>NC_000005.10:154859371-155159689 GCF_000001405.40 Homo sapiens
TTTTCTTGGTGTTCTATGGCTTTATGAATGGAGGAGCCAACTCACAGACCTGGGCCATTCGGGTGGTTTTAAGAAGTTTGAACTGCGGTTCAATCCAGGGCAGTGCCTTGAGACACTGTTTGGAGGTAAGGGAGGGTCAGAGGATCCTCTTAAACGCTGCTGCTATTTATTTCTTCAAACGTGCCACTTCCTTTTCTATCATATCTATGCACGGCAAAGCCTTTGTTCAGTCCTCTAGAATAAGGAAGTGATGTTTATTGTTTCCTTGTACACTTGGGCTTAAACGAACAAAATCAGACTCAACGTTTCTTTTCCCGAGCAAGGCCTTGATTGCTTGCAGAGAAAACTTTCCTGTGGCTTTATCATTAGTTGCCCTTCAGAGCTTTCCTGTGTAAATAAGAAGCTATGTTTTGGAGAAGTTTACACCGTAGATGAACGGGAGCGATCTGAACATACTGCACTGCAGGTCAACACAGAGCAGGGACTTCAGTAATTCATAGGTGTGAGTGTGTTTGTGAAAACCTTTCCTTCTTGCACAGTTTTCTGTGTAGCTCATGTGGGAGTCAAGTTTTTAAGTCAGCCCGTGAGGCAAACATTGTATGTAATAAAAATTAACCCTTAAAAATTCCTAGGAAGGTGCAACGCTTGAGATTAGCATCCTGTTTCTGACTACATCCTGGACGGTTTTTCCTTCAGTTTTGAAACTTGTTACTGTTGCTTTGGTTGTAACCCAGATAAGTAATTAGATTACCTTTAGGGGCTGTGTTGTGCAAATAAGCATATTTGAAAGCCATAGAGTTGTGATGCGCTGTGAGATGCTTGCCCTGAGGAGGCTTAAAAGGAGGAAGACAAACCCCTATCTTAGGCTCATTTTGGAGCATGTGCTTACAAAGTGGAAAGTGGCAGGCAGAATTGCTGGTATGATGATGATGATGATGATGATTTTTTTGAGACGTGCTCTTGCTCAGTCGCTGAGGCTGGAATGCAGTGGCGTAATCACAGCTCACTGCTGCAGCCTTGACTTCCTGGGGCTCAAGTGATCCTCCCAGCTCAGTCTCCTGAGTAGCTGGGACTGCAGGCACACACTACCATGCCTGGCTAAGTTTTTGTACTTTTTGTAGAGACGGGGTCTCACTTTGTTGCCCAGGCTGGTCTCGAACTCCTGGCTCAAGTGATTCTGCAGTCTCAGCCTCTCAAAAGTGCTGGGATTACAGGTGTGAGCCACTGCCCTTATCCTGCTGGTATTTAAGTTGCTATTTTATTTTATTTTTTGGCCAGCATATGCAGTAATTTGACTTGCTAAATTAAATGTGCATAGTGCGATTCCTCTTTAATTTTTGAGTGGCACTACATTCAGGGGCTTGCAAGCTATTGTTTACTTCCCCACAGATCCTAGCTAACTTTGGAGCAAAAATGGCTTACATATTTTTGCCAACTGTCTGGCTTCGGCAGTCCCCATATATATGCCAGATATGTATAACAGTGGTTAGCTTTTTAAAAACCAATTCTCTTTTAAATGGAAGTTAAAGGCGTCTTTTGGTTGTGTGGGGTTTTTTGTTGTTGTTGCTTTTGCTTTTACGGAAACATCTCTCAAAAACTCAGGAGTGATACACCCACTTCCTCCAAAGTAGTTATGGTTATGTTTGAAATGACACCAAAAATGAAGGGTATTATTTCAGTTAGGGAAATAAGGAAGTACCACCGATTTAACATTATATGGGTATAGAAAATGGTTTTAAGGCCTTTTGCAGGGGAGAAATCTTAAGCAAGTTTAGGAATCTAAAATTCTGAGTCGAAACATTTTCTGAATTATGGTCAGATAGTGTAATTTACTCCACATTCATTCTGAACTTCTCTCTTTTCCTGATCTTTATTGTTCTTTTGCAAGCCTGTAATAGAACAAAAACAAGAGAAGAAATTTATTCTGGCTTTAAGAAGTTTCTACTATGTTTTTTGGGGGAGATGCCACATAGTCTACTTAAGTTTAATTACTGTAATTACAGAGAAAAATCTGTGGAAGTATAGGATACCTTGAATAAATGGAATCTTCAAGGTTTGCTGGCAAACCAACAGTTTGATTTCTCAGAAGTTTCTTAGAGAAATGATGCCAGTTTTGTTTTGCTCCAGATTCTCATTGTTGCATCTGCCAATCTTGAAAATAGGAAGCAAAGATTTTCCTTGCTCTGTCCCTTGGGAACCACTTACATTCGTTTTACTGTTTCTAGGAAATTTTCTTTAAATATATACATTAGAGCCCACTATTGTGTTGTGGATCCATGCAGTGGGCTTGCCTTAGAAGTAAGTGCCTTTATGATAAGCTCTTTTTTGTTTGTTTGTTTGTTTTTGAGACGGAGTCTCGCTCTGTCGCCCAGGCTGGAGTGCGGTGGCGCGATCTTGGCTCACTGCAACCTCTGCCTCCTGGGTTCAAGCGATTCTGCTGCCTCAGCCTCCCGAGTAGCTGGGACTGCAGGCGCGTGCCACCACAGCCAGCCAACGTTTTGTATTTTTAGTAGAGACGGAGTTTCACCGTGTTAGCCAGGATGGTCTCTATCTCCTGACCTTGTGATCCGCCCGCCTCGGCCTTCCAAAGTGCTGAGATTATAGGCGTGAGCCACCATGCCCGGCTTTTTTGTATTTTTATAACCAGGCCTTGTACGTTGTTTGCCATAATAATAACAGCATTCGTCAGAGACCCAATCATGTTGAATTTTTTTCTCACAGAATACTTTCCCCTCCCTGATTTTTCTCCTGGAAAATACACCATGAATCATTCTGTTTCTGGTTGAATGATTTACACCAGCCATCTTTAGTCCTACTGTTGAATTGCTGCATAGTTTCTTTTTAATTTATGTGTTTAAAAGTAAATACTGGCCGGTGGATCACAAGGTCAGGGGTTCAAGACTAGCCTGACCAATATGGTGAAACCCCATCTCTACTAAAATACAAAAAATAGCTGGGCGTGGTGGCGTGCACCTATAGTCCCAGCTACTTGGGTGGCTGAGGCAGGAGAATTGCTTGCACCCAGGAGGCAAAGGTTGCAGTGAGCCAAGAGTGCACCACTGCACTCTAGCCTGGGCGACAGAGCAAGACTCCATCTCAAAAAAAAAAAAGTAAATACTAACTAAAATTCTGATTTGCATTGTGGTTTTTAGGGTTCAGATTAGCAAGTGGGATTGTTTTTTAGCACTTAAATCCCTCACTTCATGCTCTGTTTGCACAAATCTAAAGAGGCACTGGTATGTCTAAAGAGGCACTGGTATTGTTTATTACCTCTAGTTGTATTTGACTTTGGGATTGTAGAGAAAAATAATTTCCTTTTGTGGGATGGGGGAAGAATCCCATGCCAGTATTCATCATATGGGTACAAAGGCTTGAGTGTGAGAGTTTAGGTCCACATTCTTTCAGGTTTTCAGAGATCTCAGGTACATTGAAAATGGCTAAGATGATTCCTGTAGGACTGTTTCCATGATTTGGTCTCTGTGCAAAGTGATGTGAAAGTCATGGATAAGGGCATATTTGTGGTAACGGAATTATTTTGGTCTAGTCTACAGAGAGCTGAAAAACTAGGGTAGTGGTTTCACTTCTGTGGCAGAGGACTGCTGGGCAGAAGTTTCAATAACTTCAGTTTCTTCAAGAAAGAACTGTGTGTGTGTGCGTGTGTGCATGTGTGTGTGTGTGTTGACAAAGTTTCTCCATCATATAAAATGGAGAATAAATATAATCTTAATGTTTTAAACTAATGAAGTGATTGTAAAATATTATTTTGATGTCTTTGTTGTGTTGACATCTTATGTGTGTGTAAACTTACATGATTTTAAAATGTTTTACAATCTAGATCAGACCAAACATTGTCTGGCTTGCACTGTAAAACTAGTTAGCTGAAGACGACTTCTCAGGTTTCTTCAGGATGCCTGCAGCACTTGTGGAGAATAGCCAGGTTATCTGTGAAGTGTGGGCCAGTAATCTAGAAGAAGAGATGAGGAAGATCCGAGAAATCGTGCTCAGTTACAGTTATATTGCCATGGTAAGGAGCTCTACTCTGACTCACCTTCTTTGTCACTTTTAAAGTTGGGGTCTTGCTCTGTTGCCCAGGCTGGAGTGCGGTGGCTATTCACAGATGCAATCATAGCTCACTGCAGCCTTGAACTCCTGGGCTCAAGCAGTCCTCCCACCTCACCTTTCCAGGTTGCTGGGACTGCAGGCTCATACCACTATGCCCAGCTTGACTCACCTTCTTATATGGATGGGTTTAGGGAATGTTTAATTTGAGATTTTGAAAAGAATGGGTATGTTCCACTAAAGCCATTGTAAATTAAACCGGATGGAAGGTTGTGTTGCTTCATGAAATATCAAGGTAGCCAGTGTCTCTGAGAAGGATGTAACCTCTAGTATCTTAGATTTTTTATAACATTATTCTGTTTGAAAGTCTTTAAAGCAGAAGTTACGTCATCCCCTAGGGCCCAGCTGTTCCACAGATATGTTGGATTTGACTATACGATGTTAAGAATTTTAAAAATTTATTGCCAGCATTTAAAAGTCAATAGAACTCACTTGAATTCCAGATTTCTGGCATCTCTGAAAAAAAAAAATAGGAAGATCTGGCAATATCTGTTATCCACTCCTGCCTGACACTGGCTGGAGAGAGAGATGAGTATTGTGGTAATATTAAGGGCCTCCTGTAGACGGGCATGTGCTCTCTGTTTTACTCCAGTCCCGATTACTTGTACTATTTTCATACCTAGCTGACTTTACTCCTTTACATTAGCTGCTTGGAGTTTGTGACTCCTGCTTTAGAAATTATAGAGTTGGCCGGGCGCGGTGGCTCACGCCTGTAATCCCAGCACTTTGGGAGGCCGAGACGGGCGGATCACGAGGTCAGGAGATTGAGACCATCCTGGCTAACACGGTGAAACCCTGCCTCTACTAAAAATACAAAAAATTAGCCGGGCATGGTGGTGGGCGCCTGTAGTCCCAGCTACTCGGGAGGCTGAGGCAGAGAATGCGTGAACCCGGGAGGCAGAGCTTGCAGTGAGCCGAGATCGTGCCACTGCACTCCAGCTTGGGGGACAGAGCGAGACTCCGTCCCAAAAAAAAAAAAGAAATTACAGAGTTAAGTCTTTAGCTTGGTATTCAGAGCTCCTTCCAGTCTTTTCACTCAAGCTAAGCCTGTCTCTTTATATTTTTTTCTGAATGGCTGTTTCACTTCCCTGTATTTGTATTTTTATTCATATATTGTTCTCTACCTAGAATGTTCTTAATTGACTGCATATCTACCTGTAGTTACTCAACTCTTTCTATTGACATTCTGCTTATTTAGGATCAAGTTGTTGTGCAAAGCTTCATGATTTTAGTGCTTCTTCAGTAGATACCAACAAGATCAGTATTTTAAGATAGGATTTTGGCTGGGTGTGTTGGCTGATGCCTGTAATCTGTGCACTTTGGGAGGCCGAGGCAGGTGGATCACTTGAGACCAGCCTGGGCAACATGGTGAAACCCCATCTCTACAAAAAAATACAATAATTAACTGGGTGTGGTGGTGTGCACCTGTAGTTCCAGCTACTTAGGGAGGCTGAGGTGGGAGGATTGATTGCACCTGTGAGGTTGAGGCTGTAGTGAGCTGTGATTGTGCCACTGCCCTCCAGCCTGGGTGACAGAGACAGACCAACCCTATCTCAAAAAAACACAAAAAGAATTTTGTGCCCAAGTTTGGGGCTTGCCACATAACTTTTATAAATGGAGGTAAAATTTTATTTATGAATTACCAATTCAGCATCCACTGTTTTGTGAAACCTTGTGATGAGAGACTTTTTCCTTTTCCAGGACACAGAATTTCCAGGTGTTGTGGTGCGACCAATTGGTGAATTTCGTAGTTCCATAGATTACCAATATCAGCTTCTGCGGTGCAATGTTGACCTTTTAAAAATTATCCAGCTGGGCCTTACATTCACAAATGAGAAGGGAGAGTATCCTTCTGGAATCAATACTTGGCAGTTCAATTTCAAATTTAACCTTACGTAAGTGATTTCTAAATAAATGCGTTAATTTTAAGTTTTGTTTTCACTGAATCCAGGTGGGTGTTGGATAGAGCGGTCAAGCAGAGGACGGAACAGGGAATCTCAGCAAGTGAAGTCCTGCTTAAAGAACTGCAGCAGCTCAACAATGAAAAGATAAACAACCCAACTAAAAATGTGCAAAAGATAGACTTTTCTTGAAAGATAATGTACAGATGGCCAGTAAGCACATGAAAAGATGCTCAACATCATTAGTCATGAGGGAAATGCAAATTAAACCCACATTGGGATACCACTTCACACCCACTAGAATGGCTATAGTCAAAAAGACATAATAAGTGTTGTTGAGGGTGTGGAGAAAATTGGAACCCTCATACATTGCTGCTGGGAATATAGAATTTTGGGGGAAATTCTGGAAAATAGTTTTGCAGTTCCTGAAAAGGTTAAACATAGAGTTGCCATATGACCTAGCAATTCCACTCCTAGGCAGTGGAAAATTCCATGGTATGTATATACCGCATTTTGTTTATTCATCTGTTGATAGACACGTGGGTTTTTTCTACCTCTTGACTGTTGTGAATATTGCTGCTATGAACATGGGTGTGCAAATATTTCTTCAAGGTCTTGCCTTCAGTTCTTTTGGATGTATGCCCAGGAATTTTCAAAGAAAATTTCGGGGAGACTGTCATTTTGCTGATTGCATAAAATGATGTTAGTGTACTTCCTATTGTATCCTGCTTTGTTTAACTGGGCATCGGGAGTGTTTCATGATTTAGGAGTAATCTTTTTTTCCTGTCAATACAGGGTCTCGCTTTGTCACCCAGGCTAGAGTGCAGTGGTGCTAACATGGCTTACTGCAGCCTCAATCTCCCAGGCTTATCTGATCCTCCCACGTCAGCCCCCTAAGTAGCTGGGACTACAGGTGCACGCCACCATGCCCAGCTGATTTTTTGTAGAAAGTGATCAGCCCGCTTTGGCCTCCCAGAGTGTTGGGATTACAGGTGGAGCCATTGTTCCTGGAAGGAGTAATTTTTTTTATTGTTGTTCGTATGTTTTGGAAATTTCCTTGAGGTTCAAGTAATTTTGGGAGATCATCTGGATCTTTCCTTTAACTGCATTTTTTAGTTTATTGTCAAAGCCTGTAGTTTGTACCATAAAAATAATATAATACAAGGAAGAAAAATGAGTTATTTCACTGAGTGGTTTGGGTATGTTTGGGTTTAAAATAATGTTTACTTGCAGCCGGGCGTGGTGGCTCACGCCTGTAACTCCAGCACTCTGGGAGGCCGAGGTGGGTGGATCACTGGATCACTTGAGGCCAGGAGTTCAAGACCAGCCTGGCCAATGTGGTGAAACCCCATCTCTACTAAAAATAAAAAAATTAGCTGGGTATGCTGGCAGGTGCCTGTAATCCCAGCTACTCAGGAGGCTGAGGTGGGAGGATCACTTGAACCTGTGAGGTGGAGGCTGCAGTGAGTCGAGATTGTGCCACTGCACTCCAGCCTAGGTGACAGAATGAGACTCTGCCTCAAGAAAAAGAAAAAAAATAATGTTTACTTGGGATTGAAGCCTAGTTATAATAAGCAAAACAAAAAAAAAATGTTTATTTAAGTGGAAAAGAAACTTGTGATTCATCATTGGTTTTAATTTAGTGGAAAAAAATCAAGATTGCAGTGGTTTTCTTATTGTCTAACCCAAGTTTATATGAAAAGCAAGTGAAAGTCTAGTGGAACAGGAGTCGTTTAGCTTATTTCCTTACTTTTGTATTACATGGTATTATAAATAATTCCTGTGGTTGAATTAATGGATATATCTTTAGAGTGGAATATTATGACAGTGTTACAATGGATGAGTATTGATTTGTAAAGATGGTCTGTGATGTAGAGATGTAAGGGATGTAGGTGTGTATGTGTAGATAGAGAAAATAGTCTGGAAAGATCTGTAAACAAAGGTATTGGATCTGTGGGGTAGCATTATACGACCATTAATTTTTTCAGTTTTTTTCATGACAGAGTCTTTTAGATAATCATCTGTATACCAAGTAATAACATGTTACAAGTTATTTAATTCTGTCATCTAGTAATTTTGATTAAGAGAAACTACAAGTAGCTCAAACAATTACACTAGTATTCATTGTTTGAACCATTAGCAGGAATAGACTACTTTAAGGCTGGCTGTTGCTTCACGTGGGTTACAAATAACTATTTGCTACTTTTTCATAGATAAAGCCCCTGACCTTCATGGAAGCATTAGGGAAAAAGAAAACTTAATTTCTTTCTTTCTTCAAAGAACTTTTTTCCTTTCACTAGATATAAGAAAGAAAAAGTCAACAATAATACATGTGTTGCTTGAGCTAAAAGACATAGGAGAACAGACAACACATACCCATTACATTTCTAGGAAATACGAGGTAAAGAGAAAAAAAATTTTTAATGTCTTTTTTAAAATATAAAAGCTTTAGTTAAGTTGTAAGTCTGTACAAAGAAGCTAGATTTGCTACTCTCCAAGAAGTGAAGGGACCTGCTATGTAATATACAGAAATCATTTACTTCCTTTCCTTTTCTTTTTTTTTGAAACAGAGTCTTGCTCTGTCACCCAGGCTGGAGTGCAGTGGCACAATCTCAGCTCACTGCAACGTCTGCCTCCCGGGTTTAAGCAGTTCTCCTGCCTCAGCCTCCCGAGTAGCTGGGATTACAGGCGCCCACCACCATGCCTGGATAATTTTTGTATTTTTCTAGTAGAGACGGGGTTTCACCATGTTGGCCAGGCTGGTCTCGAACTCCTGACCTTGTGATCCGCCCGCCTTGGCCTCCCAGAGTGCTGGGATTACAGGCATGAGCCACCATGCCCCACCTATTTACTGCCTTTTCTTTTTCTTTTCTTTTCTTTTTTTTTTTTTTTTTTGAGGTAATGTCTTGCTTTGTCACCCAGGCAGGAGTGCAGTGGTGCAATCTCGGCTCACTGCAACCTCCACCTCCCAGGTTCAAGCAATTCTCTGCCTCAGCCTCCTAAGTAGCTGGGATTACAGGTGCCCACCATGCCTGGCTAACTTTTGTATTTTTAGTAAAGACGGGGTTTCACCATCTTGGCCAGGCTTGTCTTTAACTCCTGACCCTCGTGATCCACCCACTCTGGTCTCCCAAAGTGCTGGGATTACATACAGTTGTGAGCCACCGCACCCGACCTATTTACTTCATAAGAATATAACTTGAGCTTTGCCAAAGCTTTATGTTCCCTGAGGGCATCTAAAACGCCAGTTCATGGAACAGGCACTTCTTTCTCCCACTCCTTTCCATTTATGCTGTAGTTTTCATGGATTTCTGCTCAGTGTCACAGACGGTGGCCAAGAGGCTATCCAAGCCTTGTTCTGCCAGAAGTAGGTCTGGAGGCTGGTCCTCTTCTGGGCTTCCTACGCCACTTGAGTGCTGCAGCTACTGGGATTCCAGGGCTGTGGCTTCCTTGGCCTGGACCACTTCCTCCCTCTGCAGGTGGTACTGTTAAGTTTCATCCTTAGCTGCTCCTTTGATCTACTTCAGCCTCTGGGTCTTTTGCTCATGGGCCTTGGATACCTTCTCAGTGGCACATTTCTCAGCCTGCAGCAGCTGCTGGATCCCCTGAGACTCACTGGCCATGGTGGCGGTGTCTGAGTCTGAGGCAAGCAGCCTGAATCAGCTGGAAGGCGCGTCAGGTCATCTTAGCTGGCTGCCCACCATCTGTGCCTCAATATTTTTTTGTTGGTTTATTTTTTTTTTTTGAGATAGAGTTTCGCTCCTGTTGCCCAGGCTGGAGTGTGATGGCGCTTTCTCAGCTCACTGCAACCTCTGCCTCCCAGGTTCAAGCGATTCTCCAACCTCAGCATCCTGAGTAGCTGGGATTACAGGCATGTGCCACCACGCCCTGCTAATTTTGTATTTTTAGTAGAGATGGGGTTTCTCCATGTTGGTCAGGCTGGTCTCGAACTCCCGACCTCAGGTGATCCACCCACCTCAGCCTCCCAAAGTGCTGGGATTACAGGCGTGAGCCACCCCACCCGGCCTTGTTGGTTTTTTTTTTTTTTTTTTTAAGTTTATTTATTTTTTTGAGACAGAGTCTTGTTCTGTCTCCTAGGCTGGAGTACAGTGGCGCCATCTTGGCTCACTGCAGCCTTTGCCTCCTGGGTTCAAGTGATTCTCATGCCTCAACTTCCTGAGTAGCTGGGATTCAGGGGCATGCCACCACGTCCGGCTAATTTTTGTTTTTTTGTGTTTTTTTTTTTTTTTTTGAGAGGGAGTCTCGCTCTGTCATCAGGCTGGAGCGCAGTGGCGCGAGCTTGGCTCACTACAACCTCTGCCTCCCAGATTCAAGTGAGTCTGCTGCCTCAGGCTCCCAAGTAGCTGGGATTACAGGCGTGCGCCACCACGCCCAGCTAATTTTTGTGTTTTTAGTAGAGAGAGGGTTTCACCACGTTGGCCAGGATGGTCTTGATCTCTTGACCTCGTGATCCGCCCACCTTGGCCTCCCAAATTTCTGGGATTACAGGCATGAGCCACCACGCCTGGCCTAATTTTTGTATTTTTGGTAGAGACAGGGTTTCACCATGTTGGCCAGGCTGGTTTGAACTCTGGGCCTCAAGTGATCTGCCTGTCTCAGCCTCCCAAAGTGCTGGTATTACAGGTGTGAGCCACCATGCCCGGCCTACTTATTTTATTTTTGAGACAGGATCTTGCTCTGTCACCTAGACTAGAGTGCAGTGGTGTGAGTCCCCTCCAGTTCTTGGCCTCAAACAATCCTCTCACCTCAGCCTCCGGAGTAGTTAGAACTACAGGTGCATACCACCATGCCTGGCTAATCTTTGTTTGTGTGTGTGTGTGTGTGTTGTTTTTTTTTTGTTTGTTTTGTTTTTTTTGAGACGGAGTCTCACTCTGTCACCCAGGCTGGTCTGGAACTCCTGGTCTGAAGTGATCTTCCTGCCTTGGCCTTCCAGAGTGCTGGGATTACAGGCGTGCACCACTGTGCCTGGTGTTATTGGTTTTTTTTTTTTTTTAAATAATGAGCAAATGTATACCTATTATAATTAGGAAATTTAGTTTATGGAGGAAAATCTCATTTTTCTATCTGTCACAGAAATATGATCTACTTTGCATGCTTGTTTGAATGTTGGAAAGAGTGAATTGATCTATTAAGTTAGGAAAAGCATTTCAAAAATACTTGTACTATAATTATAAGGTGGTGGTAATAGTGTGGCCACTACTTCTGTTTCATTATTCACCAGTTAATAAATAAACACCTTGTTTTTTAGAGAGGACATGTACTCCCAGGATTCCATAGATCTCCTTGCTAACTCAGGACTACAGTTTCAGAAGCATGAAGAGGAAGGGATTGACACACTGCACTTTGCAGAGCTGCTTATGACATCAGGAGTGGTTCTCTGTGACAATGTCAAATGGCTTTCATTTCATAGGTCAGTCCTAGGGAATGTGTATTTCTCTCTCACTTTGGGCTACACTGAAGCAGGGAATTGAATTCTTAGTCATTTTTGCAGTCCTAGTGACTGTTCTGTTCAGCAGCAGCAGCCAGAAGTTGAATTGGTGCTTGTTGCCCATGTTTCAGTTTTTCACAAAACACTGGGGCTCATATACTGGTTTGTTTCACACAGTATTTGGCTCTATCATGTGGCTATCAGTGGGTTTAATTCCAAGTGGGAATATGGTGGGTGTAGAGGGTCACAGTACTTGGTTATCTTTTAAATGGCTGTCTCGGAGTTTCTTAGGTACTTGAAAGCCAGATTCTCCTTATTTTAACTTCTCAGTACTTTTGGATTTTTGGTGAATCGAATCTACAATTAAACCCCTTGGGTACTTTTTTATATCTCCCATATTAGTCTGTTAGGTTGTTATTAGAAAGTTCAGATTATAGGCCGGGCGCAGTGGCTCACATCTATAATCCCAGCACTTTGGGAGGCTGAGAAAGGTGGATCACCTGAGGTCAGGAGTTCGAGACCAGCCTGGCCACCATGGCAAAACCCTGTCTTTACTAAAAATACAAAAATTAGCCAGGCATGGTGACGGGTGCCTGTAATCCCAGCTACTTGGGAGGCTGAGGCAGGGATAATTGCTTGAACCTGGGAGGTGAAGGTTGCAGTGAGCCGAGATCGTGCCATTGCACTCCAGCCTGGGCAACAGAGTAAGACTCTGTCTCAAAAAAAAAAAAAAAAAAAAAAGATTCAGATTATAGTACGATAAACTACTCAGAAAAAGTGAAAGTTCCTAACATGAAGTAGCATTTACAAGCTTTGAGAAATAAAATGGTTGAACACTGGGGCCTGATAACCACTGCTTTTTTAACCTCTGTGGTTTATTCTCTTGTAGTGGCTATGATTTTGGCTATATGGTAAAGTTGCTTACAGATTCTCGTTTGCCAGAAGAGGAACATGAATTCTTTCATATTCTGAACCTTTTCTTCCCATCCATTTATGATGTGAAATACCTGATGAAGAGCTGCAAAAATCTTAAGGTATATGATGTTTTTCTTAATACCAGTAACAAAAAGAAGGACAGAAAAAAAGCTGACTTTGCTTTATTGTTACGTGTTCAGCATGCATTTTTGAGTACTAGATGCTAGTGTGGTGGTAGACAGGGTATAATATAAAGCTGATTTGGTCAGATATTTGTGTGGTAACGATCTTTAACCTGGCCATGAAGGGAACCCTCTGCTTCTGTCATCTTAAGGCAGGCATTCTTCACTCGAGGGCCATGAACCTAATGAAAAGGTATAAATGCTGTTTGTTAGGGATGGGGTCTGTGGTATAACAGATTCTTAGAGGAGTTCTTAACTCTAGAAAGTTTTAGAACTTGGTACCGTAATAAATTGTTGACATAGAGCTTTGCTGTCTAGAATTAGAGTGGGATTTACTATTTCCTCAGCCTTGCAATTCTGATTTTAATGGCAGAGTTCTGGAAAAATTAACAACATGGAAAGGAGCAAAATGTAGGATGTAGCACAATATAGCGTCTGGAAAAAGGGAATAAAAGAGCTAAAAAGAGGTTACTAAGGCCTGTTAAATAAATGGCCTGTCCCCACTTCTTGCTAGAATTCAGTGAACTCATAACTGCACTTAGTTGGCTCCAGTAGGGGCATGTTGGGTTTGTAATATTATCTTTGTTCTCCATACATCTCCAGGGAGGTCTTCAGGAAGTTGCTGATCAGTTGGATTTGCAGAGGATTGGAAGGCAGCACCAGGCAGGCTCAGACTCACTGCTGACAGGAATGGCTTTCTTTAGGATGAAAGAGGTAAGCTTCCTTGAATGTGATCACAGGCCTCTCGGCAGTAACTTGCTGAAGGCTAAGGAGGTAGTGGATGGTCTGTTATGTGGGCTGAGGTTTGTTGAACATTTATTTTTTATTTATTTATTATTTATTTTTTTTGAGATGAAGCCTTGCTCTGTCACCCAGGCTGGAGTGCAGTGGTGCGATCTCAGCTCACTGCAACCTCCGCCTCCCGGGTTCAAGCTTTTCTTCTGCCTCAGCCTCCTGAGTAGCTGGGATTATAGGTGCCCGCCACCATGCCCTACTAATTTTTGTATTTTTAGTAGAGACAGGGTTTCGCCATGTTGGCCAGGCTGGTTTCAAACTCTTGACCTCAGGTGATCTGCCTGCCTTGGTCTCCCAAAGTGCTGGGATTACAGGCATGAGCCACTCTGCCTGGCCGAATTTTTTGTATTTTTAGTAGACACGGGGTTTCACTATGCTGGCCAGGCTGGTCTCGAACTCCTGACCTCAGGTGATCCGCCTGGCTTGGTCTCCCAAAGTGCTGGGATTACAGGCGTGAGCCACCACGCCCAGCCACATAGACTGTTTTTTTAGCAAGTTGATGTCCACTTTGAAAGTGGTTGTTTTTTGTTATGGTATTCTGCATGTCACATGTTTGAGAGGCAAAAGCAGCATTCTGACGTGAAAGCCACTTTCCAGTAACCAAGTATTCTTGAGCACACCCAAGTCCAGAACTTCATGTTCTTGTCAGCTCTAATCCTTTCAGTTATTTGCTTTTTTTCTGATTCCTGTAATAGAAATATATTTGTTAGGCCACCTACTGACATTATGGTAAGTTCTGTTAATTATTATTAAATAAATACTATATTGAATTTACTATAACCCCTTAGTAAAAATTAGACTCTTAATTTCTTCTTTTAGTTTCTTTACTCACTGACTCAGGTTTTAAAATATATTCAAAGATGTAGAAGGAGTAAGACGCTGCTTTGAAAAATTGAAATATTGATTTTGTTGACACTTTTGAGGACCGGATCAGATTAATTGATCTGTAGACATGGATCTCCTTTTTAGAACTAAGATTGTAGAGAGGGAGAGTACATTTCCTCTTTGTTACTCTTAATTATAAACAACTGTTACCATGTGTTGGTAAATGTTCTAGGTCAGTGATTCTCAACTGGGGATGATTTTGCCCTGGAGGGTACATTTGTTAATATCTGTAGATGATTTTGGTTGTCACAATCTGGTGGGGGAGAGTGGTGTGCTACCTGTCAGGATGCTGCTAAACATCCTGTGATACACTGGACAAGTTCCCCCAAATAATTATCCTACCCCAGTAGTGCCACAGTGGAGAGATCTTGCGTTAAGTGCTTACTGTTCGTTATCTCATTCCTCATAATAACCCTATTATCCTGTTTTATAGATAGGGAACTATGGCTTAAAAGGAGTTTAAATGACTTTGCCAAGGTCAAGTGAGTCCGGCTGAATCCACAGCCCAAGCCCAGCCCATTGCTCTGCCTGTTAAAGAGAAGGGAGCAGTTGTGTTAAACAGCAGCAGCACAGAGATACTGGCAGTAAAAGAATACATGGAAAGTATGTTCAGATAGGAGAGCCTTTCTCCTATAGAGAAAGGAGCATGAAAAGACTGCATTAAAAGGAAAGGTTTAGGCCGGGTGCGGTGGCTCACACCTGTAATCCCAGCACTTTGGGAGGCCGAGGCAAGTGGATCACTTGAGGTCAGGAGTTCGAGACCAGCCTGGCCAACATGGTGAAACCTGCCTCTATTAAAAGTACAAAAATTAGTCAGGTGTGATGACATGCACCTGTAATCCCAGCTACTCGGGAGGCTGAGGCAAGGGAATCACTTGAGCCTGGGAGGCGGAGGTTGCAGTGAGTGAAACCCTGTCTCTTTTTCTTTTTCTTTCGAGACGGAGTCTTGCATTGTCACCCAGGCTGGGGTGCAGTGGTGTGATCTCAGTTCACTGCAACCTCTGCCTCTCGGGTTCAAACAATTCTCTGCCTCAGCCTCCCAAGTAGCTGGGATTACAGGTGCCTGCCACCACGCCTGGCTAATTTTTTGTATTTTTAGTAGAGACAGGGTTTCACCATCTTGGCCAGGCTGGTCTTGAACTCCTGACCTCGTAATCCACCTGCCTTGGCGCCCCAAAGTGCTGGGATTACAGGCGTGAGCCACTGTGCCTGGCCGAGCCTTTCTATACTATTAGTTTTTTTTTCTAGTTTGGTATATTTTCAGGGCTTTAGGAAGGCTGGGAGGTGGTGATGTGGTAGTGGTTTTTTTCTTTTTTGAGATGGAGTCTTCGCTATGTTGCCCAGGCTGGAGTGCAGTGGTACGGCCTTGGCCCACTGCACCCTCTGCCTCCTGGGCGCAAGTGATTCTTCCGCCTCAGCCTCCCAAGTAGCTGGGATTACAGGTATGTGCCACCATGCCCGGCTCATTTTTGTACTTTTAGTAGAGATGGGGTTTTGCCATGTTGGCCAGGCTGGTCTCGACCTCCTGACCCCAAGTGATCTGCCCGCCTCAGCCTCACAAAGTGCTTGGATTCCAGACGTGAGCCATTGCACCCGGCCAGATGTGATAATATTTATACTTGTCATGACTTCTAGCATAACTCTCACCATGGTTCTCTGTCCCATTCTGCAGTTGTTTTTTGAGGACAGCATTGATGATGCCAAGTACTGTGGGCGGCTCTATGGCTTAGGCACAGGAGTGGCCCAGAAGCAGAATGAGGATGTGGACTCTGCCCAGGAGAAGATGAGCATCCTGGCGATTATCAACAACATGCAGCAGTGATGGCGCCAGGCTCTGCAGGGTGGGCCTGATCCCAGAGTGGTGCTTACTGTGCTGACTGTGTACTTATCTTCCCCAAGAGAAAATGCTTCTTTTGAGCACACTGTACCTACCATCTGCATTGAGCAGAAAGACTTTTGTTTTACTGAAGACAAAAGATGTTTTTATTTTAGACCCAGAAGAGAGGAGTTTGCTCTGAATTTGTAAATAAGTCTTCCCCATTCCTCATACTCGAGCCTCTCCTCTCTGGTTGCCTCCTGCCACCAGCATCCATGGCTCATTTGACACCTTTTTAAATATCAGGACAAGTCTGAAACAAAGTAGTAAAATGTATATAACTCTTACCTGTTGTCATTCTTTTTCTTTTAAATTTGTTGCTAATCTCTGATAATGAAGATTCTTACTCTGATTCTCAGCTGAGCTGTGAGGGCTTCCAGGGAAAATGGAACAAAATGGTGTTCTTAGGTAATGGGTTGTAGATACTGAGTCTTCCTTTCCTTTTCTGACCCTTCTCGAGGACATTTGCTTTCCTCACACTTTTGTAGTCTCTCTTTACATATTACTATATGGAAATGAATTGCTCTGTGCTGAAATTTGAAGACCAGATAATGAAACTGAAAAGCAAACAATTTTACTGAATCTGTCTACCCTTCATTCATGAGAACTCCAGAATGAGTGTTGACCACTGAAGCATCTTTTAAGTCTGTGTTCCATTGTGCCATTCAGGTTTGCTGTCACATATGCATCATCTGAAATCATTTGAAATTTTTGTACAATAAAATATCCTGGATTTGATCCTGAAGGAAACTAGTAAGATCAGATTTTTGGGTCATGTCTGTTGTATTTTCAGTAATGTGATTTCAGATGGTCATCTGGATTCTCCCACTTCTCTACTCCATTATTTCTCTACTTTTCCTTCCAGCAAACCTGAAACGTGAGGGAGATGGATTAATGTGAGTAACAGGAATGTGTCTTTAAAAAGCTAGAGTGGTTACATTTAATCAGGCAGTAAGATAATTTGGGTTCTTGAGTTGTTTTGGAGTAATATCCCACAACTGGGGTAGGAAGCTCAGGACTTTTTTCTTTAAAGCTAGTCATTTCAAAAGCATATTGTATTTTTTTGAATGACTACAGTATGGACAATTTCAAAAACCAAAACCCACTTTGGATTGGTGGAAGTAAAAACTGGTAACTCACTCAAGTGAATGAATGGTCTTGCATTTTAAAAGCTTATGGGAAACTCAATTTGAAATGATTAGAAAATGTCAAGTATTATAAGCTGGTATTTAAGATGCTTGTAAATACTATTTATGTTTTTAATTTTGTAAAATAAAGATTTCTTTTTAACCACTGGCATTAAGGTTTGGTCTTTCATAGCTATGGATTGCTGGCTCTGGAAGATGGTCATTTGCCATCAGTGAAATAAGAGCATCTTGCCTCCATTGTCCCCAAGTTGGCTTACATACAAAATATCACTTGGGGGGTGGGTTCGGGAATAAAAAAAATACATATCACTTGGTAGGAAGCTTTTCACGAGCACCTGTGTAAATGGAATTGTCTCTTCATACTCAAGATTGTTGGGTCTTAATATTATAGAATTAAACCAGTCTAATATTTCCTGGGGTCACTCCACTATATATGGTGGATTAGCTTGTTAATTAGTGGGATTCTTTTAAACAACCTGAACTTCAGATATCCTAGAGTTGGCTCAAGACTTTGTTTCCAGCCATTTCTGTTGACACAAAATATGTGGGGTTTTAAGAAGTCTGGTACAGGGGCAGATATGGAATTGTGACTGGGAAGTTGACAAAACAAGAGATTTATCACTGTAATTTCTGGTGAAACAGCAGTCAGTGGTTCTCAACCAGGGTGCCCTGGCATGCTGGTGACTGTGAGCGCTATGCAGATACCCTTCCAAATTTGAATTAAAGCAGGACATTTAATATTTTCTACAATTAAGGACTTACTTACATGTCAGGAGAAATGCTCAAAGGGTTGAGGAACTCAGTGTTGAGTGTGGGGTTTGGTCATCATTGCATGTGAGAGTTAAGAGCTTAGAGTAGTGCTTTAGCAAGAAAGAGCACAAGTCTTGGAACTGGCAAGAACTTTGTGTGTATGAGTGCATATAGGTCTATGTGAATGCTCATCCTCAAAAAGTGATGGCACTGTAGGGTAACCAAGAGAATCACTTAAGGTGTAATTCTTTCGAGGTTTAGACAGGGTCTCACTCGGTCATCCAGGCTGGAGTGCAGTGGCATGATCTTAGCTCACTGCACCCTCACCCTCCTGAGTAGCTGGGACTACAGGTGCATGCTACCATGTCCAGCTAATGTTTATATTTTTTTAGTAGAGATGGGGTTTCACCATGTTGGGCAAGCTGGTCTCAAACTCCTGACCTCAAGTGATTTGCCTGCCTTGGCCTCCCAAAGTGCTTACAGTCATGAGCCACCGTGCTGGCTTGTAATTCTTTTTTTTTTTTTTTTTTTTTTTTTTTTTGAGACAGAGTCTTGTTCTGTCGCCCAGGCTGGAGTGCAGTGGCATGATCTTGGCTCACTGCAACCTCCGCCTCCCAGGTTCAAGCAATTCTCCTGCCTCAGCCTCCCAAATAGCTGGTGCCAGAAACAGTCAGTTCCTCTTCAAACTTCTTTGTTTCTTTTAGCGACTAATGTCATTTCACATTGCTAGAAGATACATTCTTGTTCTCTAAACAAGCCTTTCCATCTTTGCCATGCCTAAACATGCCCAAACATGCCTTAACGGACAATCCCTCCCTCCCCTCCTTTCTTTTCTTTACAAGTTACGCATTTAGGCTGGGCACAGTGGCTCACGCTTGTAATCCCAGCACTTTGGGAGGCCAAGGCGGGTGGATCATGAGGTCAGGAGATTGAGACCATCCTGGCTAACACAGTGAAACCCTGTCTCTACTAAAAACACAAAAAATTAGCCGGGCATGGTGGTGGGCACCTGTAGTCCCAGCTACTTGGGAGGCTGAGGCAGGAGAATGGCGTGAACCCAGGAGGTGGAGGTTGCAGTGACCCAAGATCGCGCCACTGCACTCC
The DNA here is from genome assembly GCF_000001405.40 of Homo sapiens. NCBI lineage: Eukaryota > Metazoa > Chordata > Mammalia > Primates > Hominidae > Homo > Homo sapiens. The sequence goes on from NC_000005.10 coordinate 154,878,496, forward strand.
AGCCTGGGCAACAGAGACAGTCTCAAAAAAAACAAAAAACAAAACAAAAAAAAAACAACAAGTTACGCATTTAAATGTTTCAGTTTACTCTGTTTGGAAAAGTTTTACCACTCCTACCCCTTCTTCCCCATCTACCCTATTTGGAAAAATTTCAAGTTTTAGCCAATCGGGTTAGCTTACATTGTGTGGTCCGACTACAGCCAATGGGGAAAGGACACAGAAACAGAAGCTGCATTAGGGATAAAAACTTTTCTCCTTTGTTCAGTGTGCTCTTGCGATCATGACTGTTGCAGGCAGCACCCTTCTCAGAAGTAAATTTGCCTTGCTGAGAAGTCTTTTGAGAGCTCATTTTCTTTGCAACTCCGAGCTCTTATTTCCAACTATTTGGGGGCTCATCTGGCATCCCATTCTCCTCTAGGGAAGGGTCTCTGATCACCTCTCATGAGGAGATGCGTCCTGCTGCCTCATTGCAATGGCCTCAGGAATAAGGAATCAAGACCCACCTGGTGTGACGAATAAACCTGGACTCTCAGCAATGAAGGAAGAAAAGTCCTACAAATACTGTGGCGACCAGGTAACTCCTCTGCACACACCAAGGTAAGAAAAGCTGCGGGGGCGGTGAAGTACTTCTTTGGTGGTCAGGACATCCTGGAGGTTGAAAGTGTGTGAATAAGATGCACAGTTGAGTGCAAAGCAAGTGTGCAGTCCGGATCTGTGGTTCCACGGTCACCTCATATGGCTTAGGGCAGCTTTCCTGTCATGAGGCTTATACCGACCCGCCAATGCTAAGAGGGACCCAAATTCCCATAAGGGAAGTGGCCGGAGAAGGATGAAACAAAAGTAGGGGAGTGCAAGAAACCTCCAGTGGCAGGGGAGGGGTTGAACCTTCAGGGAAAAGGGGGCAAGAAATCTCTCATAAAAGAGGTTGAGCCACACAGACTCAGGAAACTCAGGGAAACACCTAAAACTTCCAGAATGGGAAATACCTCAAGCAGGACAGGAAATAAGAAGGATAAGACAGACAATAAAATTCCCTCTGATAGCCCTCTAGGTCTCATGTTAACATACTGGAAGGATAATGAAAGGACCAAACACAAGAAAAAGCAACAAACGATAAAATATTGCTGTTTTATTTGGACCAAAAAACCTATCCTCAAACCTTCAGTCTTTTGGCCAAAAGTTTCGATCTAGTGAGGATTGGATTTGTCAGCTTTTAATAGGGTATGTCAATAACAAAAGTCCTGTCTCCCAGGAGGAAATAGACTATGCCCTGTGTTGGTGGTGGGGGCCTGTCCTCTGTTCCCTAAAGGATACGGGGGACAAGCCAGAAGCTACTTCTTCTCAAGAAATTAATATCCCTCATCCCAAAAAGTCAACCAACACGTGGGACCCCTTAGACCACCTTCCCCCACCAAACACCACTAACTTCCCTCCCCCTCCAGTAGCTGCAACTGCCCCAGACCCTTCCCCAGCTCACTTTGTTTCTTCCCCTTATAATCCTGACTTGGGGTCTCCCTAGCCTGAATGCCCTTCCCCAGGAAGACTTCAACGTGAGATAGAACAGTGTAAAAAAGATATCCAAAACTTTCCTTTCCCCACTACCTCGAGAATCTGCTCCAACGATCTTTCCCTTAAGGGAAGTGCTTCTAGGAGGAGGGGGCATTTGTTTTGTGAACGCCCTGTTAACCAGTTCAGAAGTCCGAAGCCTAAAAAGGGCTCAAACCACTCTTAGACAATCCCTATGGAGTAGCAGATCAAATTGATCAATTTCTAGGACCCCAGTTGTATACTTGGACTGAGTTAATGTCCATCCTAGGCATCCTCTTTTCGGGAGAGGAAAGAAGCATGATCTGCACTATGACGGTTTGGGAACGTGAACACCCCCTCAGTCATAACGTCCTTGCAGCTAAACAAAAGTTCCCAGCCCAAGATCCTCAATGAGATAACAATGTAGCCCATTGAGGGAATATGAGAGATCTTAGAGATAGGATAATTAAAGGGATTCGGGAATCAGTTCCTCGAACTCAAAATATACCAAAGCTTTTAATATACAACAGGGAAAGGATAAAGGACCTACGGAATTCTTAGAGAGGCTTAAAGAGCAAAGGAGGAAATATGCTGGCCTAGAATTAGAAAACCCCCTTGGATGAGGAATGTTAGAGCTCCGTTTTGTCACCAGATATTACAAAGAAATTACGAAAGATAGAAAATTGGAAAGACCATCCCATAGAAGAGCTTTTAAAGAGAATGAAAATGTATATGTACGGAGGGATGAGGAAAGGCAAAAGCAAAAGGCAGAGAATTGGCTTTGAATGGATTGAAGGTATCATATCCCTACCTGTGTCAGAAACAAAACAAGAGCTCAGAAAATTTTTGAGATTGGTTGGATACTGTTGCCAATGAATTGACTCTTATGCCTTAGAAACAAAACCTTTGTATGAAAGACTCACCCAAGAAGAGCCAGACCCCCTTCTCTGAACTCTAGCAGAAATCAAACAAGTAGAAAAGTTAAAACATTTACTAGTGACTGACCCTGTTCTAGCTTTACCCTCCCTAGAACAGCCATTCCATCTTTTTGTCAGTATTAAGCAAAGGAGTGGCTTTAGGGGTACTCACCCAAGAGCATGGGGGCCACTGGCAGCAACAGCCTTGCTCAGGGAGGAAAGCAGAAAATTAACCTCTGGGGGAAAACTCATTGTTAGCACACCTCACGAAGTCAGAACTATCCTCAACCAAAAGGCAGAAAGGTGGCTCGCTGACTCAAGAATTTTAAAATATGAAGCTATCCTGCTAGAGAGAGATGACCTGACACTAACCACTGACAATTCTCTAAATCCAGCTGCTTTTCTAACCAGGAATCCAAACCAAAAGGTAACAGGGAACCCACAACCAATGGAACCTGAGCATAAATATTTAGACCTAATTAGTTACCAAACCAAAGTTAAGACTAGACTTATGTGAAACTCCTTTTCAAACAGGGAAACATCTTTTTGTAGATGGTTCCTCCCAGGTAATAGAAGGAAAAAGGGATTACAGATACTCTGTAGTTGACAGAGATACCCTCACAGAAATAGAATCAGGAAGATTACTCAATGACTGGTCCGCACAGACGTGCGAGCTAATTGCTCTAAATCAAGCCTTAAAATTTTTACAAAATCGGGAGGGAACAATTTATACTGACTCCAAATATGCCTTTGGAGTAGTATATACCTTTGGAAAAATCTGGACTGAATGAGGCCTTACTAACAGTAAAGGTCAAAACCTAGTCCATAAGGCCGGGTGTGGTGGCTTGTGCCTGTAATCCCAGCACTTTGGGAGGCCGAGGCAGATGGATCACAAGGTCAGGAGATCAAGACCATCCTGGCTAACACGGTGAAACCCCGTCTCCACTAAAAATACAAAAATTAGCCAGGCGTGGTGGCGGGTGCCTGTAGTCCCAGCTACTCGGGAGGCTGAGGCAGGAGAATGGCGTGAACCCGGGAGGTGGAGCTTGCAGTTAGCCGAGATCACACCACTGTACTCCAGCCTGGGCAACAGAGTGAGACTCCGTCTCTAAAAAAAAAAAAAAAAAAAACCTAGTTCACAAAGAGTTAATAATACAAGTATTAGATAATCTCCAGCTTCCTGAGGAAATAGCTATTGTTCATGTCCCAGGACACCAAAAAAAACCCTCTCCTTTGAAAGTCGGAGAAATAATCTAGCCAACCAAATAGCCAAACAGGCTGCCTCTTCCCAAGCTACACCCATTTTTCATTTAACCCCTCATCTTCCCCCTTCCACTGCACTTCCCATCTTCCCCCACGCAGACCAGGAAAAACTAAAGAAATTAGGAGCTGAGGAAAACTCAGAAGGAAAATGGGTATTACCAGATGGAAGAGAAATGTTATCCAAGCCTCTTATGAGGGAAATACTGTCACAACTTCATCAAGGATCTCATTGGGGTCCTCAAGCTACGTGTGATGCAGTCCTTAGAGTCTATGAATACACAGGAATATACACCCTCACTAAGCAAGCAGTGGATGGTTGCATAGCGTGCAGAAAGACTAATAAGCAAACCCTAAAGAGGCAACCTCCTGGAGGAAGGAACCCACGGTCAAGGCCATTCTGAAGTGTCCAGGCTGACTATACTGAAATGCCCCCAATAGACCACCTCAAGTATTTGCTAGTAATAGTAAAATACCTCACCCACTGGGTAGATGCCATCCCCTTCCCAAGCACAACAGCCAGTAATGTGGTCAAAGCCCTGTTAGAACACATCATACCCAGGTTTGGACTAATAGAAAACATTGATTCAGACAATGGGACCCACTTCACTGCATACATCATTAAAGGACTAACCTAGGCATTAGAAATAAAATGGGAATATCATATTCTCTGGCATCTGTCCTCATCAGGGAAAGCAGAAAGAATGAATCAAACTTTAAAAAATCACCTAACCAAGTTAATCCTGGAAACTCGGTTACCATGAACAAAATGTCTTCCCATTGCCTTACTCAAAATCCGGACTGCCCCTTGAAAGGACCTTGGCCTGTCCCCTTATGAAATGCTCTATGGGTTGCCTTACCTAAATTCCACTACTGACCTTTCTACATTTGAAATGAAAAATCAGTTTCTCAAAATCTATGTATTTGGTCTGTCTTCCACCCTTTCCTCCCTCAGGATTCAAGGCCTCCTAGCGCAAACACCACCTCTCAAATTCCCAGTCCACCAACATCAACCCAGAGATCACATCCTTGTCAAAATCTGGAAAGAGGGAAAGCTTGAGCCCACCTGAGAAGAACCTTACCTAGTGCTCCTAACAACTGAGCAGTCCGAACTGCTGAAAAGGGGTGGATCCATTATACCCAAGTCAGAAAGGCACTGCCCTCTCCAAAGCCATGGACCGTCGTCCCAGGGCCAACTCTCACCAGAGTAACATTAAAGAGAAAAGCCTAATCTGTCTTTTTTTCCTCTTCTCTTTCCCTTAGCTGCCTCTCGTCTTATTATTAACTTAACTAGGTCAAGCTCACCCCAAATCCAAAGCATTACTTTCAATGCTTGTCTTGCCATGCCCCGAGGGAATCTCCAAAGTCAGAGACAGCTAGCCTCCTAGAAAAGCTCTGCCCATCCACCCCTTCCAAACCCAGCACCACCTATAACCTTTGCAATCAACAACCATGAGCCTTCCAGGGGTTATGATATAGTTGGGGAGCTGTTATCTGGACTACCAAATATCAGGGCTGGACCTCCTCAGAAGGCTGCACCACCCTAAAATCCTACCTCCACTTCACCATAGGAATCACCCCCTCAAATTGCCAAATCCACCAGTGCAACCCAGTACTTCTCTCTATTCTTATCCCCACCTCCACTGACCCTAACCCCACTTGTCTTTATGGCCTAGGAATGGATGTCACTGGAAAAGACCCCATAGGCTCCTCTAAAATATCTTTCATTGGCTGGGCGTGGCGGCTCACACCTGTAATCCCAGCACTTTGGGAGGCCGAGGCAGGCGGATCACAAGGTCAAGAGATTGAGACCAACCTGGCCACCGTGGTGAAACCCCATCTCTACTAAAAATACAAAAATTAGCTGGGCATGGTGGCACATGCCTGTAGTCCCAGCTACTCGGTAGGCTGAGGCAGGAGAATCACTTGAACTTGGGAGGCGGAGGTTACAGTGAGCTGAGATCGTGCCACTGCACTCCAGCATGGCGACAGAGACTCTGCCTCAAACAAACAACAACAAAACAAAAATAAAAACAAAAAAAGTTTTGTTAACCCTTCTCCGTCTCCTACCAACTCACCTCCCCCACGCCCACCAAATCAAACCATTTTTCGTTTCTTACCTAATAATAAAAAAATAGCCATAGTAGAAGTCATGGACCTAAAGCAAACCTTAGCCATAGAAACCAGATATCAAGATGTTAATGCCTGGCTGGAATGGATTAAATATTCCATTCACACCCTAAATAAAAGCGATTGTTACCCTTGTGCAACAGGTAAGCCAGAAACCCAAATTGTTCCCTTTCCACTCGGATGGACCTCCAACCAACAGGGCTTGAGCTGTATGGTAGCTCTCTTCCAAAACCCCACAGCCCGGGGGAATAAGGCATGCTAAACTCTCGCTGCTATTTCTGGAAGTTAAAGGCCCTGTAGGTCAGCCCGAGGGCCTCCGATTAACAATGTAAATTTTACGTGTCTCACGACAGGGGGAAAATTTGGCATTCCTTGGAAGCCTAATGGGATGTAGTGAGTCCAAGCCTTTTCAGGAGCTAACCAATAAGTCTGCCCTTGTTCATCCCTGAGCATCTGGATTTATGGTGGTATTGTGGTGGGCCACTATTGGGTACTCTGCCAAGTAACTGGAGGGACACTTGCACTCTAATCCAATTGGCCATCCCTTTCACCCTGGCATTTCACCAACCAAACAAAAAGAACAATTGTTAAGAGAAGTCCCCCTTACATGTCCTTTGACCCTCACATTTATATAGATGCCATTGGAGTTCCATGAGGGGTGCCAAATGAGTTTAAAACCCAAAATCAAATACCTGCAGGATTTGAATCTATATTGCTCTCATGGGTAACTGCAAACAAAAATGTAGACTGGATAAATTACATTAACTATAATCAACAATGGTTTGCTAATTATACTAGGGATTCCATTAAAGGAATAGCTGAACAATTAGGCCCTACCAGCCTAATGGCCTGGGAAATTGAATAGCCCTGGACATGGTATTAGCTGAGAAGGGTGGGGTCCATATCATGATTGGAGTCTAATGGTGTACTTTTATCCCCAACAACACAGCCCCGGATGGAACAATTACAAAAGCCCTAGCAAATGAATTGGCCAAAAATTCTGGAGTAAATGACCCCTTCTCTAATCTCATGGAAAAATGGTTTGGCAAATGGAAGGGACTCATAACCTCAATCTTTACCCCCCTTGCAATTGTTATAGGTGTACTTATTCTTGTAGGTTGCTGCATTATACCCTGTATTCATGGATTAGTGCAAAGACTCATAGAAAAAGCTCTCACCAAAACCCCTCTTGCTTCTCCCCCACCCTACTCAGATAAGCTCCTATTCCTGAGTGACTAAGAGGAACAATAAAGTCAAGATATGTTAAGGAGACTTGACGAGGAAGAACTACCAAGTCAAGAGGGGGAAATTTGCCAAACCATCAGTTCCTCTTCAAACTTCCTTGTTCCTTTTAGCAACTAATGTCCTTTCACATTGCTAGAAAGGATAAATTCTTGTTCTCTAAACAAGACTTTCCATCTTTGCTGTGCCTAAACATGCCCAAATATGCCTTAATGGACAATCCCTCCCTCCCAACCTTTCTTTACAAGTTACGTGTTTAAAGGTTTCAGTTTACCCTATTTGGAAAAGTTTTACCACTCCTACCCCTTCTTCCCTGTCTACCCTATTTGGAAAAATTTCAAGTTTTAGCCAATCAGGTTAGCTTAAATTGTGTGGTCCGACTCCAGCCAATGGGAAAAGGATACAGAAACAGAAGCTGCATTAGGGATAAAAACCTTTCTCTCCTTTGTTCAGTGTGCTCTTGTGATTGTGACTGGTGCAGGCAGCAGCACCCTTCTGCGGACGTAAATTTGCCTTGCTGAGAAGTCTTTTGTTTGAGTGCTCATTTTCTTTGTGACTCTGAGCTCTTATTTCCAACACTGGGATTACAGACATGTGCCACCATGCCCAGCTAATTTTTGTATTTTTAGTAGAGATGGGTTTTCTCCATATTGGCCAGGCTGGTTTCGAACTCCTGACCTCAGGTGATCCGCCTGCCTTGGCCTCCCAAAGTGCTAGGATTACAGGTGTGAGCCACTGTGCCTGGCCATAATTCATTTTAAAAAGTTTATTCATTACTTATAGAGATGGGAGCTTGCTATGTTGCACAGGCTGGCCCTGAACTCCTGGCCTCAAGCAATCCTCCCACCTCAACCTCCACAGTATCCAGAGTACAGGCGTGCACCATAGCACCAGGCAACTGAGTGCAATTCAGCCCCTCCATATATACTGCCAAATGTTGGTCTCAAATATATACTGCCTCCATATATACTGCCCAGCTGGTCTCAAACTCCTGTCCTCAAGTGATTCACTTGCCTTGGTTTCCCAAAGTGTTGGGATTACAAGCATGAGCTACCATGCCTGGACTCAAATAGATAATCTTGTTCTTACCAAAGCAGTAACTGAGGAGTGTGCAGGACTCCTCCACCCACAGGTGATGCTTCTGACAGATCACAAAGGAATTTAGAATTCTAGTTTAACAATATCACTCTTTACTCAAGTGGAAGGGAGTATATATTTTTTCCACCTCTGTAAGTAAAGTTCATTTTAGCAGTTGGTAGAACTGGTGTCCTACCAACTAGGCTAGGTTTTCTACCTAGCCATGCCTATTTATGTCTTTGCAATCAAGAAAGATTCTCCATCCCTGGTAACAAAGCATCGTCTTCCTAAAGTTCACTTCACTGTATGAAGAACTGTGAGGATCTAAATTCTACAGTATTTCCCTTTGTGAGTTTATTAAACTCTAATGCTAGGCACATACACGTCTTTGAAAACTGCCTCAAACTTTCTCCTTCCTGGGACTTCCTGTAAATGAATTTCATTCTCACTGTCCCAACAGCTCCAATCCTAGGAATTAATTGAAAAATAAACTACAAACGTGAGCAGAAAAGCCTTCACAATGAATCCTAGAGAAAACAGTTCAATTATCTGAAAGGAGTGTTCCTTCCTACACCCATGCCAGACTCTGATTTTCCCATGCTAGCAACTGTGACATTACAGAAACATCTGTTCCTGACACTGTTCAACTGTTTAAATAACCAAGGAGGAGAAAAAAAAGATTTATAATTAAATAGTATTTAGGGTCCCAATAGTCAGAGTCCAATAATCCAAAGGTCATCTATGCAAAATTAGGAATATGCATTTTTCTCCAAAGAGTATCTTTGGCTTTAATCTGATTCTCAAAAGGATCCTATGATCCAAGAAAGTTTAAGAACCATTGAAACAGTAATTTATTCCTGAGCTATTTGACTGCCATCAATCCATTTGTTATAAAACTGAAGGGAAAACACACATTTGAATCACTTCTTCTAAAGCTTTAGTAAGTGATCTGTTCAAATAAGCAATTACATGAAAGAATAAAACCAAATTTCCAACCTAAAATTCTGACAGGAGAGTCAACATGATGGTTAAGGCCTATTTCATATTCAAACTTCAGTCTATGAAAGAGTAGAGAGAGAAGGGTCTCCTCTTTCAAATTAAATATTATAAAAACAATTAAAAAAAGGTATCAATAGTCCTAAAATGCAGCAACTCCATCTCAAACAAGCATGACACACTTCTGATCAGATGAAGTATTTACAAAGGTAGCTTGTGTTTTAAGCATGTAACACTTTGGGTGACGACAGAAGTTTCTCCTCTTTGGGTGAAACCTGCCTAAGGCTGTAGAGATGACCAACACTCTGCAGGTGTTAGTTCTGAATAACTACTGTGGGCTTTTCATGATCTTCCCTCCAGTAGGAGACCACAATTGAGTCTAAAGTCAGATCCACCGTTGTCTATGGGTAGGCAGGGTTGATTCAAACTTAATCCTTGTTTGTATTCTTTTGGATTACTGCAAAAACATCTAGGGACCAGAGTGAATGTCTGGTGAGGCATAACTGCAGAGGTGAAAGATGTCAAACATTTTCAATTTGGCAGTTTCTTCAAGGTGTGTGAAAATTCACATACAGAAGGTCTGGCAGTGTCTTCTGTAAGTTTTCGTGTTGCCGTATTTCTGAAGGAGCTCTTGGGCCTGCTGCTGCATTTCCTGGGCCAGACAGCCAGGAAAGTGGGACCTGATGAGAAGCAGGACGAGGCAGCACTCCAGCACATCTGGGAAGGGCCAGGCCTGAAAGACGATGACATGAGGATGAATAAGGAAGCATTTGCAGAAGAGCCACAAACACCTGCACAGAAGGCACCAGTCACTCAGGTTCATCTATAGACACTTCTTGGACACAGCTGAGCCAGCTGTCTCCTAAGGCAATGTCCTGTCTTTCTCTTCAACAGTTACTCCAAGGAGAAATGACACTCAAAACTAGGATGGCTACTGCGATGTCCTTCTCAATGGCACAATCTCTTTCTACAGCCCTATGCAAATCCACCCTTAAAAATGGTGCTTCTATTAATATTTGGGCCCACAGCCAAAAAGACCTGTCCATCTGTAAGCTATCTAATACATGGCACCAATTTAAATTTTACTTCTTACCTATTAAATCTATTTGGTTTCTCTGAAGATTGAGGTATAAAATTACTTGTGTGATCGATAATTCTAGTCTCACAAAACATTCTAGCTAACCAAAGTAATTGGATTCTAAATTCTTTTTTTTTGTTTTGTTTTTTTTTTGAGACAGAGTCTCGCTCTGTTGCCCAGGCTGGAGTGCAGTGGCGTGATCTTGGCTCACTGCAAGCTCCGCCTCCTGAGTTCACGCCATTCTCCTGCCTCCATGCTATTCTCCTGCCTCAGCCTCCCGAGTAACTGGGACTACAGGCACCTGCCCCCACGCCCGGCTAATATTTTGTATTTTTAGTAGAGACGGGGTTTCACCATGTTAGCCAGGATGGTCTTGATCTCCTGACCTCATGATCCGCCAGCCTCAGCCTCCCAAAGCGCTGGGATTACAGGCGTGAGCCACCACGCCCAGCCTGGATTCTAAATTCTTAAGCACATATGAATGGGTAGAGATTTTAGAAACTGAACAGAGAGGTAGCTGACCTTTATAAGAATGTGGTATAGTCAAGTGATAACACAAAAAGTGATGCTTTACCAAATGAACTGCTTTAACTCTTACCTTAATGCTCTCAGGAAATTTCGCCATTCTCTGATTTGCCTCGGTAAGCCTTTTGGTTAACTCAGGCAGAGAAAGTGGCTCATTTTTTTCTTCTTTACTAGTGAAAAAAATAAAAGGTGTAAATTGTATGTCTTGCCCTGGGTAACATTTTTCTCCCATTGTTATTTTACTGTGGTAAAATGTATATAACATAAAGCTTACCATCTTAGCCATTTAAAAATACATAGTTCAGTGATTTTAAATAAATTCATAATGTGGTGAAAAACATCCCCACCACCCATTTCCAAAAACTCTTGTCATTTTGTAAAACTGAAATCTTATACCCATTAAACATTAACTTCTCATTCTGCTTCCCTTAGCCCCTGTCAACATTATTCTACTTTCTGTCTCTATAAATTTAACTATTTTGAGTAGTTCATATAAGTGGAGTCATATAGTATATGTCTTTTTGTGACTGGCTTATTTCACTCAGCATGATGTCCTCCCTTCGTAAGGCTGAATGACATTCCATTGTATGGATATGGCACATTTTGCTTATCCATTCATCTGTCAGTGGATACTTAGGTTGCTCCCGTGTTTTGGGTATTATGAATAATGCTGCCATGAACACAGGTGTGCACATATTTCAGACCCTGCTTTCAATTCTTTTGGGTGTATACCCAGATGTGGAAGTGCTGGATCCTATGGTCATTCTATTTTACATTTCTGGAGGAAGTGCTGCTGTACTGTTTTCCACAGTGGCTGCATCATTTTACATTCCCACCAATAGGCACAAGGGTTCCAATGTCTCTGCATCCTCCTCAACACTTGTTCTGTTTCTCTGATAGTAGCCTAATGGCTATGAAGTGCTGCTTCACTGTAGTTTTGATTTGCATTTCCCCAATGATGAGATGTTGAGCATCATTTCCTGTGCTTACTGGCTTTTTAGAGAAATGTCTATTCAAGTCCTTTGCCCATCCTTGAATTGGATTATCTTTTGTTATGCCTGGGTAGCTTTTACCTTTTATTTTTAATATTTTTTAAAAATTTAAACTTTTGCCTATGACACAGCCCTCAGGAGGCCCTGAGAGCATATGCCCCTGCCTGGGTTACTTTTATCTCATTTTATAAATAAAATTCCTTTGTCACCTGGCTTCTTAAAATTTAATTTTTTTTTTTTTTTTTTGTAGAGACAGGGTCTGTCAACCAGGCTGGTATGAGTGGCATGATCGTATCTCACTACAGCCTCGAACTCCTGGGCTTAAGTGATCCTCCCACCTCAGCCTCCTGAGTAGCTGGGACTACAAGTGCATGCCACCACTACTGGCTAATTTAAAAAAATTAATTTTTCTAGAGACAGGGTCTCAATATGTAGCCCAGGCTGAACTTGAGCTCCTGGCCTCAAGTGATCCTCCTGCCTCAGCCTCCTAAGTAGCTACAGGGTACATGCCACCACACCTGGTTACTTTATTTGTATTTTTTGAGATGAAGTCTCCCTCTGTTGCCCAGGCTGGAGTGCACTGGTGCGATTTTGACTCACTGCAACCTCTGCTGCCCAGGTTCAAACGATTCTCTGGCCTCAGCCCCCCAAGTAGCTGGAATTACAGGCATGTGCCACCATACCCAGCTAATTTTTAGTAGAGACGGGGTTTCACCATGTTGGCCAGGCTGGTCTCAAACTCCTTACTTCAAGTGATCTGCCCACCTCGGCCTCCCAAAGTGCTGGGATTACAAGCGTGATCCACTGTGCCCGGGCTTTTTTTTTTTTTTTTTTTTTGTAGAGACAGGGTCTCGCTTTTTTGCCCGGGCTGGTGGTGAACTCCTGGGCCAAGTGATCCTCCTGCTTCAGCCTCCCAAAGTGCTGGGATTATAGGCATGAACCACTGTTCCTAGCCAGCAGGGTCATTTTTCATTCCGTCTTGTACTTGCCTCAGTACTTACCACTGGCTCTGAGAACTGCAGAGGGGCTGCTCTGCTTCTACTTCCGGTTCATTCTTATCAGGACCATTTGCTGTGGATTTACAGAGTTGACTCTTTTGGTGTTGTCGGATCATTTCTGCCAAGGTCTCTTGGACTTCAGCAACAGTTCTCTGTGAGTTTTGGAGACTGGCATGCTTTTCTGAAAAGAGCTCCTTAAAAGTACTCAGCATTCGCTCACCTTCTTCTGTGAGTCTCAAGTCTAGTTCTGAAGGCCTGTTTGGCTCTGGCTGAGAAGTTTCAGGGTCCGTTTCTTCAGTGCTGGCAGTGTCTAACTGCTGGCTTGGCTCAACAGAGAGTGTTCTGTGACCAGCCCTTACCCAGACACTGGAATTTGGGCAAGGTCTGGAGAGAGACCACCAGAATTCATACAGACGCCCATAAAGAAAAAAGGCCTCCAAACTTTTGAAAGCTGGTGTGGCAGGGGATTGATGGTCCCCCAACTTGTCTCTTAGGTGGTCACAGCCTAGGAAAAGAGGAAAAAGATACTGGGTCATGCATTTCTCTAGTTGCCAGAAATGTGGCTTCCTGCCCTTATGTTCTATTTCTTATCAACCAAGAAGCAGACCCCAGGAAAAAGGACAACAGTGTGATCCACCGGGCCACATGCCTTTCCACCAAGAGCCAACTGGAGGCTAAACATTTCCTGGCTTGCGACAGTGTTCTCATTACTACATCCTAGGAGTCATTCAAAGCATGATAGAGTATTCCATTTGTACTACTGAAGGCTCTGGGGCCACGACAACAGATCACACTGTCTCTCTGAAAAATCACAATGATTTAGTTCAGTGACTGACTATGCAGCCCAAGGAATGTCTATCTTTTTTGCTGTTCTTTTCTGTTCTTACTAACATGTAACTACATTCCTATTTCTCTCTCCCTTAAACTTTGTGGAAAGTGGACAGGAGGCTGTAAGAGGGTAGGGCCAGGTAAAGGAAACAGTATAGTTGTTCTTAAAAGCTTCGGTAAGAGAATCCAAACTTTCTACTAAAATGACACAGCTGGCCAATCTCCATCTTTTAAGAATCTAGGTACTCCCAGTGCCACACCACTAATGGTGGTGATGTTGTCCATTAAAGGGTGTGCCTCAGGCAGCAGGAAGTCACTTACCGTCAGGGAGAAAGGCTGAGTACACTTCCTGCATGATGGTGAAGCTCCCTGAGTCATAGCTCCGGACCACCGCCCGAAGGAGCGCCTGCACAGCCTCGTCCCAGGAGGCCATCTGTTGGCTCAGCACTGCCAGGGTCAAGTCATGGCAAATGTGAAGCAGGAGCTGGAGAGAGAAGCCAGAGTCTGAGTTAAACATCCTCCCACGGTAGGCGCAGAGGATGCCACCAAACTGTTCCTGTGAACCGCATTTGGAAACAAGTACACACAATTCACACTTTGAAAGTTCCTCTTGTCTCCGCCACCCATTTTTGCTTCCCACATCGGAAACTCTCATGTCTAGTTGCACAGCAGCACACACACGTCCCGGTGTTAAAGTCTGTTCACACTGAGAAAACACCTTTACATTTGCATTTAATTAAAACAAAAAGTGGGCCAGGCGCGGTGGCTCATGCCTGTAATCCCAGCACTTTGGGAGGCCAAGGTGGGCAGATCACAAGGTCAGGAGTTCAAGACCAGCCTGGCCAACATGGTGAAACCCCGCCTCTACTAAAAACACAAAAATTAGCCAGGCATGATGGCGCGTGCCTGTAGTCCCAGCTACTCGGGAGGCTGAGACAGAAGAATTGCTTGAACCCGGAAGGTGGAGGTTGTGGTGAGCTGAGATTGCGCCACTGCACTCCAGTCTGAGCATGAGAGTGAGACTCCCTCTCAAAACAAACAAACAAACAACAAAAACAAAAAGTGAGTTTCTGGAACTAAAAGCTGTAATTAAAAACAAAATAAAGGCTGGGTGCAGTTGCTCACACCTATAACCCCATCACTTTGGGAGGCTGAGGCGGGCGGATCACCCGAGGTGAAAGCCCGTCTCTAAAAAAAAAAAAAAAAAAAAAAAAATTAGCCGGGCTTGGTGGTGCACGCCTGTAATCCCAGCTACTTGGGAGGCTGAGGCGGAAGAATTGCTTGAACCCGAGAGGCGGAGGTTGCAGTAAGCCACTACACCCGAGCCTGGGTGACAGAGTGAGACGCTGTCTCAAAAAAAAAAAATCAAAACCCACCAAAAACAAAACAAAACAAAGCTTGGAGTACAACTAAGAAAAATGTGCTCAATTTTAAGTATGTAGTTTGAGAAACATATATAGTTACAACACTACCAGCAAAATCAAGACAGAACATTTTCATCAACTGAAGATATGCCCTCCGGCTCCTCTGCAGGCGATCTCCTGGCCCCACCCCACTGGCAACCACTGAACTGGTTGTCACTTTAATTTTTTCTTTTCTAGAATTCATATAAATGGAACCACAGAGTATATAGTCTTTTGTGTCTTTAAAGCTTTTGAGATTCACCGATATTCTTCTTCTTCTTCTTTGTTTTTTTGAGATGGAGTCTTGCTCTGTCGCCCAGGCTGGAGTGCAGTGGCACGATCTCGGCTCACTGTAAGCTTGGCCTCCTGGGTTCACACCATTCTCTTGCCTCAGCCTCCAGAGTGGCTGGGACTACAGGAGCCCGCCACCACGCGCGGCTAACACCGATATTATTTGTGTGGCAGTAATTTGTTCCTTTTTACTTTCTTTTTTTGAGACAGGGTCTCATTCTCTTACCCAGGCTGTAGTGCAGTGGTTCCATCTTGGCTCACTGCAGCCTCCGTCTCCCAGATTTGAATGATTCTCCTGCCTTAGCCACCCTAGTACCTGGGATTACAGGCTTGTGCTACCACACCCGGCTAATTTTTGTATTTTTACTAGAGACAGGTTTTTGCCATGTTGCCCAGGCTGGTCTCAAACTCCTGAGCTCAAGCGATCCACCCGCGTTGGCCTCCCAAAGTGCTGGGATTACAGGTGTGAGCCACCAAGACTGGCCCTTTTTATTGTTAAACAGTATAGTATTTCACTGCATAGACACAACACAGTTTGCATATCCATTCATCAGTTGATGGACATTTGGGTTGTTTCTAGTTTTTGGCTACTGTGCACTAAGCTGCTGTAAACATTTGTGTACAAGTCTTTGTGTGGCCATCTGATTTCATTGTTTTAGTGGAATATCTAGGTAGCAGAACTGCTGAGACATGGGGCATGTGCATGTTTAACTTTATAAGAAACTGCCTGGCCAGGCGTGATGGCTCACACTTGTAATCACAGCACTTTGGGAGGCCGAGGCAGGTGGATCACATGAGGTCAGAAGTTCAAGACCAGCCTGGCCAACATGGTGAAACCCTGTCTCTACTAAAAATCTGAAAAATAGGCTGGCTGCAGTGGCTCATGCCTATAATCCCAGCACTTTGGGAGGCCGAAGTGGGCAAATCACGAGGTCAGGAGTTCGAGACCAGCCTGGCCAACATGGTGAAACCCCTGTCTCTACTAAAAATACAAAAAATTAGCCGGGCATGGTGGCAGGTGCCTGTAATCCCAGCTACCCGGGAGGCTGAGGCAAGAGAATTGCTTGAACCTGGGAGGCGGAGATTGCAGTGAGCCAAGATCATGCCACTGTACTCCAGCCCGGGTGACAGAGTGAGACTCCATCTAAAAAAAAAAAAAAAGTAAAAATATTAGCTGGGCGTGGTGGCACATGCCTGTAATCCCAGCTACTTGGAAGGCTGAGGCAGGAGAATTGCTTGAACCTGGGAGGCGGAGGTTGCAGTGAGCAGATATCATGCCACTGTACTCCAGCCTGAGCAACAAGAGTGAAATTCCGCCTCAAAAAGAAAGAAAAGAAAAGGAAAAAAGAAAAGAAAAAAAGAAACTGTCCAATTGTTTTTCAAAGTATATACCATTTGAGAAGCCTTGTTCCTCATAAATATCATAATGTTCCCTCATTTTGAAATGAGGGAAAGAACTACGCCAGGCACAGTGGCTCATGCCTGTAATCCCAGTACTTTGGGAGGCTGAGGCGGGAGGATCACTTGAGGAATTCGAGACCAGCCTGGGTAACAGTGAGACCCAGTCTCCAGAAAGGAAAAAAAAAAAAAAAAAGAAGTAGGTATATTCACAAGGCAGACATAGCAGTTAAAATAAATCAACTGATCTCTTTTTATCAACATGGATAGATTTTACAAACAATGGCCTCTGAAATAAGCAAACAGCAAAACAATACATGTGGCACTGACACAGGAGGTGCCTGTGGCGAGCTAGGGAAGGAGTGAAGGGCTGAGGAAAGGAACAAGAAGGACTTCAACTTTGCCCTACTGTTTTTATTTTATAAAGTCCTCAAATCAAAATACAAAATGAAACCAGAAAACCCTACAAAGTAAAAATGACAAAATGTGAACATCTGTTAATTCTGGTTGATGGGTTATTACATTATTCTGCTTTTCTATATTTTCTAGACTTTTTATTTTACTTTTTTAGAAAAGGAAATAGTGGCTGGGCGTGGTGGCGCACGCCTGTAATCACAGCTCTTAGGAGTCTGAGGCGGGAGAATCACTTGAATCTGGGAGGTGGCGGCTGCAGTGAGCCAAGATCATGCCACTGCACTCCAGCTTCAAACAACTAAAAAAAACAAAACAAAAAAGGGAATACTGATCTAATACTAACTTTAAAGTTAAAGGGCTTTGATTAGTCTAAAGGGATCTTTCCAGGTGGCGTGGCCATGCCTTAGCCTTTTCTGAAACACAGTCCAGTATTCTGCTTGTTTCCCCGTTACAATAGACATGGATTAAGGAAGTCTTACCACTGAGTGATTAATGTCAAATGCTGGTACAGATGGCTTACCTGTTTGGCAGGTGTGTTATTTGTAGCAGATGGGTACTTGATGTTCTGCAGCTTCTGAAAGGCTTCCTGATACTGCTCAGGGGTGTCAAGGCTGAAGATGCTCTTCCACACTGCAGTCACCCTCTCCACGAAAGGCCCTTCGGTGCCCGTGTTCCAAGTGTGGTAAGAGGAGGAGCTTTTGCCCTCTGAAAGCTGCTTTTCCTCCAGATGCCTGGACAGTAGCTCCAGAAGGCAAAACACCAATCTCTGACCCTGGAACACGACAACAAGGAAGAGGAACTGTTATACAGGGAAAGCACTGGATGATCTCGAGAGCTCTCCCGTGTCCTTCAAAGTATTTCCCTTTGTATCTGCAGCAACCAAAGCACATTAGTGAGCTACCTGCCCCATATGAGTCATGCATGAAAAGAGACAAAAGGGGCGATCTGACAGACACTTCCCAGGTCCCTTTTGGGGGAAATCTATCCTTAGAGCTCAAGAAACCATTTTTATAACACAGAATCCCAACTGTAGCACTACCCACAATGATTTAAGCCACACACAGACCAGCCACTTAAGCCTTGTAGCCTAGTTTGAGGAAAAGAAGGGCTGGGCTCATCAGGTTCTTTCTCCCTGACCAAACTTTGGACTCAGGAATAAAAGCATAATGGGCCAAAGGTGCTGGAATAGACAAGCTTTGCAGATCCAAGAGCTGGGACAGGCATTAGGAGCCATGTCCAAATAGGTTTAATAGAGGAAGCTGGCTGGGAGAGAAGAAAACAGAAGCACAGAGAAGGCCTAGAAAATCTACTTTCACTAGATTTTTAGTTGCCATGAGATTCCTTGTGTACTCCTATAACAATATCTTCTCAGTTAAGCTTGCAAGAGTCTCTGTTGCACAAAACCAAAATAGCCCTTATCAGAATATTTAGCATATGCTTATTAGGTTTTTTTGCTTTGTTAAGGATGCTGTTTAAGAGAAAAATAAAATGCTAAACAGTCATTCTGGAAACTTTTTTTGATGGTGGATAAATTAAAATCTTTCTAGACTTGGTCATTTTATAAATAATGCCCAGTGGCATTATCTTTTAGGGTGTCCTATTTTCACCTCCATTTTTATTCTGCTGTTCCTAGAAAGCTACCTCCCCATGTACCACGTTCCTTGGGCTCTAAATATTCAGCTAAAAACCATCTGTAGGCCCTGTACTCTGTTAGAGAATGAAGAACTTAAAAAACCTCTTGTTAGTATCTCACAAAGTTATCTAAAGTGAATCAAATGTTTACATGTTTCAGAAACTAGGTAAGTGTGCCAATGCTTTAATCTGTTTTGATGTGTCAAAAAGGCAGTGGTATGTTACTGATTTTTAATCAGATGGGAACAAAAAAATTTAA
Organism: Homo sapiens; assembly: GCF_000001405.40. Taxonomy (NCBI): domain Eukaryota; kingdom Metazoa; phylum Chordata; class Mammalia; order Primates; family Hominidae; genus Homo; species Homo sapiens. Next base: position 154,897,463 of record NC_000005.10, read on the forward strand.
GAAATAAAGAGATTTCCATTTTCCCACACTTTTCTCTTTTTTTTCTGAAGAGTCTCACTCTGTCACGTAGGCTGCAGTGCAGTGACACAATCTTGGTTCATTGCAACCTCTGCCTCCTGGGTTCAAGCAATTCTCCTGCCTTAGCCTCTCAAGTAGCCAAATTACAGATGTGTGCCACCATGCCTGGCTAATTTTTTTATTTTTAGTAGAGACAAGATTTCGCCATGTTGGCCAGGCTGGTCTTGAACTCCTAATCTCAAGCGATCTGCTGCATCTGGCCCAGTTTTTTTTCCATAGCTTACAGTTAAGAGGGGCATTTACAGGTAGAGTTCCATGATTTCTGTTAGAGGCCAACCATTCTCTCTTCAAGGAAGACAGTGCTGATAACATCAATGAAGAAACCCTAGACTGCCAACCCAAGGCCTGGGCTGACTAAGGTGTTTTTTTTTGTGTTTTTTTTTTTTTTTTTGAGACAGAGTCCCACTATGTTGCCCAGGCTGGATCTTGGCTCGCTGCAACCTCCGCCTTCCGGGTTCAAGTGATTCTCCTGCCTCAGCCTCCCAAGTAAGCTAGGATTACAGAAGCGTGCCACCACGCTCGGCTAATTTTTGTATTTTTAGTTGAAACGGGGTTTCACCATGTTGTCCAGGCTTGTCTCAAACTCCTGACCTCAAGTGATCTGCCTGCCTCGGCCTCCCAAAGTGCTGGGATTACAGGCATGAGCCACTGTGCCCGGCTCACAGGTGTTTTGTACAAACAGATAAGCAATGGGAATTACTGTGAATGACCATATTATCTCTTACTCTGAATACGGCAACTAACAAGTCATAGTACTTCAGTGGGATAGCATGGCCAGGGCTTGCTGGGCCTGCCAAATTGGCACAGCTTGTGCAACTGGGTTATTAACTTGGATTTGACTAGAAAAGGATTTGGGACACTTCCCTCTTGTATACTAGGAGATGAAATAACAGACTGACCTGTAGACTTTCATGCAGCTGCAGGGCTTCCTGGGCTCCCACCCAGTTGTTGGCCAGAAGCAGCTCTTGGGCACATCTGAGAGCCAGGGAAGCAGACAACTCATCCTCTCCTACGATGGCAGCCAACTCTGCAGCCGTTCTAAGTGATGCCGCATCCCCCTTTTTGGCCAAAACTTTGGCTGCATCATAAGCACAAGTGGCCCCTAAATAGCTATAATATGAATAAAAATGTGAAGAAAATGTCACAAACAGATTTTTATTCCCATTCCTAGAGGATGGAATCATTTCTTTCTATCTACTTTGCTGCATGTGCCTTCCTGTGGTCCCAGGTATGTCACTGCCCCGGTTGTTCCTGTGAAGGCTGAGGCCAACACAACTCAGCAGAGTGTATGAGAAACAATATCATATAGGTTAAGGACATAAGGAAAATGAGAGGGAATGACTCCTCTGTTGGGTTCAATCCAGCATGGGTTGAGGTTCCTTTATTTGATGTTATAAGAGACCATTAGAAAAATGCATAATTTCTTAATCTGCTGCTGAGGTTTTTCTTGAATAGTTATAGTGATTTATATAAATAAATCAGGAAGTAGTTCCTGATGAGTCTTATGAAACTAAGTTGAATATACATATCTTTTAAATAATTCCTTGCTGCTTTACCTCCACCTCTAAACTTATTACTTGTATTCTTGTCCTCCCCTTCCTGGCAGAAGCTCTCCTATGTTGGAAGCATCCCTCCACTCCTCAGGCTTACCATTTGGCAGCTACAGCATAGTGGCCATCTCTTTCTAGGACGGTTCCCCAGCTGAGGTACAAGTCCTTCAGGACTGGGTCCTCCGGGCGCAGCCGGGCCTTGGCAATCGCAATAGCTTCCCTAAAGGCAAGAACAGACCCTTTAGCCAATCTGAAAAGGCTCCTCTGTGTATGGTCCTAGGAGGGGCTGTAAGACAGGACAAACTGTCCCTTTTGTGTTGTCTTATTGTTCCAACTTCCTTTAAAAACTGCACTTGCATTATATAGACAAATTAGAAACATATGCTGCATTCGTTTCTTCACTTAGATCAGCAGTTCTTAAATTGTGGTCTGTGGATTCCTAGGGGGTCCTCAAGAACCTTTCAGAGGGTTCATGAGGTTAAAACTATTTTCGTAACAATGCTAAGAGTCAGTTATGTGCTTTTTTATTAAAAAAAAAAAAATGTGTTGACATTTGCACTGATTGTGCCAAAGCAGTGATTGGGAAACCTGGCATCTAAGAAGGAAGGCGGTGGCTCTTACAGTGGAAAAAAAGGAAGAATGCCCTTAATGAAGCAGTAAAAATTACAAATTTTACTAAATCCGTCAAGTCCAAAACACTTTAATATTCTGTGTGACAAATGGGAAGAACATTTTGTGTTCTCTGCTGCATTCCAAAGTAGAATGGTTGTCTCTAGGTAACACCTGTATGAACAAATTACAAGCTAAACTGGCTGCTTTTTCATAGAACCTTCTTTCTTCTAAAAAAAAAAAAAATGACTAACATAAATAACAGTTATTCAGTGTTGGGTATTTGGCAGATGTTTTTCTCAAAAATGAACAAAGTAGGCCTATCACTTCATTAAAAACAACCAACAGTATTTGTTACTAATGATAAAATGCGAGTTTTCTAGCAAAAATTAGAATTTTAGAAAACTTGTACCTACCACTTGTGTGCCTGAGTTTCCCATAAGTTAGAATTTTCTGATGAGACTGATGGTGATAGTAAGGAATGTGGTATTTTTGGGTATTTTATAATAAGATATGTTAACATTTGGAAGATCTGAACAACTCAGTAAACAAATATTTTTCAAATGACATACAACTGCTGAGTTGTAGCCAACATAAAGTTGTAGCTGGGAAAAAAGTGTTTTATTAGATTAAAGTGATCTAGAGAGAGCAATATTTTGAAAGTATTTTGGGACTTCTACTTCCAGCCATGATGGAGTAACTGGGACCAGACTTACCTTTCTGCCATAAAACTAAAAAACTGGACAAAATGGCTGAAACAACTGTTTTTAGATACCAGGTAACAGGCAGCATAGGATGGTCAGCCCTAAGAGAACAGAAACAAATGATGGGAGCCCTATCTTGGCACTGGCTTTCTGCCCAAAGCCATTTTCCTAAGGAAAACCTGAGCAAAACCTCAGCAGTCTCTGAGTTGAGAAGAGGAAACAATGGAAATCTGAGGGGCAGGATACTAGGAAGGAGGAAGCTGTCCAGAGAAAGACATCCACAACTCTGCCTGGAGATCCCATTGAGTCTTTGGCTAAATTAAAAGCCACGTATGTAAAGGAAACTCCTTAAGTCTAAACAAAGAATGACTAGGTAACTGTAAGCTGAACAATTCCCAGAGCTTACTCAGGACTTGGAGACATCTGAGTTTTGATTTGTTGAATGCATAAGGCATTCAAGAAAGATATCAAAATGTAGGAGGTAATTCTAGAATATGATAAACTTGCCCTAACGAAGTTTAAAAACAAGCCATGAAAAGATCAAGCTGATACACAACTTTACTACTTACCAAAACAAAGTTTAACACTCTCTAAAGGAAGATAACAAAACCAAAGCAGGGTAGAACAAAAAGAAAATCTTGGCCAAGCATGGTGGCTCATGCCTGTAATCCCAGCACTTTGGGAGGCTGAGGCACGAGGATCGCTTGAGCCCAGGAGTTGGCAATCAGCTTGGACAACACAGCAAGACTCCGTCTCTACAAAAAACTAAAAAATTAGTTGGATGTGGTGGCATGCACCTCCTGAGTAGTCCCAGTTACTCAGGGGGCTGAAGCAGGAGGACTGTTTCTTCTATTTATGTTACTTTAACAATAGAGAAGTTTAGGTTATTTTCACATTATGTCCAAGTATTATCCCAACTCTAGGACCACACAGACCTGTAAAAATGGTTTGACTTGAGCAGCTCCACCGCTTCATACACTTTGTGGATGGAAAGTAGGTGAGAAGCAGCCTTGACATACTGATCCTGAAAACACAGCTGTTTGGCAAAAGCTTCCACAGCCCATAGCCACACATGGTAGCCAGCTGAAAAAATAAAAGATGGTGGTTAAAAAAACAGTTGAAGAAAAAGTAAAAACAATACCCAGTACATTTGGGTTGAAAAAGCCTTGTTTTCGTCAATGCATTCAGCAGAACATTTAGATACCAATTCAGCTGCCATTATGGATCATCTGCTTCATCTACACATTCTGAAGCATCAATTGTTTGATTATGTAACACAAACAAAACAGTACAAAGTTGAAAAGATACAGAAAGGAATGTGTGAGCACAGTTAAATTCCTATAATCATAACTGATGAGCCAAAGGTAACATGACTACGTGCTTTTTTTTTTTCCCTTTCCTTTTATTGTTTTTTGAGACAGGGTCTCACTCTGTGGCTCAGGCTGGAGCGCAGTAGCACAATAATGGCTCACTGCAGCCTTAACCTCCCCGGGCTCAGGTGATCCTCCCACCACAGCCTCCCGAGTAGCGGGGACTACAGGTACATGTCACCATGCCCAGATAATTTTTTAATTTTTTTGTAGAGATGGGCTTTTGCCATGTTGCCTAGGCTGGTCTCAAACTCCTGGGATCAAGTGACCTGCCCACCTCGGCCTCCCGAAATGCTGGTATTACAGGCATGAATCAGGAATCACCACACCCAGCCTTTTTTTTTTTTAAAGAGACAAGGTCTCATGATGTTGCCCAGACTAGAATACACTGGCTATTCACAGGCACAATTAACAGAGCGCTATAGGTCTGAACGCCTAGCCTTAAGCAATCCTCCTGCCTCAGCCTCCTGAGCAGCTGGGGACTACAGACTTGTGCCATTATATCTTTTAAAATTTACTAGACATGGCCAAATTGTCCTTCAAGAAGTTCTCACCAATTATGCTTTTGCCAATTAAAGTGTCAGTGACCTGCTTTTTTTCAAAGGGGTTGGGTTGGATTTATTAGTTTGTCTATTGCTGTCTATTGCTTTGTATCTATTTGTAAGTGATTTCAAGCTTAAGACTGTGCTAAGAGCCATCTTTAGTGGACGTATCCTAGAGATGATAGAGCTTTTGTTGAAAAGAACAAACAAACAAAAACCATACCTGCTGGTGCCATAGCCACAAGGTTGTCTGTCAGCTCCCCTCTTTCTGCTGCAGTCTGGAGAACACCTTTGAGATCTCCTTTCCAAAGCATAAGCTGGTGAAATAACTCAGGGTGGCCATTTTCTAAGTGACCTTTTCCTGTTTGAAAGAGAGATAATGTTTGGAAGGTGTTTCAGAAACATCTGTTACTGACTTGTAGGAAAAGAAAGGCAAGATAGAAGAGAAAGTGAGCTCCTAAAATATGCAGTCATTCTCTGATGGGTGTCACCTACCAGAGTGATTACAGTAAGATCTGAAGCCCACTTGGTCACTGTACACTCCCACACCTTCACATGTACTCAGAGTGAATGCTGTATGTTTAGGATCCTATGATGATGCAAGGGTTGTATCAATATGTAAATCAGGGAGCTCAAAACCTAGTTAGCTGACACGTAAAACTAACCATTATAATATCACAGGATGACAGCCATCAAAGAGGTGCACACAAAATGTTGGGAAAGTATAAAGATGGATGAGATTATGTTGACTGGATTTGTCTCACCTTCAATATCAATCATTCTATACAGGGTAGCCCTGTCTGTGAAAAGCCCCAGATGAAATCTTTCCTCAACATCAGCAGACACATCTTCATTCAGCTCTGTTAATTTAAAAAGGCAAAAAAATCAGATGAAGTCATTACATTGATTACAGTTTTCTCTCCAATAACTTCCGAATATATGTTTGGAACACCCACTTCAGACACTGAGAGAATCAGAGCTCTAACAGAGACTCCTGCAGTTACAAAGGGAGCAAAACACAAAAACACTTAAAATGTTAAAAGTGAACCCCAAATCAGAACATATTTAAGTGCAGTAAAAAACAAGCAAAACAATATTAATAAGCAAAAGAAAGTCCTTAATATTCACTGGGACTTACCACAAGGGGATTCAATATTCATCCTTTGCTTCAAAAAAAAAGTCAACTGAGTAATTTTCCAGTAAGGAAAATAATGTGAAACTAGGTTAACTATGTAAGTTATAGGAAGTCATCACAAAGCTCCAAAAAGGCTATGTATATAATAAAAGCATAAAACATCTCCATCAAGACACAAGAAACTGATAATAGTTTGATTATGCAATACAGACAAAACAGTTCAAAAATTCAAAAGAAAGAAACAAATGGAAGCCCAGGATAGTGACTACCCTTGTTAGGGTAGTGGGAGACAGTAACCGGGAGGGAGGATGGTCCTCCATTCCTGGGGAGGAGAAACAGAGGACTGGGAGGAAGATTTACTTTGAAAAAAAAATTAAAAAAAAATTTTTTTTTTTAAATAGAGAGAGGGTCTCACTATGTTGCCCAGGCTGGCCTTAAAGTGAGCTCAAGTGATCCTTCTGCTTCAGCCCCTTAAGCATCAATTTTATTTATTATGTGCATCCCTTTTCCACATGTAAACTTCAAATTTAAAAAATAAAGTTATTAAAATATCAAAATAGTGGACATTAAATGAAGACTTTGAAAAACAAAAATAAAACAACCCTTCAAAACAAAACTTACAAAGCAAAAGCTTCCATCAAATTTTTTTCTAAAAAAATGCCATATTATGAGCATATTTCCAATAAGAAAAAAAGATTTTTTTCTCCATAGGATACTGTTCAATGGGGAAAAGAGTTGAAGGAGTTTATTCATGCTGAGATACTTAGGCCAACATACCAATTCTGGCACACAGATGGCTGGGAGGAATTAGATTTAGAATAAAAGCAGAGCGCTACATTTCAAAGCCATGGCAGTGCTGACGGTGGGTCACAATGGGGAGTTTGGCAGCAAGGTGTAGGGGTATAGGGATGTGGAGGGAAGGGAGAGCTGGAGAACATAAAAATACAGAAAACAATTTAGACATTTCTTTGGGCATTCATTTAATAAATAAGTAAACATCCCTTATATACCAGTCCCGGAAGACTATGGATGGGCCAAGGAAGTACATTTTTGTACCTCTGGAGTGCTTTGCAGTTGCTAGTACCAAACAGTCCTGATGAAGCTCCTCTTTGGATCTGTGGTCCAGGCTTGTACTCAGGGGAAGCAAGGAACGAGCTTTTCTCTTCTTGATTAAGGTTTCTGAAATTTAATAAAGTACATACTATCTGAAGGAGAACTGATCAGAAACATAAAACGGAATGCCTATTGTGTGAATGTAACCTACTGGCAGGACGACACCACAGGCAGAGAAAGCTCCTCCTCCTAATAAAGAGGCTTTCAAAATAAATTTGCTGGGGGCATTGTTCACAATACACACAAAAACGCTCTTGCTAACATTTATGATGTAGTGTCAACAACTGCAAAACATTTCATCAAGTGCTAAAAAAAATTCAAAAGCATGACCCAAAATGGAAGTGGAAGTCTGGGCACAATGGCTCACGCCTGTAATCCCAGCACTTTGGGAGGCTGAGGCGGGCGGATCACTGGAGGCCAGCAGTTCGAGACCAGCCTGGCCAACATGGTGAATCCCCGTCTCTACTAAAAATAACAAAAGTTAGCTGGGCATGGTGGCGGGCGCCTGTAATCCCAGCTACTCGGGAGGCTGAGGCAGGAGGATCGCTTGAGCCCGGGAAGTGGAGTTTGTAGTGAGCCAAGAGTGTGCCACTGCACTCCAGCCTGGGTGACTGGAGTGAAAATCTGTCTCAAAACAAACAAAAAACAAACAAAAAACCCATAATCAGAAAACCTACAAATATTTTGAACCTATAAAAACAAACAAGAAACCACACTGTTTTTTGACAGTTGCGTGTAATATATGTAATATTTTAGGCTGCTTTAACAAAATACTGTATTTTAATTACTAGATACCAACCTGGCTTCTCTTTTGGTGGCTCCTTTTTCAGTAAAATGACTTTGTTATTAATGGTGACTTTTGACTTTTCAAAGCCTGAGGAAACTGGAGTGCAGATAACTGGTTCTCTAGAAACTACATCATGGGGGAAAAAGGAAAAAAAAAGTTAAGGATAACAATAATACAGAATTTCAGTTCTTTGTAAAAATTAAGAGCCATTCCAAGCTTAGCAATATAATCAATTCATCTATTACCAAAACTTTTGAGATAAAATGCACTGGAAAAGAAGTAGGAGTAGTTTCCCCTTTCCCACCTCCCAAACTAGCTGTTTTCAGGAATCTGTAAGTCTATTACTTTGGTTTTTTTTTTTTTTTTGAGACGAAGTCTCACTCTGTCGCCCAGGCTGGAAATTCAGTGGCGCAATCTTGGCTTACTGCAACCTCTGCCTCCTAGGTCCAAGCAATTCTCCTGCCTGAGCCTCGCCAGTAGCTGGCACAAGCCACCATGCCTGGCTAATTTTTGTATTTTTAGTAGAGACAGGGTTTCGCCATGTTGGCCAGGGTGATCTCAAACTCCTGACCTCAGGTGATCCACCTGCCTCAGCCTCCCAAACTGCTGGGATTACAGGCGTGAGCCACCGCTCCTGGCTTACTTTTTTTTTTTTCTTTTGGTTAGAGATAAGATATAACTGTTGCCCAGGCTGGAGTGCAGTGGGTGCAATCACAGTCACTGAGGCCTTAACCTCCTGGGCTCAGGTGATCCTCCCCTCCTCAGCCTCCCAGAGTGGCTAGGACTATAGGCACAAGCCATTATCTTGGTAATTTTTATATTTTTTGCAAAGATGGGGGTTCCCTATGTTGCTTAGGCTAGTCTCAAGCTCCTGGGTTGAAGCAAGTCTCTTTCCTTGGCCTCCCATAGTGCTGGGATTACAGGCATGAACCACCATGCCCGCCTTACTTTGAACTTTGACTAAGGAAAAAGCTTCCAGCCCTCCACAACTTTATACCATAAGCCAAGGAGTTCCTATACTTTGCTCAGGTGACAAAGCACTTTTTACATTTCTAGGTCATAAAGTACTAATTGCATATTTAATTACACTAACAGGAGTAACTTTAATAATAGAGAATACTAGGTGTATGCAATATGGTGTCACAATCCTGAGCACAGGAACTTTTTAAAAACAACTTGTTGATCCATGTTTTGTATAGCCATTTTGTGAAAGAAAGACTTTTTAAAAAAAAGAAAAATAAAGAGATGGGGGGTCTTGCTGTGTTGCCCAGGCTGGCCTCAAGCGGTTCTCCTGCCTCAGCCTCCTGAGGATCTGGGACTAGAGGTATGTGTCTCTGTACCCGACTAGAAAAGCATTCTGATGAGCCAAAATAATAAATCCATTAGGCTTTTTGCTCTTTATTTACCCCAACTATGTGTCTAACAGCTATCCCTTGGGATGGAGAGCATCAGGAATGCCTTGTATCCTATATTCTAGCCATTTCAATACTGTCACATCAATGGATTCTGTTTTAGAATTAAGTATGAGTTACTGCTTCTACTTACACTGTTTGCTATTTAATCGTTTATTTTACCAGGGACCAGATATTTATCACTTGGTCTGACAAACCATTCTCAACAGGTCCCGAGTAAATGTACAAAATAAAAAGAGTGCTAAAATTTTTACCTAACAGTTTTTTTGTTAGTGATAGAACACTGTTTTGTGAGACATCTGAGAGCCATCACTACAGCTTAACTCACTAGAAAAACCTAATAACCATTCACACATTTTTTTTCTGTGAGAAGACAGAAAGCCGCGTACAAACTCCACGTAAGGGGGTGAGAGCTTGCAAGTTCCCACAGTGGTGGTAGCTTCTAGGTCAGACATTTGTAAGGGACAGTAGTTTCTTTCACCAAATGTGGCTACTGATGTCATACTGTTAAAACTTTTCCCATGTAAGTTCCTATGTACACAACTGACCCAGCTTCGCTTCGTCCCACGGTTTTACCTTGCCCAAGTTGAATAAGAAGTTTTCTCTGTAGAACTTTACTATTTCCACCACAAACATCCACTAGAACCCCTTTAAAACTTCAAAGATGTTTATTTTAGAGACTTGAATAAAGCTTAACAAAAAAAACTAATGCTGTTTCCAAGAGTTGGAAAAATGGGAACAGCGAAGTTTCAAACTGAGTAAGGACCTAGCTTAGTTTCCCAGACACGACCATGAAATCCTAGTGATACACAGGATTCTGCCACATACCCGCTGGAGCAAGGCCACAGGGTAATTCCGGCTCCCGTGCTTGCTCCTCCCCTTCTTGGTCTGACACACCATTCTCAACAGGTCCTGAGTTCTCCTTCATGCTTTCTTCTTCATTTCCATCAATCGATTCCAGCTTTACAGGAGTTCTCAAGGTGGGCTTTTTCTTCTTTTTGGGCTTTGCCTTAGGTTGAGAGAGCCGTTTTTTCTCCAATTCAATACTTTTTTTGCCTACAAGAATCACAATAAAGGACTGACTAAAGTATACATTCTTGGTTAAAAGCACTCTAGGTGGTAAACTCCAATATCTCATTCCTCTTTAATAGCATTTTTACCCATTCCCTTTCTTCTCAATGAACTTTTAGAATTATATTATCACAATATTAACCAAACCCTTTTGAAATTTCATTAAATCATAAACATGATGCCCAATAACACCCAAATATTTTAGTGTGTGTCTTATGAACAGGACATGCTCCGACGTCACCATAGTACAACCATGGAAATCAGGAAATTAACACGATTCACTACTGCCACCTACTCCATACTCTCTATTTAAGTTCTGCCAATTTTACCCAGATGTCCTTTTTTTTTTTTTTTTTTTTTTTTTTGGAGATGGTTTCGCTCTTCTTGCCCCGGCGGGAGTGCAATGGCGAGATCTCAGCTCACCGCAACTTCTGCCTCCCAGGTTCAAGCGATTCTCCTGCTTCAGCCTCCTGAGTAGCTGGGATTACAGGCACGCACAACCACGCCCAGCTAATTTTTGTATTTTCAGTAGAGACGGGGTTTCACCATGTTGGTCAGGCTGGTCTCAAACTCCTGACCTCAGGTGATCTGCCTGCCTCGGCCTCCCAAAGTGCTGGGATTACAGGCATGAGCCACCACGCCCGGCCTACCCAGATGTCTTTTATAGCAAAAGGAATCAATCCAGGATCACATGGTACATTTGGTTGCCATGCCTTTCTGGTTCCCTTCAGCCTGGAACAGTTAGTTGCATGGTTTTCCTTTGACTTTCATAATCTGAAACTTCTGAAGATTACAAGACAGTTATTTTGTCCAATTTCCCTCAATTTAGGTCTGCCAGATGTTTTTCATGACTAGATTTAGGGTATGCATCTTTAGCTGGAATGCACATTAGTGCTGCTGTGTTCATGCAGGGCAATCTATGAGGTAGCAGCTAATTTTTATTCGTCCCATTTGGTTTACTTTGATCACCTGATTAAGGGTGTGTCTTGCAAGTTACTCCCTAAAAGGGTATTTCCCCTGTTTAACTACTAAGTATTTGCATCTACTAGTTTTTGTATTCACTGATGTTTCTTGATTAAAAATTGTTACTATGATGACTGCCAAATGGTGAGTTTGTTTTTTCTTTTTTTCTCTTTTTTGAGACAGGTTCTTGCTCTGTTGTCTGGGCTGGAGTGCGGTGGCAGAATCTCCGTTCACGGCAGCCTTACTTGACCTTCCAGGCTCAAGCAATCCTCCTGCCTCAGCCTCTTGAATAGCTGGGACTACAGGTGTGCGACACCATGCCTGGGTAATTTTTGTATTTTTTTTTTTTTTTTTTTTTGTAGAGATGGGGTTTTGTCATGTTGGCCAGGCTGGTATCAAACACCTGGGCTCAAGTGATCAGCTCGCCTCCCAAAGTACTGGGATTACAGGCGTGAGCTACTGTGCCTGGCCCACAAGGTGAACTTCTAATTCCAGGATTTCACTCTACATTCTACCACAAGGAAGAGCTTGGCATCTAGTTGGCATCCTACCACAAGGAAGAGCTTGTGCTTCTCCCCATTTATTTATTATATCGGTCTGGACTCATGAATTCTTCCATTACTGTTACATTTACATTTTTAAGGTTTCTATATTTACATTTTAAGGTTTTTATCCTTTGCTTACTTTAAAATCATCTTTACTGAGGGGTAATATAATAAAATACACCAATTTTTAAATACTTTGGTACAAAGTACCTACCACCACCACAATTACTTTTGTACTAATCTAATATTTCCACCAAGCCTCTTTGTAGTAAGATATACCCCCTGCTTGAGCCCTAGGCAATCACTAATTTGCTCTCACTGTGGTTTAGTTTTGCCTGTTGAAGAATTTCACATACACCGGGCGCAGTGGCTCATGCCTATAATCCCAGCACTTTGGGAGGCTGAGGCGGGCAGATCATCTGAGGTCAAGAGTTCAATACCAGCCTAGCCAACATGGTGAATCCCTGTCTCTACTAAAAACACAAACAATTAGCTGGGTGTGAGGCACGCACCTATAGTCACAGCTACTCAAAAGGCTGAGGCAGGAGAATTGTTTGAACCTGTGGGGCAGAGGTTGTAGTGAGCCGAGAGTGCACCACTGCACTCTGGCCTGGGTGACAGAGTAAGACTCCGTTTCAAGAAAAAAAAAAAAGAATTTCACATAAACAGAATTAGACAGTATGTAGTCTTTTGTGCCTGGCTGCTTCTGCTTGGCATAATGTTTTTCTAGATTCATCCATTTTGTTCTTTATCAGTTGTTACCTTCTTTTTATTGTGGAATAGAAGCCTACTGTAAGGATATACCACAATTAATTCATTTATCTGATGATGGACATTTGGATTGTTACCAGTTTTTGGTGATCACAGATAAAGCTACTATGAGCATTCTTTTACAAGTCTTTATGTGGACACATCATTTCATTTCTTTGGGTGTAAATTTCTAGTTGTTTAATATATTCTTTCATTTAAAATAAAAAAAAAACTTATTTCACAGAGACAGTGTCCCCCTATGTTGTCCAGGTTAGTCCTGAACTCCTGGGCTCAAGCCATCCTCCTGCCTCGGCATCCCAAAGTGTTGGGATTATAGGAGTGAGCCAGCATGCTTGGCCAATTTTTCCTATTTGCTTTTATTTTGCAGTTCTTGGTAGAAATGGGATCTCGCTCTGTTGCCAGGCTGGTCTCAAACTCCTGGCCTCAAGTGATCCTCTAGCCTTGGCTTCCCAAAGTGCTGGGAATACAGACATGAGCCACTGTGCCCAGCAGTTGCTTAATATATTTTGTCTAGCTTTCTAGTTGCTTATGGCAAGTCTGATACCAATTAATCTTTCTTAGCCAGGAATGGAATTTTCCTCTTACTTTCTCTTTTTTTTGTTTTGAGACGGAGTCTCGCTGTGTCACCCAGGCTGGAGTACAGTGGCGCAATCTCGGCTCACTGCAAGCTCCGCCTCCTGGCTTCACGCCATTCTCCTGCCTCAGCCTCCCGAGTAGCTGGGACTACAGGCACCCGCCAACACGCCCGGGTAATTTTTTGTATTTTTAGTAGAGACAGGGTTTCACCTGTTAGTCAGGATGGTCTCGGATCTCCCGACCTTGTGATCCGCCCATCTCGGCCTCCCAAAGTGCTGGGATTACAGGTGTGAGCCATCGCACCTGGCCTCCTCTTACTTATGTTTAACAGTTGTCCCAGATTTGGTCAGTGGGAACCTCTTCAAGCTGTTTCTTTTGTCCTTTTGACATGTCTCCTGAATTCTTTGAGTACTGCCTTCCTTTCTGGCATAAGAATGTTCCAGGTTCAGTTTGTTCTCTACCTGTCCCAGACTGGAACCAGCCATTTCTCCAAGAAGCCATGGACATTTTTAGTGGAGAATGTCATTTAGAAACCAAGATCTGGGCTGGGCACGGTGGCTCATGCCTGTAATCCTAGCACTTTGGGAGGTTGATAGGCAGATCACTTGAGGCCAGGAGTTTGAGACCAGCCTGGCCAACATGGCTAGATCCCGTCTCTACTAAAAACACAAAAAAATTAGCCAGCATGGTAGTGCGCACCTGTAGTCCCAGCTACTAGGGAGGTCAAGGTGCGAGAATTGCTTTAACCCAGGAGGTGGAGGCTGCAGCGAGCCAAGATCACGCCACTACATTCCAGTCTGGGCAACAGAGCGAGACTCTGTCTCAAAAAAGAAACCAAGATCTGAGTGCTAGGTATGCTCTTTCCTATTGTGGGTGGTGTTGTTCTCAAGCCCTTGTGGCTGCTTTCTTGCTTAGGCTCAGACCCCTGCCCTACTGACACTAATGCCCTACACGAATGTCTTCCTTGCTCAATCCTGATCAACTCAATTATTAAGAAAGGGAGAAAAAGAATTAGATAAGCTCTAGGTTCTGACTGACCTTGAGGAGGCCGGGAATGATCTTGCATGGAAGTGAGCCACTTGTGCACACAAAAGTCATCTGCCCCTGAATAGATGCAGTCTGGATCCAAAGGAGACCATGCCACACAAAGCAGTCGACCTCGATGTCCTCGGAAATTGCACAGGGGCTCTTCCCGGAGAGCATCCCACACCTAAACCCAAAAGCACATGGCCGAAAAGACATTTTCTGGTTATTCTATTGTTTGGGCAGTATGTTTTCTAATTAAAAACAAAAAACAAAAAACAAAAACAATCTGCGGCCTCTTATTTCCTCAGGTGATTTAGAGTTTTCTCTTAGAAGTTCAATTTCAGAAGAGTGCTATTTCCTGTGAGAGACTTCTGTGCTTGGAGATGCATAGACATTTCTACGGGGATGATTTTGAATGAGCTTCTACTGGTGTCCCATGGATTTCACTGTCTCGAACCAATACTGTATGTTAACTTTTGGGCTTGAGATTCTGGTATCACGAAGAAAATAGCCCACATCTAGCACAGAAATTAGACTTCTAATTTCTCATAGGTGAATCTTTTGTCTCCAACTCCTTGAGTAATTGGCCAATTTCCTTTCTATTTCTTGAATTATTCTGAACTCAGTTTCACAGAAGGCAGCCCTTTGCGGCTCCCAGCTTTGTGCAGACATCTCAATTACAACTCAACACTAAGCGAGATACATCACAGATGTTAAGTCCCCAGCTCTAGTTCTGATATCCACAAGTCCTCCCTCATAGATCTGGCTTGGCATTTCATCTTTATTTATTTAGAACTTGGAGATTTCTGACTTACCAATTTATTATTAAAAAATTGTTTTGTGATTTTTAGCCAACATTTCAGTGTCTGAACAGAAGAGAGTACTTTGCATATCATATTAGTCCACCATACTGATAGTGAGTCAGAATGAAATCTGTAAAAATGTTAGAGTTAGCTAGCTCCTATCAATACTTTCCCCTTCATCTAAGTAACAAAAAAAAAAACCCAGTCTTAGCCTAGGCCCTATGTGGAATGAAACTAAAATGCCTCCTAGAGCCCAGAAAATCTCCTTCAGTAGATGATGATAATGGGGGAGGGGGAACCTGTTCACAACTGGGGGAAAAGAAGAAAGAATTTGTTAGAGTACACAGTGAAGGACCCACAGGGACAAGGACACAATAGTACCTGGGCTGTACCATCATAGGAAGCAGATACCAGCCTTCCATCATGATGTGGGCTCCACGCCACACTGGTAATCTTGGCCGTATGCCCTGAGAGGGTCCGGTAGGGCTCTGTAATGGTCACTGGAGACTCAGGGCTGCTCTCTAAAAGGCAAAGGAAAGACATCACTGCTGCTACTACTAATAACAAAAAACAAAACAAAGTACATCCAGGAAGGCATTCACATGACAAGAATCAAGATTTTGCCATACACTTTCTAGGTTATTTTTTTTTTGAGATGGAGTTTCGCTCTTGTTGCTCAGGCTGGAGTGCAATGGCGCAATGCAATGGCGCAATCTCGGCTCACTGCAACCTCCGCCTCCTGGGTTCAAGCGATTCTCCTGCCTCAGCCTCCCAAGTCTAGGTGATTTTTAGCAGGCAACATTGTTAGTTATTAAGAGTGTGGACACATCCACAGTGCTTAGCATATAGATTACCACAAGAAGTGTTAGGTCTCATTATAACTTATAGGATATTCTAGCTAAAATGTATAATTTGAATATAGTCATGAGAAAATACCAGACAAATGCAAAATGAGAAAGCATCTACAAAACGAGTGCCCTATCTTCCTCAAAAGTGTCACATAAGATTTTAAAAAGTCTGGCTTGGCCAGGCGTGTCGGCTCACGCCTATAATCCCAGCACTTTGGGAGGCCAAGGTGGGCAAATTGCTTGAGTTCAGGAGTTCAAGACCGGCCTGTGGAAACCCTGACTCTAAAAAAAAAATACAAAAATTAACCGGGTGTGTTGGTGCACACCTATAGTCCCAGCTACATAGGAGGCTGAGATGGGTGGACTGCTTGAGCCTGGGAGGCAGAGGTTGTAGTGAGCTGAGATCGTGCCACTGTACTACAGCCTGGGTGACAGAGTGAGACCCTGTCTCAAAAAAAAAGGAAAACACAAAAAACAAAAACCAACCTAGCTGGGCATGGTGGTATGTGCCTGTAGTCCCAACTACTCAGGAGACTGAGGTGGGAGGACGGCTTGAGTCCAGGAATTGGAGACTGTCATGAGCTATAACTGCACCACTACACTCCACCCTGAACAATACAGTGAGACCCAGTTTCTAAAAAATAAATAAATACACACATAATTTTTTTTTTTTTGAGATGGAGTTTCACTCATCTCCCAGGCTGGAGTGCAATGGCACGATCTCGGCTCAATGCAACCTCTGCCTCCCAGGTTCAAACCATTCTCCTGCCTCAGCCTCCTGAGTAGCTGGGATTATAGGCATGCACCACCAAGCCCAGCTAATTTTTGTATTTTTAGTAGAGACAGGGTTTCACCATGTTGGCCAGGCTGGTTTCGAACTCCGGACCTCAGGCGATCCGCCCACCTTGGCCTCCCAAAGTGCCGGGATTATAGGCGTGAGCCACCACGCCCGGCCTAAATAAATAATTTTTAAAAGACTGAGAAATTATTATAGATGAAAGGAGACTAAAGAGACATGACAACAAAATGCAAATAGGTGATCCTGCATTGGAATCTGCACTGGAGAAAAAAAAAATCACTATTAAGAACATCATTGGATCAACTGACACAACTAGAATATGGGTGGCTGATTACACTATTTTACTTTTTTTTTTTTTTTTTTTAAAGAGACTAGGTCTTACCCTGTGGCCAAGGGTGGAGTACAGTGACAGTCATATAGCTAACTGTAGCCTCCAACTCCTGGGCTCAAGGGATCCTCCCACCTCAGCCTGTGAGTAACTGGGCCTATAGGTACCCATCATGTCCAGCTAATCAAGTGATCTTCCTGCCATGGTCTCCTCAAGTGTTGGGATTATAGGCATGAGCCACCACACGTAGCCTAAACTATTTGTTTAAATTGACAAATAATAGTTGTGTATATTTTAAGGGAAAGATTAAACTATTATATATTAAGTTAAACTAACAAACTGATAATTGGTAGGAAAAACTACATACATACACGCACACAGAATAAAGCCAATATGACAACACATTAAAAATTGTTGAATCTATTAATAGGAAAAAGTATATGCGATTTCTTTGTACAATTCTTATAACTTTCCTCTGTGTCTCAAATATTTCAAAATAAGAAGGTAAAAATTAAAATGGATTCTGGCAGTTTTCTTCCTTTCTCTATTATTTAGTAGATATGATATAAAGTGGATGATTAATTTAGAATCCCAATAATAATCATAAGGACCAGAATCAGCTTTCTAACTTATGTTCATTAGTTATACACTGTCTACTATTTATTACTAGGAAAACACATCTACATTTTAATACTTTTTCCATATTGCTTTTAACTCAGGAGTCACTACTAGAACCAAAAATATTTTTTCTTGTTACACATAGGATTCTTAGAAAACTACTGAAGTAAATTCTAGAGAAATGAAAAATGTAACTATTTTCACTATGGCTGAGAGCACATGTTTTATAGCACTCTGAAAACAATTTAGTGTCAGATTATAATTTCTTCATATTAGGAAAAAAAGTAATCCCACTTCACTCATATTTAAAACTGGCTCTTCTGACCACCTACTATGGTTTTCCAGGTGCCGAAGGGGCCTCAGTGAAATTTAAGATTTCTTATGGAATAAATTATACCCATATGAAAGTTAACTCATTAAGCATGGAATAGTACTTGCTAGAACACATACAGACACTGCAATTAGACACTCTAAGGTTGAATCTAGGCCCTATCATGTATTAGCGATGCTACTTGCTTGAATAAGTTAGCTAACCTTTCTGGGCCTCAGTGTAATCATTGGGAAAATGAGGATAACGTTACCTATCACCCTCACAGGATTGTGAGAATCAGATGCAATCAAACACGGGAATGAGGTATGTGTCCTCTGTTTGTGTGTAACACTCAAAAACTGCTGGCGGAAGTATTAAATGGCATAATGTTTTTGGAGAGCCGCTTAGCAGTAAGTATAAAAAACTACATCTTTTTACCTAGCAATTCCACTTCTAGAATTTTCTATACAAAAATTATTCATTCATGTTCACGAAGATCTATGTATAAGGCAGTTTATTGTAATACTACTTAAATTGTAAAAAAAAATAAATAATTTGAATGTCATTTAATTGTGGAATGGATACATTATGGTAAGCCCATATAATGGAATGAACAGGTAACTGTTTTTTTTTTAATTTTTATTTTTTGTATAGGTGGGGTCTCCCTACATTGCCCAGGCTGGTTTCAAACTCCTGGTCTCAAGCTATCCTTCCACTATGGCCTCCCAAAGTGCTAGGATTACAGGTATGAGCCACTGCGCCTGGCTGACAGATATTTGTTAATAACAGCAAGATAGATCCTTGTGTACTGACATAAAAAGATGTCCATGATAAATATTGTAAATTTAGAGAAAAAAACTGCAAGCACTATATATTATATATAGCAATTTATTTTTAGCTAGGAACAGAAGATTATTCTTTCACACAAGTACACAGAAGTGCAAACCTATTAATATATACTAACATGTATACATATGTAGGCTATGACTTTATAAAATCTAGAGAAAATATATAGCAAGCCAATAACACTGGTTATTGAATGATGAAATTTTAGGGGAAAACTTCATTTTTTTTTCTTTCTTTTTTGAGATAGGGTGTGCTCTGTAACCCAGGCTAGGGTGCAGTGGTGCAAATATAGCTCACTGCAGCCTCAAACTCCTAGAATCAGATGATCCTCTCAGCTCAGCCTCCCAAGTAGCTGGGACTAAAGGCATGCACCTCTAACCCGGCAAATTTGTTTTTTATTTTCAATTTTTTGTAGAGACGGAGCCTCACTATTTAACAGGCTGGTCTCAAAATCCTGGCCACAAATAATCTTCTCGTTGTGGCCTCCTAAAGTGCCAGGATTACAGGTGTGAGCAACTGTGCCTGGCCAACTTCATTTTCTGTTACCATTTTTGTCATGTTTGAAAGAATTTTAAAATAAGATGAATCTATCACTTTTGAAACAGAAAAAGTAGTAAGAATAATACTTATTTTATTATAATGTCAAAAATAAAGTAAAAAGTAACAAAGATTAGAATGGAAAGTAGCTGAACAAACGATATCATCCCCAGTATGAAAGAAACCAAAGTTACCTATGACAGTCTTCAGGTTGTGCACGTAAATGACTGCATTGTTGGAGCCAGAGGCCATCAGATAGCTCAATTCTGGCTGGCTGCCATGCTCATGATGCCAGCTAATGGTATTCACAAGCTTGTGATGCTGTTGGATAGTACAGATCAGTTTCAGGTTGGGAATCTGAAATATTTCTATTGATCTGGAATAAGAAACACATCAAAACAAGAAAGATGGATGATCAAATTACAAGTTACAATGCAAATAGTAGCTCCCTCATTCCGTCAGTCAAGGAAAGATGAGGTGGAAAAGGATAACCCTTTCTATCACTGCAAAGGTCATTCTCTCATAAAAAATCAAGTATAAAAAGTTATTCTCCAAAAAGTATATTTAGCTTTTAAAAATTCTAGCAATATCCTAACAATTCTTTTCTTAAAAAAATTAATTTTTAGAAATTTTAACTTTCCACACTACCTCAGTGTAACAATCTCCTAGCATTCTAACAATGCTTGATAAAATTGTGTTCATCAGGCATTAATGACAAATGATGATAGGGAGAAGCTAAAATAATTAACAGATCAATGGCTGAATTATGACTGTGTTACTATGATTAACACTGGTCAGGATACAGACCTAAAAAGCATTTCTGACTAGGCTTACTTTAAAAAAATGGAGATTTATGCAGTTCAACATAGGAGGTGACCATTTTGTGAGGGACAAGACAGCCAAAATACAGTGTAGCCAAATACTCTCAATGGGCTGAAAATATCTAAATAATTCTGTAGTTCTCAAAGACACAAGGCACTACTGGATCAGCGGAGGATATCAAGAATAAATCAAAATACCAAATACAACTGGGCCGCCCCAGCTAACATTACAGATGGCATTAGTCAGCTTGTGATCAAATATATGTGCGATTGCAAATTTTTTATCTTAAAGAAGCAAATACATACCCATCTTCATTGCCAAGAGCCATGATTTTGCCATCTGCTTTCCAACTTATCTCTGTGTGTACAGGCAATTTGTACTAGAAAGCAAAACAAACCAATCTTGACTATATACATATCTCACAAATCAGCAATGACAGCATGAGAAAAAAAAATCCCTAGAGTTTAAAAACGTTTTAATTATACAACAGCTATTCTTGTAAATAATCTACATAATTAGTAAAAGGATTACTAAGAACATGCATTCTAATTCTCATTTCCTAACTGGGCCAAAAAAACAAAACAAAAAAACCCCCAAGGCCAATAAGTACTAAATGTTTACAGTGCTTAACCTTGTGAAATATATACTTAATTAAACTGATCTGTGCCCATCAGCTTGGACAATGTGGGGACCATGAGGCCTTAAAGAAAACTATATACACTCTCCTTGTTTTCTATCCCTTCAAAGCTTCTTTCCCTGAATCATTTCCCTCCCATATCTATATGCTGGTATTCCCCAAGGCTGCCTGGGCCCTCTTCTCTTGTTAATTGTCTCTTTAACCCACCTCATACATGTCCACAGCTTCTTCAACTATCTTTATTGTGAAGGGATTCAAAATTTCTATATCCAGCTCAGACTCCTAGCATGAACCTCTGATCCACACATTCAAGTGCCAATAAATTAGAAGAGACTTAGGAACACGAATTTTGTCTCTTATTCATTGCTGAATGTTAATGTTTAGATAAAATTAAAGACAATGAGGGAATATAATCAACAATATAACCCAATTTATAACTAAATGTTACTTTTATACTAGCCATAAAAGTAATGAGCAATAATATAAAAATGCTCATTTGGGCTGGGCATGGTGGCTCATGCCTATAATCAGTACTTTGGGAGGCCAAGTGGGGTGGATCACTTGAGGCCAGGAGTCCGAGATCACAGCCTGGCCAACATGGTGAAACCCTGTCTCTACTAAAGACACAAAAATTAGCCAGTCTTGGCACGTGCCTGTAATCCCAGCTACTCAGGTGGCTGAGACATGAGAATCACTTGATTCCAGGAGGTGGAGGCTGCAGTGAGCTGAGATCGCACCACCGCACTCCAGCCTGGGCGACAGAACAAGGCTCTGTCTCAAAAAATAAATAAGTAAATAAATAAAAATACTCATTTGAAAGGGTAAGGAGGCCAAAGCAGGTGGATCACTTGAGCTCAGAAGTTCAAAACCAGCCTGGCCAACATGGTGAAACCCCATCTCTACTTAAAAAATACAAAAATTAGCTGGGCATGGTGGCCCATGCCTGCAGTCCCAGATACTTGGGAGGCTGAGGCAGGAGAATCTCATGAACCTAGGAGGCCGGAGGTTGCAGTAAGCCAAGATCACGCCACTGCACTCCAGCCTGAGTGACAGAGTGAGACTCTGTCACACACACAAAAAAGGGTAAGGAAATAAGGAAATCTCAACATTTAAGGTATGACTTTAAAAAGACAGTTCTGGCACATACTGATAGCATGAGAACACAAATGTAATTAAATGTGGGAATCTGGGTAAAGGATATAAGCAAATTATGTGTATTATTTTTGTAGCTTCGTGTAAATCTAGAATCATTTTACTAGAAAATTAAAAACAAAATGACAATTTTGTCTTGAGTAAAACACCATGCAGTTGCATTTGGATACTATATTATTGTTATTTTTACCACAGCATCACTTTGGTGAAAGTGGTTGGCCTGAAAAGGATGCTTTATACATAACACCTGAAAGTTTATAATAAATCATTGTTGCAATTGAGACAGACCTTTTTTTCAGTAGTTCTTTTTTGGCTTTTTTATTTTTTTGCCTCATACTCACTGTCTGAGAAGTACCTCTTTGTTTTATTCGAGGATAAAGACTCCTAAGATATATAACTCACAAATTCATGCACAGCCTTATAAGAACATTTAAGAAATCTGACTTAGTATGATGATGGTAATCTCCAATAACAGCATTTATTTTGCAAGATGGGAAACACAGAGGGATCTGTGATGTAAAAAGAAAATACTTCAGGACCACAAGAACTCACTTTGATTGAATTGGTGTCCCTGATGAGTTTGTTGATGTCAAAGGCTTCTCCACTAAGCTTCCAGGGATTATGCTGTAAGACAATCCCTTCTCCTCCACAGCTGTATAAAGCAAGGGAAGGTCTGTCTCCTTCTCCTCCTGTATGAAATAAGAAAAGAAACTTATCAGTTTTGTACTTCATCAGCTTAACTATTTGTTGCTATAGTATGACCATACCATACTACATAGTTGTTTTAAAAGAACTATATATTTGAAACATTCTAATACATTGGAATAAAATCACTGTTCTTTCCACCTGAACACAGTTGTTGGGAGCAGAAGTAAAAAAACTATACTACTATAATTCTAGGTTAATTTATGTGATGTAACATATTTGCTTTAAACAGTCTTCTGGTATTCATAATAATAGGGGTCCAAAAGCTGGGATCAGAAAACAAACATATATGTTCTCAAAAGCTTCTGAGAATTTGCTTTTTCTTCCAGAAATGAGTACTCTTTGGGAATTACATAGCACAGTAGGACTTTCTATGTCTTATAACAAAGAGATGTCATCAAAGCAGTGATTTCCTTAGTATCACAGCAATCTTCTTGTTAATTTTTAAGAAGCAAACAGTAATTCTGGTGGGTTTCTATAAGAGCAAGTTTTACTTTTACCACTGGTAGATCACAAATCAAATACCCAGTAAACATTTGTTGCATAAATGAACTACAAATTCCAATGCTACTTGAGTTCTGATAAATCTACTTATCCTCTCTATGTAATGCAATTCCTATAGAAATTTACAGATGTTTCATCATAGATGGTTAAGAAAAGTTTATCAGAGACTTTTGATGAATACACTTATGTAAAAAGCTAATAGAAAAGACTCATTACTTTAGGAATAAGAAAAAGAAAGACAAGGCTGAGGGGCTAGAAGAGGGAAAGGAGCAGAATGCTGAATCAAAGGCAAGAGATCATTTCAGAAACTCTAAGTTTGCTTTTCCTGTGGGTGAAAATAGATATTATTCCATTAATATACTGAAGTATCATTCTAATTCTGATAAAATTAAAAAGAGACAGCAAGTTTTAGTGAAGAATATTAGACTGGGTATCAGGACCCAGCATGATAACTATACATACAATGAAAAATTTCAGATCAAATAGAAGAACAATGCTTTAGTGAGTTTGGGGAAGCTTATTATGGGTAAATGGTTTCTCCCAGGAACTGTGATTTATCATCTGCCACTACTGTCTTCATGAACCCCTGGGGACATAAGTAGCCCACATAAGCAGTCAGTGCACTAGACCATTTATGACTCTTTCCATCTTTAATATTTTAGGATTAAACTGAAGGAAGAATACTCTCATATTTGTTATGGAATTGTTCAGATACTTACCAAGTGACATGGGGGGTACTGGTGGCCCCCAGGCTAAAGTATATACAGTCTTCTTATGATATGTGCTAGAAATCTGTGGAGGCCTTTAGAAGAGCAGGGAGAGAGAACAAATGGAGATTTAAACAAAAAGGCATAATGAAAAACAGACCATCTTTTTCTAAAAGGTCCCCATTATAAACATAACTACTAATAATTGGAGAAAAATAATTCAACAATATCTTGCTCCAAATAGTTGACTGTAAAGCAGTTAATTATCATATAATATTTACATTTAAATTATATTTAAATATCAAATAATGACATTTACTACCAAAACGATTAAGTCCCAAACATATTTTACCCCCCAAAAAATGTTACTCTTACCCATCTAGCCAGAACATATATTATCACCACCCAAATGTATTCACTTTACGGTCATGTAAAAGATGAGAAGTCATTTTAGACTTACTCTGTGCCATTAACATCACATTTCCTAAATTGAGACAAGATTTCAGGGTAGAGAGATTTTCAGTTTGTGATTGTCTTTTAAAGAAGGCGTACTCCTAAGAGCATTTTTGAAGGTTGTTGTGGTAATGATATGTGATGTGTCAGTAAAGAATGCTTAACTTTGTAGAAAAAACCAGGCAGCATTGTTATTTCTTTTACCATAAATTATCATACATTCTTTGTATGATTGTAGAATTCCAGAGCCTATGAATAATTAGCAGCTGACTTACTTCCATTTATCTGACAAATTTATAGTGATCAATCTAGAGAATAAATCAAAATTTCTAAAAGAAATTTATATTTTATAAACAGGCTAATTTATACTTTAGCCTATTTATTTTCTTTTTTTCTGTTTTAGAGACGGAGTCTCGCTCTGTCACCCAGGCTGGAGTGCAGTGGTGCAATCTCCGCTCACTGCAAGCTCCGCCTCCTGGGTTCACACCATTCTCCTGCCTCAGCCTCTGGAGTAGCTGGGACTACAGGCACCTGCCACCAAGCCCGGCTAATTTTTTGTACTTTTAGTAGAGATGGGGTTTCACAGTGTTAGCCAGGATGGTCTCGATCTCCTGACCTCGTGATCTGCCCGCGTCGGCCTCCCAAAGTGCTGGCAGCCACTGTGCCCGGCCTACTTTAGCCTATATCTAAAAGAAATAGAATAAGCAGTTCTGGCAAAATGCCTAACAATAGCTCTAGGGCAATACCCACCACTCTCTGGCTATTACATGGCTTTTGTACTGTTAGTCTGAATATTCAGCTTATAATAACCAGGATATAATAATTTAATAGAATTAGCAATTTCATGGTGATATAGAACTATTTAAGTTTTATTTGATTAAAAACAGTGTACTTTAAATAAATCTTTAAAACAGTTTTTTTTTTTTTTTTTGAGATGGAGTCTTGCTCTGTTGCCCAGGCTGGAGCACAGTGGCACGATCTCGGCTCACCGCAACCTCCGCCTCCTGGGTTCAAGCAATTCTCCTACCTCAGCCTCCCGAGTAGCTGAGAATACAGGCGCCCACTACCACATCCAGCTAATTTTTTGTATTTTTAGTAGAGACGGGCTTTCACCGTGTTAGCCAGGATGGTCTCAATCTCCTGACCTCAGGATCCGCCCGCCTCAGCCTCCCAAAGTGTTGGGATTACAGGCGTGAGCCACCGTGCCAGGCCTTAAAATAGTGTTCTTTTTTGAGAGTTAAAAAAGGAGAATAGTCAACTGCATGTAGGTTCTACATGAATACTTCAAGAACTGCATATACAAAGGACAGCTCTGGCCGGGCACGGTAGCTAACATCTGTAATCCCAGCACTTTGGGAGGCTGAGGGTGGATCACCTGAGGTTAGGAGTTCAAGACCAGCCTGACCAACACGGAGAAACCCTGTCTGTCTCTACTAAAGATACAAAATTAGCCAGGTGTGGTGGCACATGCCTGTAATCCCAGCTACTCAGGAGGCTGAGGCAGGAGAATCGCTTGAACCCAGAAGGCGAAGGTTTTGGTGAGCTGAGATCGTACCACTGCACTCCAGCCTGGGCAAGAAGAGCGAAACTCTGTCTCCAAAAAAAAAAGGACAGCTCTGCAGTATCATAAATGATTTTCACTCAGAAATGAATGATCTAAGACAGAGGCTGGCCAACCTTTTCTGTAAATATTTCAGGCTTTGTGAGCCATGTGGTCCCTGCCACAACTACTCCACTCTGCTGTGGTAGTATGAAAGCAGCCAGACAGAATGTAAACAAAGGAGTGCAGCCATGTCCCAATAAAATTTCACTTACAGACACTGAAATCTGAATTTTATTTAATCTTCATATGTCATAAAACATTCTTTTGATTTTTCTCCAGCCACTTAAAAAGCAAAACCATTCTTAATTCATGGACCATGGTTCACCAACGCCTGGTCTAGAACAGTGTTGTTCAATAAGGTAGCCATTAGTCACGGATGCCTCTTGTGCATTTAAAATAGGGCTAGTGTGACTGAGGAACTGAATTTCTATTTCATTTTAATTACTTTAAGTATAAATAGCCACATGTGGCTACCAGACTGAACAACACAGGTCTGGATTCTAATCAAGCCTCTAGAGCAGCGGTGTACAAAAATAAACAATGTAAGCCACAAAGATGAACTGTATATGTAACCTAAAGTTTTCTAGTAGCCATATTTTAAAAAAGCAAAAGAAAAAAGTAAAATTTTAGTAATGTATTTTATTTAACTCAGCCCACTGAAAGTATTATTTAAAATGTAATCAAAATAAAATAATTATTGAGATTTTTAATTTTCTTTAAATATTAAGACTCGGAACTCTGGTGTGTATTTTACACTTACAGCACATCTCAGTTCGGACTTGGCACCTTTCAAGTGATCAGTAATCACCTGTGGTTAATGACTACTGTAGTGGAGAATGTAGTTCTAGACATAACTTCTAGTTCATACGAAACATAGGGAACAGGGAAATGAGTTAGAAGCTACCACAAGGAGATAACTGACAAGTCCAAAATGTGGAAGAGTCTACCAAACAACTGATTTGTGGTCTTCAAATTGAAAAGGCAACGTTATGAAAAGGAAAGTGAGGGATTATTCTAGAGCAGGGGTGGCCAACCTTTTGGCTCCCCGGGCCACAATGGAAGAAGAATCACCCATTTCTTACTTGTTGGAGTAGGTGTCATACAATCCCACTTTTCCATCATCAGTTCCAAAAGCTAAGCAACCTTCCTTGGTTGGGTGCCAGCACAGCTACAAAAAAAAGAGTTTCCAAGTGAGAATATAAGAAGTGGGGCATATAGTTAAAGGAATCCTTACATTACCCTTTAAGCATCCAAAGGGAAAACTGTCTTGCTCTGATTTCTTCATTATTTAAAGGAGAAAAAGGGTATTAAAAACAAAGTCGGCCGGGCGCAGTGGCTCACGCCTGTAATCCCAGCACTTTGGGAGGCAGAGGCGGGCGGATCACGAGGTCAGGAGATCGAGACCATCCTGGCTAACACAGTGAAACCCTGCCTCTACTAAAAATACAAAAAATTAGCCAGGCGTGGTGGCGGGCGCCTGTAGTCCCAGCTACTCGGGAGGCTGAGGCAGGAGAAAGGCGTGAACCCGGGAGGCGGAGCTTGCAGTGAGCCGAGATTGTGCCACTGCACTCCAGCCTGGGCGACAGAGTGAGACTCTGTCTCAAAAAACAAAACAAAACAAAACAACAAAAAAAACAAAGTCAATGTCATCTGTAATCTTTCATTCAAAAAACCGACTGCAGATGTTGTATCTCTCTTTCCAGATATTTTTGTGAATAAACTTATACACAATTGAAAAAAACAAATGAGTTCAAATACGTAAATGATATGCATTATACACTGTCGAGTCGGAATAAGAGATTCTGGAAGAATTTAGAAAATACAGTTCTATTAATATTAAATAGTTTACAAAATTTGAAAAGATAGATCATAAACTGTCCACAGTGGTTCTCTGGATTATTCAAGTGGGGGACTGGAGTGGAGGGTAGGGTAGGAAAAAAATGTTTCCTTTCTCTATTTTTGTGTTGTTTGATTTTCTTTTTAAACCATAAAAATTTATTACCTTTAGATTCAATAGCCAAAAGAAAGGTATCATTTTAGAGAAAACCAAAAAAATTACACATACTGTTTTATAACCTGCTTTCCATGTTTTATAATTGACATTTTTCATAAATCATTTATATACCTTTCCACATCAAGGAAGAAGGAATCTACATTATCATTTTCAATAATTTGATGCCATTCCAACATTTGGTTATCTTATAACTTAACGCATTTTCTATGAATATACAGTCAGGCTATTTCTAACTTCTTACTATTAGAAAAAATGCTGAGATGAACAGAGCCTTAATAAATTTAAACTCTGGAGGATAATGGGTTTGGTTACAGGATCATTCTGCTTTCCTAGTTTCAAACTTCATTGAAAATACTTTAAAACTTTTGATTCTCAACAGAGCGCATTTAAATGAACAGGCATAAAAGAGAATTATTTGGAAAAAAAAAAGTTCAAAACAAGCTCAAAAAAAGAATCCTTACCGCTGTAACCTTGGACTTCACGCCTTGCCAAAAATTTTTCACATCATAGTTGTTCTTTATGGAGAGTGTATTCCATACACGGATCATGCCATCCCCAACACCTATGGCCAAAGAGCCTATGTCCACAGAAGAGAAAGCCAGGCTGTATGCAAACCCACCAAGGGAAGGAAGGGTCCAGCTGCACTCCAAGGTGGCTATGTCCCAACATTTTACCTGCAAAGATTAACGGTAAGGGCCTAAACATAAAAAAGAACAGAGAAATAGGAAAAAAAACCTGATATGTCAAATGGGATAGGCTCAAAGACTGGGTAAGGATAATGCATGTCTTCCAGCAGGAATTGAAGAAAGCACTGCTAAGAAAAAAAAAATAGTAATAAATTATGTTGCTTAAAGGGATCTTAAAATATATTTATTCCCAAAGATGTCACGTGAATTCAGGGTTACACAATTAATAAACCAGAACCCACGCCTCCTGTCTCCAAGTTCGGTGGTCTTTCTGTCCTATTATAGCACTGGTAACCCCCTCATTTGGCAAACTCTAAGGAAGAAGATGGCCTCAGCACAGTGGAAAAATCAAAGAACTGCTCTCTCAAAAGGCAAAACACCTTATCATACCCAGGGAAGGAGGAGTGGTAAATTTTTAATCATCACTTGTTTAAGAGACAGGCTTGGGAGAAAATGAAGTCTACCAAATAAGCCTAGCTTAACTGCAAAACAGTAAGGTAATAGGCTTTCAAATAAAGTCAATTCTCTCTGAAAGATTTCTATTCTGCTACATACACTACAAACCAGGATAAACCATAGCATGAGGACCTAACACAGGGGTGTCCAATCTTTTGGCTTTCTGGGGCCACACTGGAAGCAGAATTGTCTTGGGCCACACAAAAAGTACACTAACACTAGGCCAGGCGCCGTGGCTCACGCCTGTAATCCCAGCACTTTGGGAGGCTGAGGCAGGCAGATCACGAGGTCAGGAGATCGAGGCCATCCTGGCCAACACAGTGAAACTCCATCTCTACTAAAAACACACACAAAAAATTAGCTGGGCGTAGGTGATACACGCCTGTAGTCCTAGCTACTCGAGAGGCTGAGGCAGGAGAATGGCGTAAAACTGGGGAGGTGGAGCTTGCAGTGAGCCAAGATCACACCACTGCACTCCAGCCTGGGAGACAGAGCAAGACTCTGTCTCAGAAAAAAAAAAAACACTAACACTAACAACAGCTGATGAACTTAAAACCATCCTGAGCTGTGGGTTGGACAAGCTTGACCTAATACATCCTTCCCTGGGCAAAACTACCCTTCTTTATTATGTCTGCTTTAACAAAAAACTATTTTGGTGGGTCTTCACATTCTCCTTACATGTGAGCTATTGATATATTCAGTGCTGATCTGTAGCAGTAACTCTGAAATTGGAGTCAGGGGTGGAGTATTACGACTTGACAGGTGCTTTGAAAAAGCCCTCTCATCCCACCCAAGTTGTAAACTGCTGCTCTACAATGCTGAGTGAAAATAAGCATTCTTACATCTCTATCCATTGATGTAGAAAGTAATAGCTGTTTGTCATCCTCTGTTTGTAAAGGACATAAATTAAACACAATTCTTGAATGATTTTGCCCTTCTGATGAGGCACTGAAGAGGGTGTATTTCCGTCTCCAAGATTGAGTGAGATCCCATTGCAACAGTTCACCTCTGTGAAGGAAAAACATAAGCATTAGTTCTTTTACAAACGATCTGAAAACAAGTGACTGTTGAGACAGAGTCTGGGCTCATAGCTGCAAAATGATTTGTTGTCGTTTAAGGAGAGAAAAATTGCATATGCTGAAAATATGCACAAAATATCTCTGGGAAGGCTGGGTGCAGTAGTTCACATCTGTAATCTCAGCATTCTAGGAGGCCAAGGCAGGAGGATTGCTTGAAGCCCCGATCTCAAGACCAGCCTGGGCAACAAAGTGAGACCGTCCCTACAAACAATTAAAAAAATTAGTTGGGCATGGTGGTGCACATCTATGGTCCCAGTTACTTGGGAGGCTGAGGTGGGAGAATTGCTTGAGCCCAGGAGGTTGAGGCTGCAGTGAGCTGTGTTTGCACCACTGCACTCCAGCCTGGGTGACAGAGCAAGACCCTGTTTCAAAAAAAAAAAAAAATTTAATCACAGAAAGGGGAACCAAGTAGCTAGGGAAGACAGAAAGACAGTTTATTATATACTTTCGTTCTTCTTGAACCATGTGAGTATATTGGACTACCCTTTAAACAGATTTATCTCCAGCCACTAGAAGTAGGTAGTCAATGAACTTTGTTTACTGAATGGGCATAGCCATCCAACCTAAGAGAAAATATTATAACCATCTCCCCTTTCTACACTTGAAGTGACTGAAGCTCAGAAAAGTAAAGGGTCTTGCTCAGGAATACAAGGCAGTAAGTGACAAAGTGATTCTGAAATTTAGTTCTGACTTCAGAGTCCATATTCCTAACTGCCGGACTATACTTATGTGATCTTTTTACAGCTCTGTTAGTAGATAGCACAGGCATTAGTCTCATAATTTTTCCATTTCAAATGGCCCATCATAATACAAGCCTTGGCCATTACTTTCTCCATCCTAGGAGGACTTGAGGCCAAATAGAAAAACAAAATATATCTGAGAAAGCATGACCAAAAAAGACTTACCCAAAACAGCTAGATACCAGCTGTGTTGGTTGATTGCTGGGCCAATGGAGTGTCAACCAAAGGCGCTCTTTAACAGTTGGGTCTATACCCCCTCCTCTTCTCTTCAGAAAGGGCAATTTCAAAATCATCACCCCTGCAGATTAAAAAGAAGGCCAGTGGGCACTCAAGACAGTGAAACTACATGCATGAAGTCACCGGTGGTTCATAACACACAGTCTGCGCTGTAAAAGCTTGTTAGTTTGGCTACTTAGAATTCAGATCTCATTTTCCAATGGTTACAATTTTAACCATTATTATGGTTATAATTTTAATCACTATAAATACTGGTTAATACTAGTCTAGCTACATTTAGGTCAAACAAGCTTCGACAGGCTATCTTGACAACCTCAACGTATTAAGAGTATTTTTTTTTTTTGGCCGGGCGCGGTGGCTCATGCCTGTAATCCCAGCACTTTGAGAGGCCGAGGCGGGAGGATCACGAGGTCAGGAGATCGAGACCATCCTGGCTAACATGGTGAAACCCTGTCTCTACTAAAAATACAAAAAAATTAGCCGGGCGTGGTGGCAGGCACCTGTAGTCCCAGCTACTCGGGAGGCTGAGGCAGGAGAATGGCATGAACCCAGGAGGTGGAGCTTGCAGTGAGCTGAGATCGTGCCACTGCACTCCAGCCTGGGCGACAGAGAGAGACTCTGCCTCAAAAGAAAAAGAGTATTTTTTCGTCTGGGAAAATGAGTTCCCAAGTAAAACTGAGAACCCAGCTAGTAACACAGCTGAGTTGTGTACCCAAAAGTATTGCAGTGACATAACTCCAAAGTGAAAAGGACAGAGGTTGGGATTACTATTTCTAGTCGGCAAGAAATCCAACAAAGAAAAATTTGGCAGTGAACGTGCTGTGGGTGGGGAGTACCTCCACCCGACATGCTTCTAATCACCGTTTTTTAAGCTGTATTGTGCATCGGAACCACAGGTGGAACTTTAAAAAATACATACGCCAGGGCCTAACTCCTAGAGATTCGGACTCAGTAGATCTGAGGTGGGGTACAAGAACCTACATTTTTCCAAAGACTCTCCAGCTGATTCTGCTGCACAACCACAATTGAAGGCCATTTTACCAGACACCTCTAAGTCTAGAGGTTACCCTCCTGGAGGGATCCTCAGCCTTATGTTCCCACTTGGAGTTTTAGCTGCAGTATGCCAAGAAGTAGCCTGTAAACCTTAAAAAAGTTCTGTCTTCCCAAATTATACTATTAGTTACCTACCACTGATGAAGCCTGGATGACATTCCAAGTGCTGTGCTACTTGCTTTACATGCATTTGGGCAAATATGATAAAACTATCATGGTTTCAAATAAAGTAGAAAGTACATCCATGCTCATAGCATATTATTTAGAATAGTAAAACATGGAAGCAACCCAAATGTCCATCAGTGTGTGAGATATGAGTTCTAAATTTCTCTTCAAAGAATCAATATGTCAGTATGTTCAATTATTTGGCTTCTGTTTTTAAACTTAACTTCCTCGTAAAAGCAACCTTTTTCGATTACCTGCTCCATCCTGACTCATTCCGATTACCTGCTCCACCCTGACTCATTCTGATTTCCTGCTCTGCCATAACCATTTTTCCTGCCATAACCATTTTCTCCCATCAAACCACTTACCCCGGCACTCTCTTTAAATCAGCGAATCAGAATTAGTTTAGCCTGTGCGGTCTAACCCTAGCTGATAGGGGAACGACACAGCAGCAGGGGCCACATGCGTCAGGGATAAGAACCCCTCCCCTCCGTTGTCCAAGTGTGCGCTCACCATTGCTCCATCTGTAAGGGCGCACCCTTCTATAGAAGTACATTGCCTTGCTGAGAATTAAAAAGAAAGTTTTATATTTGAGTGCTATTTCTTTTGCCACACCGAAATTTTATTTATAACAAGTGGATGAGTGGGTAAGTAAAATGTGGGACATACACACAATGGAATATTATTCAGCCTTAGAAAGGAAGGATATGCTGACATACGGTACCAACATCAATGAACCTCGGGGATATATGCTAAGTGAAATAAGCCAATCACAAAAAGACATATCATATGTATAACTTCACTCAAAGGAAATACTCAGAGTAGTCAAAATCATAGAGCTGAAAGCAGAATGATGGTTGCCAGGGCCTGGGGGAGGGGGAAATGGAGAGTAGAATTCTGGAGATGGGTGGCTGTGACAGTTGCACAACTTTAGAGTGTACTTCATACCACTTAAATGTACACTTAAAAGTGATAAAGATGGCAAATGTTATATTTTCCACCACAGCTTAAAAAACTGCCAAAAAAAATAAAATAAAATGAAGAAAGAAGAGAAGCCCGCTAGAAAGAGAAAAACAAGATTTTTACTATAAAGGTTATATTCTATGATATACTATAAATATTCATTATGCCTAGAGTTTCTCTCAATTTTTAAACTTAAAGATAAAAGTTCTGTTCAAAGAGACATTTGGGAAAGCTAAATGATTGAGGGGCTCTATAATTTGGATAAAATGAGCTTTTACACATAATTCTATGCTGGGTGTATGTAATTTATTCTGCATTTGTGCATTAAAAGCTCTAACTCTTAAGATATTTTCCATTCTCCTGGCTTAGGCCATATCATGTTCTAATATTCCTGTTTTTATTACAAATATTCTGCTCTCCATGCCAAACACTGACCCTTCTATAAAGCAAGAGATCCTTGTCTTCTCCTGGAATGCATGGGAAATACTAATCTCTAAGGCCAGATGTTGAGAGAATAGAGAGTCTAGGCCAGGCTCAAATGAGGAAGCAGAATTCTAGACCAAAAAGTGAAGAACTGCTCTCAAATAGATGACACACCCTCAGGACAATAAGAACAGAAAACCCTCTACTTCCACCAGATCAACATAGGTTACATCACAAAAGAAAGATCAATCTTACCTCGGCCTCTAGAACAGCTCCAGATTCGAATGGTTTGATCTTTGCTTCCAGTGGCTAAGTAGCAACCTTTTGTTACTGGAGCTTGTGCTACAGCATTCCCGTTGGTAATTTCAGCTTCTTCTATGAGATAGGTGGCAATTTTGTTTTTAATTTACATTAAACACGCACTAATATAAAAAAATTAGTTTGCAAGAGTTTCCAAAACTTAGCTATCTCTTTCATAGGTCTGAACTATAAAATTTGAAGTTTTAGGTATAATTAAAATGATATAATTCGGCCTGGTGCAGTGGCTCACGCCTGTAATCCCAGCATTTTGGGAGGCTGAGGCAGGTGGATCACCTGAGGTCGGGAGTTCAAGACCAGCCTGACCAACATGGAGAAACCTGTCTCTACTAAAAATACAAAATTAGCTGGGCGTGGTGGCGCATGCCTGTAATCCCGGCTACTCGGGAGGCTGAGGCAGGAGAATCGCTTGAACCCGGGAGGCGGAGGTTGCGGTGAGCCGAGATCACGCTCCAGCCTAGGCAACAAAAGCAAAACTCCGTCTCCAAAAATAAATAATAAATAAAAAATGATATAATTGTACCCGTTCTGTTCTTCAGGTCTCAAGTGGACTTAACTTTCCCTTAAACCATCTCTACCTGAAGTTTCCTCTTGGTTTATAGATAAACAATCTTCACCAGGCAGGGGACACCAGGCTATGGAGTGGATTTCATCATCATGGCCTCGAAGCCTATGAATAACTTCTCCTTTCTTACTGATGTCAATTATCACCACTATGCCATCCTTGTAGCTAAAAAACAAGAGTTAGAAATATTACTAAAAAAATGAAGACAGAACAGAGTCTCTAGTAAACATTTTGGCTTGGAGTTACCATTGGCGCATTCCTTAAAGTTAGGTGCATTTGGGGTGGCGGAGGAGGGAAGAGGACAAAAAATAATTTTGCTTTTTCCTTTTTTTAAAGTGCTCACCTTATGCCTCCTGGTTTTGTTAAAACCCTTCTCTCTATGATCAAACTCTTGGCACTAGGTAATACTATGTATGTTGCCTGGTACAAAACTCACAGTGGACCATGATTTTGTTCTAAGGGAATTTTCATAGTTTTTGCAAGGGTGCAGCAACTCTTCTTTTTTCCTTCTCTGTTGCCCAGGCTGGAGTGCAGTGGCACAATCACCACTTACTGCAGCCTTGACTTCCCAGGCTCAAGCAATCCTCCCACCTCAGCCTGGGACTGAGTAGCTGGGACTAAAGGTACATGCCATGCCCAGCTAATTTTTGTATTTTTTTGTAGAGATGAGGTTTCACCATGTTGCTCATGGCTGGTCTCAAACTCCTGGGCTCAAGCAATCTACCTGCGTTGGCCTCCTAAAGTGATGGGATTATAGGCATCAGCCACCACACCCGGCCAACTCTTCTAACTAGAGATAATTTTGTCCTAGTGCACTGGAAAATAATCTCTTTCTTTATAAGTGATACTACTTTTTAAACTGTGAACTTAACAAAAGTTGCAGAATTCTACACTCTAGACCTGCATATTCCAAGGCTGTCATTTTATGAATTCAAAAGAAACTGAGAAATTCTAATAGCTTTTTAAAAATGAATGACTTCAGATACATAAAAAAAGTAATCTACTACCCTGCCTAAGAAAAATAATTACCAATAGAGCTGAAGTCCTCTGTACATTCCACTTCAATCAAACCTCTCTCCTTGCCAGATCTCTTCTCCTTTTCTTCCTCTACCCAGAGGTCAAACTCTATTTGTGAATTGTGTTATATCATTCCTAGCCTTTCTTTGTATATATTCCTAAATAAGATATAGATTTTGCATATTTTAAAACTGCACATAAATGCTATCATCTATTTTCCTGCAGCTTGTTTTTTTCACTCATTCTGTTTGTAATTCATCCATGTTGATACACGTAACTCTAGTTCCTGGCCAGTCATTACACTATTGTATTAGTACTGCACTGTGTGAATATTTCAAAGTTTATTCATTTTCCTTTTGAAGGGCTTCCACTTTTTTACAACAAAAAAATGCTATTAATGTTCATGTACACATCTAAGACAATTTCAGGTTTGATGACTAGTAATGGAACTGCCAGGATGTTAAGATATATGCATTTTTATTAGAAAGTACAAAACTGCATTATACAAAGTGGCTGTACCTATTCACACTTCCTACACATTACAGCATTCGACAGGGAAGAACACCAGCACAGCTTTATTTATTTTTTTTTTTTAAAAGAAACACTAGAGTATGTCAACCTTTGAAGACCCGGACTTTGAAAACTGCCAAGTTATGCAACCTAATCACCAACAGATCAAGCTATTTAGAAATCTGAATCAAGCTTTCTGGGAATAATACTATTCTGAAGATCCTCCCCTGACTCCTGCCTACCACCTTTCTGTTCATCCTCTCTATCAACCCTACTACAACACTGCTCCCACTTCAAGAGACTGCCGATCCAGTCCCCTTCCATTTTCACTATCACTCACCCACACCTGTCTTTCCATACATCCCCCTACCCAATGCAGCACAGATTTCATGATCCATCACTATCATTGACTTTTTTTTTTGAGATAGAGTCTTGCTCTGTCGCTCAGGCTGGAGTGCAGTGGTGCAATCTCATCTCACTGCAACCTCCACTGCCCAGGTTCAAGCGATTCTCCTGCCTCACCCTCCTGAGTAGCTGGGCTTACAGGTGTGCGCCACCAAGTCTGGCTAATTTTTGTTTGTTTGTTTTTTTGAGACAGAGTTTCGCTCTTGTTGCCCAGGCTGGGGTGCAATGGCTCAATCCTGGCTCACCACAACCTCTACCTCCTGGGTTCAAGTGATCCTCCTGCCTCAGCCTCCCTAGTAGCTGGGATTACAGGCATGCGCCACCATGCCTGGCTAATTTTGTGTTTTTAATAGAGACGGGGTTTCTCCATGCTGGTCTTGAACTCCCAACCACAGGTGATTTGCCCACCTCGGCCTCTCAAAGTGCTGGGATTACAGGCGTGCACCACTGCACCTGGCCTGATTTTTTATTTTTAGTAGAGATGGGGCTTCACCATGTTGGCCGGGCTGGTCTTGAACTCCTGACCTCAGGTGATCCACCCGCCTCGGCCTCCCAAAGTGTTGGGATTACAGGTGTGAGCCACTGCGCCCAGCCTTATCATCAACTTTTAAAAATACCCGTACGCCCCGTCTCCTTCTCCCTCTCCCTCAAGAGTACTTACTCCACAAAGCCCCAAACCTGGCTGAATCCAACCATCTCCTTTCTCAAACAGTTTGGGTTTACTTTAAATTTATGGCCACGATTCTTTGTTTGCCACTCAACAGTGAACACTGGGCCTATAATTTTCCTTAGTACATTCGTTTTCCTATTCTCTTTGACCATTTTCATACCTTCTTTGCATATCCAGTTTCAACCCCATGATGAACTTGACTCTACCACTCTGACTTATGCCTCAATGAGAAAATCAGAAATACCAGAATAGAACACCTTTTTCTTCCAAGCACATCTACAAATCTACCTGCACCTATTTCTATATTCCCAGCTGTTCTTTCTTCTTGTCATCTGAATCCAATCCCCTCTTGACTTTTCAGCAATACCCCTGCATTTATCATAGTTTACTCCTGCAACAAGCTCTTCCTCTTTTCAAGCCTTACTTTCATCAGCATAAAAACAGGTCCCTGGTATTTTCCATTTAATACTCCCTTGACCCCATCTATCCCCTCTGGCTTCATGTATATGCACATTTTTACAACAAACTTTGTGAAAGAGTTGTTGTCTCTTTGTGTATCTCTATTGCCTTAGCCCCCAGTCTTTCAAATCCACTCCAATCAGAATTTCTCCTTCAACATTCTAGGGAAATTGCTTAAGTCTTCAAATTAGAGAAAATAGACATCTTTCAGTGAGAAGTACATGAAATGGTGAAAGAAACGGGGATGTATATTCAGGCAGCTCATGTGAAACAACCTTGGTGATCAACAAGGAAACAGATCCCAATGCCGCATCACTTTCCCAATCTAAAGGGAGCGCTCAGAACTAGAGAGACCCAGCAAAGTCATCTGACACCTGGGAGTTCATGTTGTATCAACGGGCAGTAGAGAAAGCGAAAAAGGTGAAAGAGGACATTTCCTACACGTAAAGGTTGATTGGAGGAGTTAGATCCGAAAAACGAAGAAAGTACAGTACCATGGAAACCAAGGAAACAAAAACGGAGTGGCAGAGACAGTAAAGACCTGGAGGAATAAATGATGCCAGGGGCTCAGGGGGAGTGGTTAACATCTGTAGATGGTTTCCTTTGAGGAATAAAAGGACAGAGAAGGTAAAGAAAATGCAAAACACGATCATAAACAAACAAAAATCATCAATACAGATGGCATAGTACTTACCCAATGGCTACTAAATCTTCATGATGAGGTGAACAAGTAAGACAGAAAATTGTCCTGGGTTCTATAAAGAGGTGCTGGCTGTCATTTCTGTTAAACCAGTAACAGAAAACTACTCCTTTTTCATCCCCAGATACTATTAAGTCCTTTACTCGAGGAGACCAATGTAATGTTGATATCGTATGCTTTAAAACAAAACAAAAATTTGTTATTGTCAATGCTGAAGTTCTACTTAATTTTTAACTTGTATCACAAACCAGCATAATGCTACATATACACATTAAAAGTAATTAATACGGCCGGGCGCGGTGGCTCACGCCTGTAATCCCAGCACTTTGGGAGGCCGAGGCGGGTGGATCACCAGGTAAGGAGATCGAGACCATCCTGGCTAACATGGTGAAACCCCATCTCTGCTAAAAACATAAAAAAATTAGCCGGGCGTGGTGGTGGGCTCCTGTAGTTCCAGCTACTCGAGAGGCTGAGGCAGGAGAATGGCGTCAACCCAGGAGGCGGAGCTTGCAGTGAGCCAAGATCCCGCCATTGCACTCCAGCCTGGGCGACAGAGCCAGACTCCGTCTCAAAAAAAAAAAAAAAAGTAATTAATACTTATTAGTAGTACTTCTATAGCAACACGATATTAACAAAATGGTGGGAAGATTTAGACTACTGGGGATCAAATAATCATTAAAAATTTTTTAAATAGCTTAATGCAAAGTTCTTATTAAGTAGGTCTTTTCCTTTGTTCTCTCAAAAGGCAGGTACATCAAGTAACTATCTAGCTTAGAAATGAGTTTCATTCACGCATTTACAGTCTATATCAGGAGTCCATTTGTATCAATAACCAGAGGGTAATTGTTTTAGACCTTGTGGGCCATACCATGCCTGTTGCAACTACTCAACTCTTGTAGCATGAAAGCAGTCATAGACAATACTTAAATGAATTAGTGTGGTTGTATTCTAATAAAACCTATTTGCAAAAACAGGCACAGAGCAGTTTGCCAACCTCTGGTTTGTATATATCTCCTTTCAAAAAAAGTTGAGACATCTTACAATATAGTTTCTTATCTAATTAATGAACACAATTACAAGTTACTTTGCACAGATGAGCTAGCAAAACTAGCTTGCAACAGAAGAACCCTCAGCACAGATAGATAAAAACGGTTTGAGAAACCAGTAAGCCATGGTACCTGATGGAGTGCATGTTCTGTCACAACTGTTTTTGTCTCTACATCCCATATTTTCACAGTCCCATCGTCGGAGCTGGTGGCACAGAGGTTGTACTGACCAGGGTGATGAGAAAATGTGAAGCCAGAGACCCTTTCGGTGTGTCCCACCAACTCTCCTATGACTTTAAGCAAAACCAGACGCTAGGTTAATCGAAGTGCTATCCAAGGTTCCTGGCAGAATCATACTGTTGTTGGATGACAAGTGAGCAGATGCTTTGGAGTTACTTAACCCATGGTATAACTGAAACACCGACGGACTTACACTCAGAATTCCCAAGTGCTGATATTGGCTGTGCCACGTGACTTCGAACAAGTCTCTGAGCCTCAGCTTCTCAACTGTGAAATGAATGTTGATATACCTTGCTCTGCTTAGTTCACAGACTGGAAAGCAGCTCAAATAATGTGAAAGTGACTCTTATTTAGATGTGGCCAGAATAAATCACCTGGCATGTCATATCCTAAGGCACAATCAAAGCCTAGTTTGGAGCCTGAAAGCATCTGGTTCAACCCATTCATCTTACAGTAAGGAATGCCACACGTTGCAGGATCTTGCTTAGGGCCTGCAGCTGTGGTTAGCCCCCAACCCCAGGAAGGCTCCCGGGGGGCTGGCGCGCACCAGGCTGGGCAGGGGAGCCATATAAATGGCCGAGACTATACAAGGCTAACTTTTCAGTAAGCAAGCGGCCCCACGTGGAAGCTCCAGGAGGCGGGACCGCTCGGCCACAGCATGGTGTAGCTCATTAGGAGACCAGAAGCAACTCAGCTTAGTGACTGTGGGCTGCCTCTCCTCCCAGCCTGGGCCTCAGTTTCCCTAGCTGTAGAAAACGGGGTGGAGTCGTCCACTCGGCGCCCCTGGGGAGCGTACAAAGGGCAGTAAGTCTCGGGCCCAAGGGTGGTGAGTTACCTCGAAACGGGGGTGTCCCTGGACTCTCGCCTGCGCCCGGGCCCACGCGGACAAGGAAGACGGAGGTCCGCGCGGCGAAGCCAAAGAGGCCCCCGGGCACGGCATCGCTGCAGCGGGCGCAGTACCAGTTGGGGGAGGGCGGCAGCGTCCGCGGCTCCTGCCCCATAACTACAAGCCGTCAGAGACAAGAGAAGCTGCCACAGCCGACCGCTCGTAGCCTCACGCCTTAGGTAGGGAGCGGGGCGGGGTGAACTCCGAGCCCCGCCTTCTCGGGCAGTCGCTACGGTGCGCGTCGAGGCCCAGCCAGCACCGCGCGTTGCGTTCCCGCTACCGCCGGGCTGGGAAGGGCGGGACCACGCGTGCTGCACTGGCCCTCAGTACCTAGCCCGCGGTAGGAGGTCCGCCCCAACCCTGGCTAGGGTCAGGTGCTGCCTGAGCACAGCCCCGAGGTTAAGCATTCTCACTTCCCACAGAAAGGCACAAAATTAGAGGATTAGACTAGTGGAACCACCGCCCCAGGCTACCAGTTTATTATTTGGAGCTGTTCAACCACTATCCCGTCCAACGTTTTTTGAGCGCTATGTGCCAGGGCACTTTGCTAGTTGTGGAGGTGTTTTAAAGATATGCACAAGAGGCCGGGTGCGGTGGCTCACGCCTGTAATCCCAGCACTTTGGGAGGCCGAGGCGGGAGGATCACGAGGTCAGGAGTTAAAAGACCGGCCTGGTCAGCATAGTGAAACCTCGTCTCTATTAAAAAACAAAAATAAAATAAAATAATAAAATAAGCCGGGTGTGGTGGCAGGCGCCTGTAATCCCAGCTGCTCGGGAGGCTGAGGCAGGAGAATCGCTTGAACCCGGGAGGCGGAAGTTGCTGTGAGCGGAGATCACGCCACTGCACTCTAGCCTGGCCACACAGCGAGACTCCATCTCAAAAAAAAAAAAAAAGTAAAATGCAACAATCCCTAGACAACAAATACTAGGGAGGCTGAGGCAGGAGAATCGCTTGAACCTGGGAGGCGGAAGTTGCAGTGAGCAGAGATTGCGCCACTGCACTCCAGCCTGGGCGACATTGCGAGACTCCATCTCAAATAAAAACAAAACAAAACAAAAAAAGATATGCACAAGAGGCCACTTAACAAAAATATTGTTGTACCTGAGTGAGTTAGAGAAAACGCCACACTTTGAGACGAATTAAGAGTCCATTTGTTTAGCCGGTGGCCAAGAGATGGCTAACGCTCAAAGTTCTCTCAGCCGGAAGAAGAGGCTAGATTTTCTTTTATACTTTGGTTTAGAAAGGGGAGGGGAGTCTAGTTAAAACAATTTTACAGAAATAAAGTAGGCAAAAAGTTAAAAGGATAAATGGTTACAGGAAAGTAAACAGTTCCAGGTGCAGGGGCTTTAAGACTATTTATTACAAGGTGATAGACTGGGGGCTTTGGGTGCTATCAATCAGACGAATTCCTGGGAATTGCGGATATTGCTCGCCACAGTATCTTATCAGTTAATTGCATCTTGGATGTGCTGGGAGTCAGCTTGCACAAGTTAAGTTCTTGAGGAAGGGGCTGCCAGTGAAAGAGCCAAGATGGAGTCTGTCTGGCTCTCTTAGCTAAGCAAGAGTCAATTCAAGTGGAAACAAGGCTAGGTGATCAGAGGAAAAAGGGAGAGTCTAAAAACAGGGTTAGTAAAAACAAGGTTGGGCATTACAATATGGAGTCCGGGAGACAGGCTGGTGTGAGCTGTGATCGAGCCACTGCACTCAAGCCTGGGCAATAGAGTGAGACCCTGTCTCAAAAAAACAAAACAAACAAAAATATGAAAGTACGAATCTGGAATTAAAAAGGGAAAGAACAGTTTCTGCAACTGGGTGGAAATTCTGGCTCTGGGTTCTGGGTACTCAAAGATGAAGGAGAAGCAAATGGAGTGACTCTTGATTTGCTTGATTGAGGGCCAGCTGTGTGAAGGAAGCTGTATGTGGTAAATGGTGTGGAAGAAAGTTTCCTTTCAACTCAAAAATGCTAAAATGCTCAGATTCTGCACTACTCGTGTGTTGCTTGTTTGCATTGGGTATCTGACATTCCTGCATAGGTAGCAAACCGCAATCTGAACTACCTGTTATTCTAATACAGAGGGGTCAAATACATATATTTGAAGGCGTCTAGGGGCACAAATTTGGAGGCACCTAGTCGTAGATTGATCACTGGTTTGCCAGTTGTTAGTTGAGAGACTTTAACATATCCTAAATATGTTTCCTCATTTGAAGAAGGAAAATGATAATCCATGCCTTGTTGGATTGCTGTGAGGAATAAATGAGATTTAGTGAAATACCTGCCTGACATAAGGCAGTAAATGCCAGATGAATATAAACTCATTCTTGAAGGTCAACCAGATTAGTAGGGATTAGGACAGCATACATCATATTTGAACTATTTGCTCTTTAAAAGAGATTTTAGGCTAGGTTTCGTGGCTCATACCTCTAATCCTAGCACTTTGGGAGGCCGAGGAGGGCAGATTGCTTGAGCCCAGGAATTCGAGATCAGCCTGGGCAATTTGGGGAAACTCCTTATCTATAAAAAATACAAAAATTAGCCGGGCGTGGTGATGTGCGCCTGTAGTCACAGCTACTTGGGAGGCTGAGGTAAGAGGGTGGCTTGA
The DNA here is from genome assembly GCF_000001405.40 of Homo sapiens. Taxonomy (NCBI): domain Eukaryota; kingdom Metazoa; phylum Chordata; class Mammalia; order Primates; family Hominidae; genus Homo; species Homo sapiens. Next base: position 154,940,620 of record NC_000005.10, read on the forward strand.
GCCCGGGGTCGAGGCTGCAGTGAGACTAGGTCATTGCTACCACACTCCAGCCTAAGCGAGAGAGAGACCCTGTTTCAATAAAATGAAATAAAATAGCTTTCACACTATTTCAACTGATCTTTACAACAAGCTTGTGCCCTAAGGTTAGTCATTTCTGATAAGAAAACTGAGGACCACCGGATTAGGTGGCTTGTTCACGGATTCTGTTCCCCTACTCCTTTCTAGTTTGTGAGTTGGGACTTTAGTTTTTCTGAATCCAGGTGAATTTTCGGAAGCCCACGTGCTTTCGGCCTTTATTAATTAATTCATTCCCAAGCCAGGTTCGCCTGACCACACCTCGAGCGCCGGCCCAGTGCTTGCGATCTTCGTGACGGCACCTGGGGTGTAAGTACTGCTTGTGGGAGAGCCCCACAGGAAATCCAGAGTATTGCGCATGCGTGCTGTCCAGAAGGCGCTTGAACTCGGCGGCTTCCGTAGCGGGAGGGCGAAAGATGGCGGCGGCAGTACTGGGACAGTTGGGTAAGGATTTCTTAGTGGTTAAGCGACAGAAGGGAGTCGAGATGGAATCTGAGTTGACGGCTTGTGTTGATGTTGCAGGTGCGTTATGGATACATAACCTGAGGAGCCGGGGGAAGCTGGCCTTGGGGTGAGTCTCTCGCTTCGGAGTTTCGGAAGGGCCCAAGGCATCTTTAGTATTCTGCCAGTTGGTAACTGAGCGCCTCCGTGCCTAACTGTGTTTTAGGCTCTGGGGTTACTGAGGCGAATGAGACAGCCCGAGTCTCTGCTTTGTCACTCTATTTTTTCTCCACCTTATTGCATAAACTGTACAGGGATCAGGATTACCCATAACCCAAGGGCGATTGTAAATGCGATTTCCGAACGTCTACTGTGATCTTTCTGGACAAGGTTAGACTATTCCATCTCCATATGGAAGCGTCCAACTTTTCAAGTTACCTCTCTGATTACTTGCTTACATGGGCAGGGACCGTGTTGTGGACAACTCTGCTTTACGTCGTACCTGACATTGTGTTTAGCGGTTTATATGCTTTAACTCACTCTCATAACATTCTACGAGTAGGTTCTGCTATACCCGTTTTTCAGACAAGGAAATTGAAGTCCCCAAACGTAAAATAACTTGCCTAAGGCCACTCAGTTGTAGGAAATTTTGAAGCTTTATACCAGAGCATTCTGTAGCCTTAGGACAAAAGCATTCATTAAAGGTTAGGGTAAGTAGTCGCTGTATTTCTCCCCAAAATAAAAAATCGGTATTTGAAAATTGATAATCTGATTGTAAATTTTCTGGTCTGTCCATTTGTTAGCATTGATTTTGGTTTAGTTCATAGGCTTTGCAGACAGATGAGTTGTATATGAATCCATTTTTTAACTGTGATCTTGGAAAAGTTACTTATTCTTAATAAGCTTCAGTTATCACTTTTATGATATGAGCGTTATGTTAGTACCTATCTCTTAGGATTTAAAAAATTTTTTAATTTTTATTTATTTATTTTTTTAGATGAAGTGTTGCTATGTTGCCCATGCTGGTCTCAAACTTAAGGGCTGAAACAATTCTCTTGCCTCAGCCTCCTGAAGTACTGGGATTACAGGCACATGCCATCTATGTAGCTCTAGTAGATTTTAAAAAGGAAATTCAAACAAGATAATGCATATGAAGTATTTAGTATGTTTATGGCATGTGATAATCCCACTCTGAATTCTAGTTGCCATTAATGTTTTTATTATTATAAATTATTACTGAGTTCCCAATTATATTTAACCCTTTTCTAAGTTTTTGGGTCCGAGGGGGATAAAGAGGTGGGCTAAAGAAGAAAATAGGAAGTAGTAGCTCTTAGGATTTGTCTGTACTCTTCTTAGATAATCTTCTATCACTCTTCCCCCAACCATGCTGATTTACTTACTTTTTCTGAATATACTTTGCACTTACTTGCTTCTTGGCTTTTCCTACTATGCCCTCACATCTTGTCTATAACAGCAGTCCTACCCATTATTCAAACCTCTGTTCAGATGTTTTCCCTTCAGGAAGTTTTCACTGGTTTCTCTAAAACGGAAAGAAATTAGTTTTTCCTTCCTTTTAGCATGTGTGCCTTCTATGATGACTTCATGTATATGTGTATGTGCCCTTTACTAGCTTGTGTATCTTGGAGAAGTAGGGACATTTATTTATTGTTGTACCTCCAGCATAAGGTCTTACACAGGCAAGTATTTTGATGTTGATTTGAATTGTCTTGCACCAACTTGTATTAAGAAGCTCTGAGCAAGAAACTTAAGCAGTTTGCCTTTAGTCTTTTCCTCTATGTCATGATACAAGAGTGTTTGATTTTGCTAGATAATCTCTAAGGCTATTTGCAATTCTGAAGTTATTACATAATTTTGTGAATCCTTATTTTGGATTTTCTAGTGGGGAAAATGACCATAAGAAAACTAAGTAGAAAGGTATAAATAATGTTCATGATAACCATGTAAAATTTTAGCATATAATCTGATTCAGTGATGAGAAACTTTTTTTTCCTTTTTTTTTTGGAGACACGGTCTCGCTCTGTGCCTAGGCTGAAGTGCAGTGCTGTGATCATAGCTCACTGCAGCCTCAAACTCCCGGGCTCCCACCTCAGCTTCCTAAGTAGCTAGAACTACAGGTGCATGCCATCACACCTGGCTAATTTTTAGGGTCTTGCTGTGTTGCTCAGGCTGGTCTCTAACTCCTGGGCTCAAGTGATCCTCCTGCCTTGGCCTGGAGGGATTACAGGCATGAGCCGCCAGGAAACTTAATTGCATATAGGCCCCAGACTAGAAATAAATAAACTAAGGGAAGTTGTCTATGTAAAATGAGAGTGGGAGGGCCTGTGGTGGTCAGTAGAGTGTATTCCTCATCTAAAAACATTGAATTAGGTTAAGAAAACTGCTGCTGACCAAATAAAACATTTCTGCAGGATATATATATATATACACACATATATGCACATATATACATATATACACATATATATACATATATACACATACATACATGTATATACACACACATATATATATAGATATTAAAATTTTTTTTTTTTTAAAGACAGCGTTTTGCTGTGTCACCCAGGCTGGAGTGCGGTATCATGATCATAGCTCACTGCAGCCTCGATTCAAGCCATCTTCCCAACTCAGCCTCCCAAGCAGCTGGGATCACAGGCGTGCACTACTACACCTGACTTTTTTTTGAGTTTTAGTAGAGACAAAGTCCTGTTATATTGCCCGGCTGGTCTGAAACTCCTGGGCTTAAGTAATCTCCCACCTCAGTCTCCCAAAGTGCTGGGATTACTCTGTAGGCTATATTTGTTAGCTGACTGACAGTTTTCAGTTTTTGAATTCCAAGTCTCCTATTTTACTGATGCATACATTTGAGAAGTTTTGTGACTTACTGAAGGTTACACAGTTAAATGTCAAAGTGAGGATCTAAACAAAATATTTTCTGGGACTACAGGTGCAGGCCGCCATACCTGGCTAAGTTTTGTATTTTTAGTAGAGATGGGGTTTCACCATGTTGGCCAAGCTGGTCTCAAACTCCTAGGCTCAAACGATCCGCCCGCTTTGGCCTCCCAAAGTGCTGGGATTACAGGCATGAGCCACCACGCCCAGCCAAAAAAATATTTTTTTTTAGGAGACAGAGTCTCACTATGTTGTACAGGCTGGTCTCGCACTCTTGGGCTCAAGTGATCTTCCCACCTCAGGCTCCCGAGTCTCTGGGATTACAGACGTGAGCCACCAAGCCTGTCTGTACCACCCTTTAGATGGGGGCATATCCTCTTAAGCTTTCCTCAGTTTCCAACCATGTGTAAAATTTTGGCATAGTTATTTACACTCAGTCCTCTTACCTTACCTGTCTCTGTATTCTTTCATTGATTCTACAAATATGTATTTAGTGCCTGCTCTGAGCTGGGAACTATTCTAGCACTGAGGATTTTGCAGGGAACAGGAACAGACAATAATCCCTTGCCATTGTGGGGTGTACAATATAGTAAGGGGGGCAAATAAGCAAAATAAGTAAAATATAGAGTATATTAGATAGTGACATCTGCTTATGAGAAAATAAAGCAGAGATTGAGAATAAGAAGTATGTGTGTTTGAGAGAGGAACTTGTAGTTTTAGATAGGGAAGGCCTCACTAAAAGATAATCTTTGAGTAAAGATTTGAAGGAAATGAGGAAGCATGCTGTGCTAACATCTGAACAAACAGCATTCTGTGCAGATAGAATAGTAAGTGCAACAGCTCCAAGGAACCATATCTGGTGTCAGGAACAATGACAAAAAGGAGAGGGATAGTGATAGGAGATGAGGTCAGAGAGGAAGGGGCAGTCATAAATCATATAGAGCCTTATTATTTTTTGTAAATACTTTGGCTTTTATTCTGAGCAAGATGGGAAACTGTTGTAAGGTTTTGAGCATGGAGTTATATGATCTGACTTATGTTTATGAGTGGTTCTTTCTGGCTGCTGTGTTGAGAATAGACTGGGGTGGGGATGGGGAGCAAGGATGGAAGCAGAGACCGTTGGCTATTTCAGGTATGAGATCATGGTGGCTTGGATTAGGGTGGCCGTGAAGGTAAGTGAATGGTTGGATTCTGGCAGTATGTTAACCACACCTGACAGATCTTGTTGATGCATTGGATGGGAGGTGTGAGAAAGAAGGGTGACACCAAAGTTTATGACCTGAGCAACTGGAAGGGTAGAGTTAACCACTTACTGAGCTAGGAAGACTTCCAGAGGAGCAGGTTTGGGGAGAATATTAGTAGGTCACTTTTGGGTTTGTTAAATCTGAGCTGTTGTAAGCATCCAAGTAGAGATACGAGTAGGCAATTGGGTATATGAGTTTATAGAGTTCAGGGAACGGATGTACATTTGGGAGTCATCAATGCATGGATAATGTTTAAAGCTGCAAAGCTGGTTGACTTCACCAAGGGAGTGAGTGTAGATAGAAAGAGTCCGAGGATTGATTCCTGCCTAAGGCAGCCAATATTACAGACCAGGGAGGGAGACAAGGAAACAACAAAGGAGACTGTGGGGGAGTGGCCAGAGAGGGGAGAAGAAAACCCCAAGTGTCCTGGAACCCAATTAAAGAAAGTGTCTCAAGGAAGAGTGAGTGACCAGAGATACTTAGGTCACTCTCAGATGAGGACTGATAATTAGAATTAGAATTTGTCTGTATTTTCTGTTTTAAGGTTGCTTCATTTTGTTTTAATTGAGTGTTATTCCAGCAATTGGCCAGGAGAGGGCACATAGGAACTTTTGATTTGATATTCTGTGCTTCTAAATTAAGAACCCCATTTGGAATAATACTTTAATTTAATTTGATTATAGTAGTTTGGTCTTTGCTTGATAATTCAGTTCATGAATTATTTGAGTCCTGAAAGTATTATAAGAATTCAGAAAGCTTTGACATTATTAATTCATAGTATGTTTAATTTATGAAGCAACATATTTAATTCACCAAATATGTATTGAAGATTTGAAGAGCGCAAGGTACTGTGCTAGGCGGGTACAGCAGGTATGGGCCTGACTCAAGAAATCTTTCAGATTGGTTTGTAGCAAAGGGGTTCATGTTTCTGTCATGCTGTTGGTGATGAGATTAGAGATAGAATTAAGGTTAGGAGAGGCCTTATAGATGATGTAGTCTAATTCCTCTTTTCACAGACAAAGAAACCAAGGTCCAAAGAGGTGACAAACATAGTGTACCCTACTCGCTAATTACAACTACATAGAACCATAAACGTTTATGATTATAAACTTGAGAAAAAACTTTGAAATTGTGTATTTAAAGCTTACAGTTCACAGGACTTATTTGGGGGCTGGGGACAGGAGAGATTAACTGTTCAAAGGGCCTAACTTTGTTTTATTTTTTATGCCCTTAAAAAAAGAAACACGGGTGTGGTGGCTCACACCTGTAATCCTAGCACTTTGGGAGGCTGAGATGGGTGGATCACCTGAGGTCAGGAGTTCAAGACCAGCCTGGCCAACATGGTGAAACCCCGTCTCTACTAAAAATACAAAAATTAGCCAGGTGTGGGGTGCGGTGGTGCGTCCCTGTAATCCCAGCTACTTGGGAGGCTGAGGCAGGAGAATCGTTTGAATCCAGGAGGCGGAGGTTGCAGTGAGCTGAGATCGCACCATTGCATTCCAGCCTGGGTGACAAGAGTGAAACTCTGTCTCAAAATAAAATAAACAAAACAGAGGCAAGGCCTTGCTATGTTGCCCAGGCTGGTCTTGAACTCCTGGCCTCAAACAGTCCTCCTATCGTGGCCTCCCAAAGTGCTGGTATTGCAGGCGTGAGCCACCATACTTGGCCAAAGGGCCTAATTTAAAAATAACACTAGCCATCAGTGTTTATCATGGGCTAGACATTGTAGGATGCACTAAATTATTAATCCATCAACAGTATTAAGTAAGTATTATTTTCCTCATTCTACAAGTAATAATATCTAAAATTTATTGAGCCCTTTTAAGTGTCAGGTTAAGTATTTTACTTGCATTTGAGCTTCTTAAGAAGGCTATGAGGTAATTATTATTAGTCTATTTACTGATGGGAAAACTGAGACCCAGAAAATTATATGACTTCCCCAAGGCCATTCACCTAGTAAATTAGAGTTAGGATTTAGACCAAGGTCTGCTCGACTCTGTAGCCTCAGCTGTCACCACTCGGCTTATTTTAGCAAAATAGGCCTTCATACATCATGTATCCTAATTTTGTGCTTTTCAGTTAAGACATTGGAACCTAAATGTGGATGGCAAAGGTATTGATTTTGTTAGGTATTTTGATGGCACTAATCTTGATATTAGGATAGGAGATAGTGAACTTGGGGTAAAAATGATACACTAGAATAGATTTGTTTGAGTCTTTGGTCTAAATGGCTTGAAGACTAAAAACAAAGGTTTTGTTTGCCAAGTAAATCATCCAAGTTGCATATTTGTATGAGAATATGCCAATATACAACCACTTTGAGTATATAAGTCTGAGTTAAATGTTTACGCAGTATCCACGTACCAGACATTGTTCTTGGTGCTAGAATACAAAGAAAGTCGGACTTGCCCTTTAAATGCTCAACATCTGTACACTTAGTACAATAACTCATTCTATTATAGCCACTTACGATAGTACAGTGGTCTAAGTCATTGCTGTATGGCTGGCAAGAACAAAGTATTAAGACAACGCGAGAATCATGATCAGATAAGGGATTAGGTGATGTTTCACATTGAGGTGACATTTGAGCTAGAACTTAAAACAGGATAAGCATTTCATTCAGGAGATAATAAGACGAGAAAACAATTTGAATAAAGGCTTGTTCAGGGAACAATGAACATCTATGTGGCTAGGCTATAAGGGCAGATTGGGTCTAGATTATGAAAGGCCTTCTATGTCTCGCTAAAGAGTCTGGACTTCGTATTGTGGGCAGTAGGGAAATACCAAAGTTTGCTGTGTTAACTTTTTATTTGGATATGCCCAGACATATACAAAAGTAGACAGTTTGATGAACCTCCATGTATCCGTCACCCAACTTCAACACTTACTACTTATGGCCAATGTTATTTATAACCTGTACTCTCCCTCATCATATTTTGAAACACTCCCCCCACTGTATCATTTTCATAAATATTTTACTATTATCTCATTAAAAAGCATTAAATATCCATTTGATATTTAAACTTCCAATGGCTTCGTAACTGTCATACTTTATAATAGTTCACACATTGAAACTAATTGATATTTCTGTTAAATCTCTTACTCTGTAGGTTTTTTATTCAACCCTCTCTTTTTTTTCTTGTAATTTATTTGTTGGAGACAATTGGTTGTTTTGTAGCGTTTTCTATACCTTGGATTTTACCGAGTGCATCCCCATGATATTACGTAACATGTTGTCTTTTCTCTGTGTTTCCTATTTTGAATCTAGGGGCTTGAGCCCCCAGTTTCATTTTGGGCAGGAAAGACTACTTTGTGGATGGTGGGTGGTGTGTTCTTCCATAAGGAGGCACATAATGCCTCCTTTATCCATTAGTTTATTAAGGATTATAAGATGATGCTATAATAATTTGCTATTCCTTCATTACTAACTTTATACAAGTCAAATTTTTCCTCATCTACTACTTGGAAACTTAATGGTACAGTTTGTATAGGAAAGACAGGATAAGTCTTGTCTTTTTCTTCATTCTTTCTCTTCATTCACCAGTTTTCAAAATAACAAGTTGGCTCACTAGCATTTTCTAATGGTAATTAATTTGTATTTTTCCTGGTTTTATTATGAACTTATGGCTTTAAACATATTTGATGTGTTTCAACCCACTACAATTATTGTCCTGATTAATGCTTGGCTTGTCCCATCTTTGGCTTGTTGGGCATCCACAAGTTGGCTCCTGAGTGCCTTTGACATGACCTTGGTAATCTTTGATGGCTTCTTTGCTTTCTGATATGACAAGATGTTCTGGGCTCATTTTGTATGTTATCTGCTTGAGATCTGCAATCAGCCATTTCTCTCAGAAGTTTTGGTTCTCTTCAATAGGAAATGGTATTTCAAGACCGTAATCTGGGAAGTAGGGGCACTAATTGCTACTAGATTGTTCATTGCTTCTACACCTCTTCAGTGGAGAGATCTAGTACTTATTGGATTTTGGCTGAACCTTTTCTGCTTATTTCCATACCAAGAATCCCAGTAGTCAGTGACACTGAAAAAAAAGGATAGCATTAGAATATTACATAACTATTCATTTGCTTATTTCAATAGACGTTTTTAAGCTGGAGGATGACATGAGTAGCTCTGAATTATAGAAGGGTAGCTCATTTGGTACTCAAGCAGAGAAAGATGGATTGGAATTGGGCAAGTTGATGGAAGAGAAATCAATCTAGAGGCTATTGCTATATAGGATGGTGGCAATTAGAATGGGGAAGAGGTAAAGCATTTGAGAACGATTTCAGGGGAATCTTTATTTTATCTGTAAGATTTGGTGACTAGCTCTGGCAGGATGAAAATCATTGGGAAGTTGAAGATAAACTCTAGAACACCATTCAAGAGTGATTTTATTTAGTGATATAGGGGAGTAGCGGATGCTGGGGAAAATGGGAGAGGGAGAATGACTAGTTGTATATTATTAAAGCAGTTAAAGTGTGGGGGAAGAGGTCAAGGAATAGTGAATTTGGGATCTTCATCATCAAGTCTCAGCCTATTAGTTTAGCATTCAAAGACAACCACTCTAGCCTCAATGACCTTTCCAATACTTAACAAATTCTCTGACTCAGTCAGACCTCCCCTTATTTCTCAACTCTGTACCTCTGCATAGATGATATATGTCGTTGCCCCATTCCTCTGATAATTAGTGTATTAGTCCATTTCACACTGCTATAAAGATACTACCTGAGACTGGGTAACTCATAAACCAACAAGGTTTGATTGACTCACAGTTCTGCGTGGCTGGGGATGCCTCAGGAGACTTAGAATCATAGGGGAAGGTGAAGGGGAAGCAGGCAACTTTTTCACAAGGCAGCAGGAGAGAGAGACAGTGCAGGGAAACTGCCACTTTTAAACCATCAGATCTCATGAGAACTCCCTCACTATCACGAGAACAGCATGGGGGAAACTGCCCAGCGATCTAATCACCTCCCACCAGGTCCCTCCCTCAACATGTATGGATTACAATTGAAGATGAGATTTGGGTGGGACACAGAGCCGAGCCATATCAATTAGGAAGTTCAAGATTCACCTGAAGTCACCTCTGAAATCCTCTGCTGTTTCCCATATTTTAGTTATGTGGTTTTATATTGTCTTCTAATTGTTTTGTGTTTTTGTCTTAGTTACTCAACAAAGTTGGGCAATCTTACAGGTCAGATCAGAGAGCTCATTATGTCTTCTCTAAATCTTTCTTAGGAGTGGGTGACTTATAGAAGACAGTGTTATTGGCCAGTCAGGGCAAGAAATCTTGGGTTAATATCTATTAACGGTTTGACTTATGTGCGTTTACTTTCTCTCCTGTTAGCCTCTAATAAACTGTCTCTTTGTTGTGTTTAAAAGTAGTCTCTATTAATGAATACCTCTAGAATATTTCCAGTTGTGATCCTTAAATTGTTTTCATCAAAATGGAGCTGAAGTGGTTCAAAAGATATGTAAACTCTACAGAAAGGTCCCCTAAGTGTCTGTTGTTTTATAGGCTTCTTTCATTTCACAGTGTTTTACCTCAATCATATATCCACACAAGTGCTTCTCTTGACATTTCTCGAAAATGGGAGAAGAAGAATAAAATTGTTTATCCTCCACAACTGCCTGGAGAACCTCGGAGACCAGCAGTAAGTTCGTGGGTAGAACTAATCTCTTAATTGTGGTAGTGCTCTTACTCTTAAGTGATTAGTAATGATTTATTATTCTGTGTTAAAAAAATTATACAACCATTCACTCTAATTGACAGAGAAGATGTACTAGATTTATCTCTTCAATAGTTGAAAAAGATTGTTATTCTTTACTTATTTGTCTTTACTTAACCTCCTGGATAGGGACCTTAACTCTAAAACTAAGCTAATAGTTTAAGACATACTGATTTTTGACTCTGAGAGGCTTGCTGATGAGCTCTTAATGATGGAGCATGTGGAGTTGGCAAGAATGACTTAAACTATTGGCCAATGTTTAAATTATGTATATGATTTTCCAGTGTTATATATTTGAATATAGACACACTGTTTTTTGTTTGTTTGTTTGTTTGTTTGTTTTGCAATTTGAACCTAAAGTTTGAACTTAATCATTGGGTTCCTACTGGAGATTTATCTTATCGTTATCTGCACAGAATAAACAAATAACTTTTCAACTTTCATATTTTGTCATGACATCACAACTTGAAAGATTTGTCAGTATAGGCTATTAAGTATTGACTCCATTTTGTTTATTTTATTTTATTATTATTATTATTTTTGAGACAGAGTCTTGCTCTGTCACCCAGCTGGAGTGCAATGGCACGATCTTGACTCACTGCAGCCTTCGCCTCCCGGGTTCAAGGGATTCTTCTGCCTGAGCCTCCGGAGTAGCTGGGATTACAGGTGCCCGCCACGATGACCAGCTAATTTTTGTATTTTTAGTAGAGATGGGGTTTCACCATGTTGGCCAGGCTGGTCTCCATTTTGTAATTAACCAAAATTGACTAAATGAAACGTTACACAATTGCACAAATATCATAAATAAAAATTTTTCTGTAACTAATGAACTTTTTTTGCTTCTTACCTGAGCTCTTTGAAATCACGTATTTTTTTTTTTTTTTTTTGAGATGGAGTCTCCCTCTGTCGCCCAGGCTGGAGTGCAGTGGTGCAATCTTGGCTTACTGCAAACTCTGCCTCCCGGGTTCACGCCATTCTCCTGTCTCAGCCTCCCGACTAGCTGGGACTACAGGCGCCTGCCACCATCCCGGCTAATTTTTTGTATTTTTAGTAGAGACGGGGTTTCATCGTGTTAGCCAGGATGGTCTCGATCTCCTGACCTCATGATCCGCCTGCCTCGGCCTCCCAAAGTGCTGGGATTACAGGCGTGAGCCATCGTGCCCGGCCTGAAATCAGGTATTAATTGGAAATAAATTACAACAGTATTTGTCAAGTCCAGAATCTATAACAGCACAATTTTGTTATGTGTTTGTTTTGTTTAGTATCTTTAGATACTAAAAAAATGTACTTTAGGATATATCCCAAGTGGCAAAATTCAAATAGTTAGTAGTATGTCATCTGCTTAACTCTAGCAAATGATGAACACTATCAATACAGTAATTTGTTGTGTGTTATATTTAATGAAACTATTTTGATTAACTTTTTTGTATCATTTATCCTTCTTATACAAGTGCCTGTGGGAAGACATTTAATTTGATTTGATATAGGTACTTTGGAAAACCTTAATTTCTCTATTTTGCACAGATTTTGTTTCAGTAATCCTTTGGGGGACAAATTATGACATCTGGGAAATATGAACATTTTCTGACTTTAAATAGTATTTAGTAATTTAATATTGGTACATCAGTTGTACCTGTTATGACTGGGAATACCGATACCCTTCATAAATACCTAACTTACCAGAAATAATTTATTCACTGGCCATATAGTTCATAATACTGCGCTATAATATACAATGTCCCTTAGAATTTCCAATCTGCCAGCTGCAGCCATTATTAAAATTAGTTTTATCTCTAGCTGAAAAGAGGGCCAGATAATATCTACCATTCTACCTAATTCTGATCTTCTGCATTAGAATATATAGTCAATAAATAACAGTGGATGGGATAGTGAGCAAAACCCGTAGCAGTAAATAAAAATGAATGTTACCAATGTAGAGTTGTTCTAGGCTACTCCTCATATTTTTAAGACTAACTTCGTAGTTTAGCTAGCACCAATTTCCAAAGAATATAGATTCTTATGTAGATTTTATCTTATATGGGGCTTCATATGAAGACAGTGAAGGCTGGGTGTGGTGGTTCATGCCTGTAATCCCAGCACTTTGGGAGGCTGAGGTGGGCATATCACAAGGTCAGGAGTTCAAGCCCAGCTGGCCAATATGGTGAAGTCACATTTCTACTAAAAATACAAAAATTAGCCGGGTGTGGTGGTGCACACCTGTAGTCCCAGCTACTGGGAGGCTGAGGCAGGAGAATCACTTGAACCTGGGAGGCAGAGGTTGCAGTGAGCTGAGATCGCACCACTGCACTACTTCAGCCTGGGTGACAGAGCGAGACTCCGTCTCAGGAGAAAAAAAAAAAAAAAAAAAAAAAAAAGAAAATGAGCCAGAGAGAAATTAAATGGCTTTCTTTATGATAGTCACACCTTGTTAATTTGGGCTTCAGTTTCCTTTTGCAGTATCTTTGAAAAAAAGCTATGTTAAATAAATGAAAAGTGTAATGAGACTGGGTCAAAACTCTTTGAGCTACCATTTCTTATTTTTCCTCTTTTTCTTCACTCCCCCAACAACCGTTTCTATATGAGACGTATTTTTAATTTATGGATTAGTCAGCATACTGATAATAATACCTTAATGTGAATCTGAATCTCATAAAGCTCTAGTAAGAACTTTTTTTTTTTTTTTTTTTTTTTGAGACAGGGTCTAGCTCTGTTGCCCAGGCTGGAGTGCAGTAGCATGATCTCGGCTCACTGCAGCCTCCACCTCCTGGACTCAAGCTATTCTTGTGCCTCAGCCTCCCAAGTAGCTGGGATTACAGGTGTGTGCCACCACGCCCGGCTAATTTTGTATTTTTAGTAGAGATGGGGTTTCTCTGTGTGGTCCGGGCTGGTCTCCAACTCCTGGCATCAAGTGTTCCACCCACCTTGGCCTCCCAAAGTGTTGGGATTACAGATGTGAGCCACCGCACCTGGCCTAAAACTTTTTTTTTTTTTTTTGAGACAGGGTCTCACTCTGTTGCCCAGGCTAGAGCACAGTTGTGCAGTCATGGCTCACTATAGCCTTGACCTCCTGGGCTTAAGAGATCTTCCCACCTCAGCCTCCTGAGTAGCTGGGACCACAGGTATGTGCCACCACTCCCAGCTAATTTTTGTATTTTTAGTAGAGACGAGTTTTTGTCATGTTGCCCAGGCTGGTCTCAAACTCCGGGGCTCAAGCAATCTTCCTGCCTCGGCCTCCCAAAGTGCTGGGATTACAGGCATGAGCCACAGCGCCTGGCCAGAAATTTTATTAGGTAACACTTTTTCCTCATTTGAATTATTATATGCATTTAAAAATAAATTGATTTATTTAAAAGTTATTGATTTAGACATTTTATAATTTAGACATACATTTATTTCATTTGAATAACTATTTTACGTATCCTATCCTCACTTTATCTAATTTGCTGTATAGGTCAGTTAATGGCAGAGATATATAACTAGGTCTTCTGACCTCCACCTTTGTTACTTTATTTGCTTGATACGTACTGAGACTTTGTCTCGTTTATCTTTAGAAAGTGCCCTTAGACATTTCACCTGCCCAAAGTAAATGCTGAGGTTTTTTTTCAGTTTTGGAAGAGGATGATTAACTTTTGCCTTTCTTGTAAACACTTCTTCCTTTTTGCCATCCTCTGGTCAGGATTACCATTGTTTATATGTGTAAAATTTGAGGGTAATCATACAAAATTAAGGTTTAAAATTATCCCACCACAAGAATGCACAAATTAAAGGGTCTCTTCTTTTTTATTTTTATTTTTTTGAGACGGAGTCTCGCTCTGTCGCCCAGGCTGGAGTGCAGTGGCGCAATCTCAGCTCACTACAAGCTCCACCTCCCGGGTTCATGGCATTCTCCCGCCTCAGCCTCCCGGGTAGCTGGGACCACAGGCGCCGGCCACCATGCCCGGCTAATTTTTTTTTTTTGTATTTTTAGTAGAGACGGGGTTTCACCATTCACAGGATGGTCTCGATCTCCTGACCTTGTGATCCGGCCGCCTCGGCCTCCCAAAGTGCTGGGATTACAGGCTGAGCCACTGCTCCCGGCCAAGGGTCTCTTCTATATGAAAGATTTCATTGAGTGGATTAATTTTTGCAGATTATTATTATCAGTCATGATAGTTCTTTCCTCTCCCTGTCTCCCCAAGAAACTTTATTGCTGAAAATGTAATTAGGCTATTGCTATAGTTTCAGGCTGTCTGCTTCTATTGCAACTGAAATCTGCCACATATTAAAAGATGGCCACTTGAGAAAACTGCTCTTTCTAAGGCATTTGAAAATTTCCAGCAGGAGTCAGAATGTTAGAAAGTTTTGAGACCTCCTTGCTATAGTTTTCCATAACACATGTTTTCTAATTTTTTTTTAAATGGCAGTTTGGTATAGTAGTGGAAAGAAAGTGGGTTTTAGAGTCAATAGAGGAACTTTTGAAAGTAGATGTGCTAGACATTGTATCAGGTGTATCATACTTCTCTGTTCTTTGAATTCCAACTTTGTCTCTTGCAAACCTCTGGTCTTAGACAAGTCACTTGATTTCTCTGATTTTCAGTTTATATGTAAAATGTTTCATCCCTCAACTCATAGAGTTAGACTAAATGAAATAATGAGTGAAAAGTGCTTTTTGAACTATACATTGTAATTAAACAGGACATACCTACAACTTTAAATAGAAGATAATAAAAGCTAACATTTACTGAGAAGTTACCATGTGCCAAGCACTATAAAATGGTTTCTTGAAATAGGTTACTTTATTTCCCTCTAATTATCGTTTTATTTATTTTACAGAAGAGGAAAATTAGAGAGAGGTTAAGTAGCTTGCTCAAGATTATGTAGCTAGTAAATGGCAGAGTTAGGATTCAAATCCAGGCAGGCAGTCTGATTCTAGAACCTATGCTGTTGGCCAAACACCTAGAATATTGGCTTTTCACATGAAAACACTTGTCCATTTTGCCATTTTTCTCCTCATTAATAATGAACGTTTTCTTGTACTTTTTCTTTTGTTCTTTTAATCAGCTAAATGTTTTAAAGATACTTTCATTTAAATCTTTTAGGATTTCTTTGGATAGAAATGTTGCAAGTGTTGACACAAACCAGCCATTGTATAGTTTCTATTTCTCCCGTAGTAATCTTTTAACATAGTGAGACTTTGGAAAAATACAACTTTGTGTAGGGGAAAATAATCTCTAAATTCTTAGTAATGTTTCTATTTCTTATGGCAGCATTTTCTTTAGGCCTAGAAAGTAAAAACTTAAATAACAGTATATGTTATTGTCATTTTGTGGTAAACCTGCTAACATTTTCTTTCTGTCCTTTTTTTTCCAATTTGTAAGGAAATCTACCACTGTCGAAGACAAATAAAATATAGCAAAGACAAGATGTGGTATTTGGCAAAATTGGTAAGCTGCAATGACTATTACCATATAATTAATAATTTAGGAAAGAAGCTATGAGTTCCCCTCCCCACCCCTCACCCCAGGATTTGAAAAATAAAAAAGATTTGTGAGGAATGTGATATAATTGGTAGGTTGTCAAAAGAATGATTGTTCAGAGATGTATGATTTTCCTTAATTTTCACCTTTTTCTGAGAAACTAAATCACATTGGATAGATAGATACTAAAAGGCATCAGGAGTTTGGCTATAACCAGAGAATCCAGGAAACCCACCTATTTATCTGTAAACTTGATTCAACCTGTTTTAAAACTGTTGCTTTTAAGTTTTTTTCCCTAGGAAATGAAATTTATAGATGAGGGGAGACTGAAGCAGCAAATATACATGTAATACATTTATCCTATAGGAGAAGGAGATGCCTTGAATGCCTAGTGTGGTTGTTACCAACCTGTGGTCTCTCTGTCATGTTTGCTGTCTTTTAATGTTATTGAAACTATTATAATCTCAGTTTTATGGTTAAAATGTTTGTTTCATTTTGACTGAAAGAGAATAGTGTCTCCTCTCAAACTTGTTTTCTTCTCTTTTATTTGGGTTCAATTCACTGTTTTTAGAAGTTACTCAAATTATGTAAGACTTTCATTGAAAAGGAAACATTGACTTTGTAAACTAATTTATTTTCTTTTGTCTCTCACCCTTTAATTCTAGATACGAGGAATGTCTATTGACCAGGCTTTGGCTCAGTTGGAATTCAATGACAAAAAAGGGGCCAAAATAATTAAAGAGGTAAACTTACAAGTTTGGGTGTGGTAGGGAATGGGGAACTGGGGAATGCAGCTGTCTTGCAATTATTAGTAAGCTTAGCCTAAATCATGAATTCCCTAAATTTTCTGTTGTAAATGCATACTTTATATAATACAGATTTAGGGTTCTCAGTTTATTAAATATGTGTATACTTTAGGAATGTTGTGTGCTTTAGGGTTTATTTCCTGAGGTGCTTTTATTTCCACCAAATATTTATCTGTTTTTTACTGCTTATGATGTGATGAATCTTATTTTTAATGATTTGGGGCTTGGTACGTATATGTGTGTATTTGTGTGTATGTATGTGTGTTTGTGTATATAATTTATTTCTTGGAGCAAGGCTGAACTTCAAGGTATATTTTTTTGAAGATTTTTTTTTTCCTATAAAGGAGAGTTTTTATAACTAAGTAATTTTGTAACTAAATGGAAAGAGCCCTGGACTGGAACTCAAGAGACTTGGACTCTAGTCCTTTCTCTGATCTTTTTCTTGTGACCGTGGGCAAGACACTTAACCAGTCAGTTTCTATTTTTCTCACCTAAACTATGTGGAATTGGATTAGATGACCCCTAAAGATCCTTCCAACTCTAAATGTAGCTAATTCACTAGATACAAATGTGCTGATGGTAATTGTGGTGACTCTTTCTAGGAACATGAATATTCTTTTTTTATTACATATATTTTTCTTTTTTTTTTTTTTTTTTTTGAGACGGAGTCTAGCTCTGTTGCACAGGCTGGGGTGCAGTGGCGCCATCTTGGCTCACTGCAGTCTCCGCCTCCTGCGTTCAAGCGATTCTTCTGCCTCAGCCTCCCGAGTAGCTGGGACTACAGCTGCGCGCCACCATACGCGGCTAATATTTTTGTATTTTTAGTAGAGATGGGATTTCACCATATTGGCCAGGCTGGTCTTGAACTCCTGACCTCAGGCGATCCGCCCACCTCAGCCTCCCAAAGTGCTGGGATTACAGGCGTGAGCCACCGCGCCTGGCCTATTTTTCTTTTTTAATATTCTTTTTTCAAAAAGTTGTATTGATTATTGTCCGTTACCATCTGGGGCTATCAGCATTGTTTTCTATATATTCAGTTAATTCTCACCAAAAGTCAGTTCATACCTTTCAGTTTAGTAGTAATAGGTAAATAGTTGAGATTGATAGATTCAGACTTCTAAAGGGTTCCTTTGTAATGCTTTGATTTTGCTATATTCAATTCAGAATGCATTTACAAGTGTTTGTTGTGTACCCAGCCTTGTACTACATTCTTTATCTTTTAAGGCGTGAAAGATTTGGTTTCTGTTATTTCTGACAATTGTCTTTTTTTTTTTTTTTTTTTTTTTTGAGATGGAGCCTCGCCCTGTCGCCCAGGCTGGAGTACAGTGGCGCCATCTCCGCTCACTGTAAACTCCACCTCCTGGGTTCAAGCGATTCTACTACCTCAGCCTACCGAGTAGCTGGGACTACAGATGTGTGCCACCACGTCCAGCTAATATTTTTGTATTTTTAGTAGAGATGGGATTTCACCATGTTGGCCAGGATGGTCTCAATCTCTTGACCTCATGATCTGCCCACCTCGGCCTGCCAAAGTGCTGGGATTACAGGCGAGAGCCACTATGCCTGGCCCAATTGTCATATTTTTACAAAAATGTGTTCTGGAGGAAGTTAATTCAAAATATCTATGGAGAGTAAATTTGATAATTAACCTCTTCAAGGAAATTATTATATCAAGTGTGATTTTCTCTACTTGTCTGATGTTAATGGTTATTTGCATCCAAAGTTTAAGAATTTTTATTTTATTCTAGTTTTTAATTAGATTTTTGTTTTTTTAGAGGCAGGGTGTCACTCCATTGCCCAGGGCTGGAGTATAGTGGCATGATCACAGCTCACTGCAGCTTTAACTTCCTGAGCTCAAGGGATTTTCGTCCTTCAGCTTCCCAAATAGCTGGAACTGCAGGTGTGTGCCACCACGTCCAGCAAATTTTTCACTTTTGTAGAGATGGGCTGGTCTCGAACTCCTGGCCTCAAGGGATCCTCCTGCCTCAGCCTCCCAAAGTGCTGGGATTATAAGCATGAGCCACCATCCCAGCTAAGACTTTTCAGTAAGATTAAGCTATTGAGTTTCATGAACTTCGTGTTTGTTTTTTAAGATAGGGTCTCTGTTGCCCAGGCTGGAGTGCAGTGGTACAATCTTGGCTCACTGCAGCCTCCACCTCCTGGGTTCAAGTGATCCTCCAGCCTCAGCCTTCCACATAGCTAGGATTAGAGGTATGTGTTACCACACCTGGCTGATTTTTGTGTTTTTAGTAGAGGCGGGGTTTTGACATGTTTGCCAGGCTGGTCTCAAACTCCTGGCCTCATGTGGTCTGCCCATCCCATCTTGGCCTCCCGAAGTACTGGGACCATGGACATGTGAACCACTGCATCTGGCCTTGGGAACTTTTTGACAAGTTTCTGACTCAAAGACATAATGTTCCTTCCCAAGGGTACTGCTTACAAGCACCGCTATCTCCTTTATAGCTTACACATGTCATTTAAAACTTAGTAGGATGGGCTGTGTTCTATGCATTTACACTTCTTGGTCTAAGGCAGGAAAGCTCCCTTCTCCTTTGTACTCTTATCATTTGATATTGTCTTTTTAAAATTGACTATGGAAGCATGTGATTAGCAGTCATAGTACAGAGATAATGAGAGATGAGAAACTTAATTCCATTTTACTTCAGGTTTAGCCGTATAAATGCTTTTCTTTTTCTTATTTAAGGTTCTCTTAGAAGCACAAGATATGGCAGTGAGAGACCATAACGTGGAATTCAGGTCCAATTTATATATAGGTAAGATTTTTAATATTCTTAGCATTAGAAAATGTCTTCAGTAGTAATGCCATGTTTTTTATCTAACAACAGTCTTTAATATCTAACTCCTCAGGACTTGGTTTGTCAGTGAAAATTGCTAGTAATGGCTTATTCTTCAGCTGTATGCATGCCAATTTTAATTTAGTGTAAATGACAATAACTGTACTGTTTTACCTGTTCTGTAGTGAGACTGAGATCATAAAGCCAATTGCTAATAATTATTAAATAATAGATACCAAGACTGGGGTACATAGAGTGGTACTTTAATTGTAATATTATAACAAATAGTATTAACACATTTTTAAAGTTGTTTGTCAACCAGAAGGAGGTAAATAATCACAGGTGCATTTAAAAAATTTTTATTTATAATGTGCCAAGCCAGATGCCTAATCCATAAAGGTGTCCTGTAATTTAACCTTACAGTTATCAAAATGGAAGGTCTGTTGAATTGTAAAAGCCAAGGGGCCTTGGAAGGCTCAGATGACCCAGATGTGTTTGTTCCACTTTGTTACTACATCCTGAAGCATTAGCTCTGCTTTTACATGCTTGTTCCACATCAAATTAAATTAATATAAGTTAAAATGCTTTGGGAAGCATGATGTGCTGTACAAATGTAAGGAATCTTTTTGCTGCAGACCGTCACACAGTTATTTTCTGAGAAGGAGATTAATGTTTATTACAAAGCTCTCTTGCCTCCTCCCAACACCATGGGAAAGTGGAGCAGTGGTTGGAGTTATTATTTTTTTCTCACTACAGCAATTACTCCTAACCTCAGCAGTTTTATATTCAAACAAAGATGTTGATGTTGAAGCAAAGTTTTCTCAATCTGCCATACCAACATATAAAGATTATTTTACTTAAAGCTATTTTAAATTCAAGATATGGGGAACATCTACTCTCCAGATGGAGGAGAAAGGGCTGAATCAATACAGGGGGAATTAGTTGTATTTTATAATTTTTCAACAATTAGAGTAAAAAAAAAATTATCTAAATTCTACTTTTTCACATAGCCTCTGTGCTGATTAGGTTAAAATCTCAGTTCAACTCACCTGGCATTGATGTTGGCCACCACACCTCCTGAAATTCAAATTAGTTGATTTTCAGTTGAAATGCTTTATTTTAAAGCTGAATCTTGTATAATTTTATTTTGATACATGCAAAGATGCAAAGGGAAATCAAAATGGCAACCCAAGATGCAGGGCCATGGTAGTTAATCATAAGCATTTTCTTCTGGGAGCATTATGAATAAATAATGTTGGAGAGGTCTTGGAACCATTGGAAGGGATGAGGAGCAAGACCATTTGCTTAAAACCTCTTGGTGATTCTTCCTGCTCTGTGACTCTGAATATCAAATCAAATTTAATTAATTTTATGCAGTTTCACAGGGATGTGAGATTCGTAGCTGATAGACTTTCTAATGGACTTCAGATACAAATGAAATATGATTTGTCTTTAAGCCTTTTTCAATAACTGTCTTTAAATCCTTTTCAATAATTATAGTAAAGAGAGATAGGATAAAGAGCTTAATCCTGTTGCTCCAAATGAAGGAGCAGGGTCCACTGTTGCCATTAAGCAAAAACATGCTTAACCAATCCTACATAAATGACCCTTTATTTTATCTTTTTTTATTTTTGGAGATGAGGACTTGCTCTGTCACTCAGGCTGGAGTGCAGTGGTGTGATCACAGCTCACTGCAGCTTTGAACTCCTGGTCTCAAGTCATCTTCCTGCCCCAGCCTCCTGAGTAGCTGGGACTAGAGGCACGTACGAGCACACTTAGCTAATTTTAAAATTTTTTGTAGAGACAGAGGTCTCGCTTAGATGCCTATGCTGGTCTTGAACTCCTGGCTTCAAGCAGTCCTACTGCCTCAGCCTCCCAAAGTGTTAGGATTACGGGCATAAGCCACATTGTCTGACCCTTTAATCCAGAGTTCTTTTGCACATTTCTGCTGAAAAATCTCTGCCTTACCTGTACTGTCTTTTCATCTACTTCTGTGTTGATGACTTAAGTAAGGCTAATAAATTTGGATTTACATTATGATTTTTAAAATTTTTCATTCACTAAGTATTTTGATGCCTAATTCCATAATCAAAAGAGATGAGTTCCCTCAGGAAGAGTATGATGTGTCAGACATTTTATCCCTGTATTTGCCAAGCTGCTTCTTAAGAATCATCTTGAGGTTGTTATTTAAAATATAGATTCCCAGGCCTCGGCACAGACCCACTGGACTTGAAACCCCAGTGGAGAGGCCTAGGAAGCTGTTTATTTAATAAACAAGTTAATAATAATCAGTTGTTTAATAAACTATTGATTCTTAACCATAAAATATGGGAAACTGATTTATCTTACTGTGTTCTTGGAAAAGGCCTAGACATTTCATTCCATAGACTTCTGTTAGAGTTTTGAAAAACTAGTTACTTATTGGCTACTATTTTGGTTCAGCAATGGTTCTTTCAGTACCCTGAAATAAGTATAGGCATTTTAAAGGAAGTGCTTTTTTGATAGCATATGTTCTCATTATATGGTAACTCTTTCAAATGCCTGTCATTGGTGTAAAGCTAATACCTGGTGTTGCATGACCACAGATTTAGAAAGTTCACTTCCCTTTCAAACTTATAGTGATGACTAATGATACTGTGAATAGGCCTTAACAAGTGGACAGGGACTAATAAAATGTCTCTGCTTAGTGATTCATGGCATCTAAAGTGAATCACTTTAGGGAAAGTGATCAACTGACCTTGTACATCAATCTTATTGGCTGAGAGTGATGAAGGTGGGAGCGGAGGGCTTCTAATGTTACAATTTCAAGATTTGTATTTACCTAAATACTACTAATAGGAAATATTTGCTGTGTGTATATATATTTACTTACTTATTTATTTATTTTGAGACGGAGTCTCACTCTGCACCCAGGCTAGAGTGTAGTGGTGCGATCTCAGCTCACTGCAACCTCTGCCTCCAGGGTTGAAGCAATTCTTGTGCCTCAGCCTCCCGAGTAGCTGGGACTACAGGCATGCATCACCACACCCAGCTAATTTTTGTATTTTTAGTAGAGATGAGGTTTCACTATGTTGGCCAGGCTGGTCTCGAACTCCTGACCTCAGGTGATCCACCTGCCTCGGCCTCCCAAGATTTTGGGATTACAGGCGTGAGCCACTGTGCCTGCCCTGAAAATATTGGCAATATTTTAAATTCATTACACCTATTGGGTATTATCTATAGAAAAACACAGGTTGTCTTCATTTTTGAGATATCTTAATGTATTCTTTCATTCAAAAAGTATTTGAGTACTTTCTGTGTGCATACTATCCACATTAAATAGGTGATGTTATATCTTTTGTGTCATTTTAAAACATTTAACACTTGTAGTTCTTTGACAGTAGTATTTCTTTGGAAGAATGCATACATTGTTCTTCTGAAGTATAATAATACTGTGTATACCATTAATATTATATGTACTTGAAAAACTTTGAAACTTATTTCAGAATTTGAGCAGATTTACCAGAGACCTCTGTATTGAAAAAATGATATTAAGTAGCAGATGATGTATTTCAAAATTATTTCTGTTTCTATGGATCATGAACTTTTGGGGCAATACAAAAAGGGTATAAGTTTGGTTGAGGAGGTGACTTTTACAGATGAAACACAGATGCTTATAAAGACAGCATATGATTTGGGACCAAAAAGAGTAATACAGACAAATGGTATTGTTGGAGTAGAGAAGAAAAGGTCAATATGGGTTAGAATAGTCGTGGAGACTTTCTAGAAAAAATTGGCATGTGAAGATAGGCTTTTGGGAGTCTGGAGGAATGCTCTTCCAGGAGAAGAGCAGATTTTTAAAGTGGGGTGGCCATACATGCAGAGGCACATAGGTTGGAATAAGCAGTAATAGTGTAGTACAATGAGGAGAACAGTGTGAAGGAAGTAGAAGTTTGACCTCGAGTAGATAAAATGGGAAGGGTAGATTGGGCCTATATTCCAGAGAACTGAACATGGCAGGCTGTGTATTTGGTTCAAACTATATCAAAGAGGTTTGGGTAAGAGATTTATGTTATTAAGATAGTGTTTTAAAAGTATTAACAATAAGCGGTAGTTTTGAAATTGTGCTCTGTGGGGTGTTTAGCAGTGGGACCCTTGATATCTTGGTCACCACTATATCCTTGGAGCCCAGGACAGAGCCTGGTACCCAGGAGGAACTAAAAAATGTTTGTTGAGTGAATGAATGGCAGAGTTTTGGGTCTTCCTTGACCCACGTTTCAATAGGAGCAGATCAGCATTACAGTGTTATATATATCAGGCTTCTACATATTGTTTCATTTTACTTGAAATGATTCCATATACAAAAGCAGTTTGAAACCCCTAAATATGGACTTAGTGGAGGAGAGATTGGAGGAGAGGAACCAGGAAACAGTTTGGCAACTATGTTCTAAGTCCTGATTTCATTTACACCTCAGGGTGGCTGTGTTGGGTATTCCCATTACGGTGTATTAAAGAATCTTAGGATGTTTCAGAAAAATTAATGTTTTTGTTTTGACATAAAGAAATGATGGCATCATGGCTTTAAGATATGCAGATGATCTTTTATGGCTTTAAGATGAAATCATGACTGACAGTTAGCAGGCATTGAGCTTCTGCTTTTGTGCAGATCTCTGTAAGTTTGTGTTTTGGGGGAGATAGAAGGGAAATGGGAGCCGACGTAGACCGTGATGGGGTTGATCATTGTGATCTAGTGATCCATTGAGTATTTGGAAATTGGTGCTCAAGTTGGATAGAGAAATGATTTTGGATAGAAGCAGCTATCACATTTGTAAAATGCTTTTTAGAAGTTTTCTGGTCTCACTGTTCTTATTTGTAGGTTTCCTCTAGACAGGTTGATCCAGGGGACGCGCCGTGATGGGGTTTCCTTATAAAGTGATTTGTGTAATGCTGCTTTCTCTGGAAATTTGTAAACTCATTTTTTCAGTGCCCACTAAATGAAGTTAATAAAAGGGCAGTAGGTCTTTCCCTATCTCACTTAGACCCTAGGCAGTTTTCACTTTCATTCTTGGCTTTCTCTTTGGCAAAGCTAGGAAGCTTCTGCTGAAACCCACTTCACTAGAGGATATCGTAGTTAGAGAGTTGTCAAGTGCATACTTTGGTATAGTCCCTATATTTATAAAGTATGTCACAGTAAGTGTATAAGAATGATGAGTGTTGAAATGGATAATTTGATATGTATTCTGTAGATTTTACCTTTTTAAAAGGCTTATTAACTAAACAAGTAGCTGACTAAATACATTCAGAAAATAGTAGAAGGTAGATGGCTACTACTCTGACTTATTGTGGGTGAACAGGTGAACAGTTCTTCTTATGTACTATTTTTTTTTTTTTTTTGAGATGGAGTCTTGCACTGTCACCCGGGCTGGTGTGCAGTGGTGGATCTTGGCTCGCTGCAACCTCTGCCTCTCGGGTTCAAGCGATTCTCTTGCCTCAGCCTCCCAAGTAGCTAGGATTACAGGTGCCCACCACCACAACTGGCTAATTTTTTGTATTTTTAATGGAGATGGGGTTTCACTATGTTGGCCAAGGTTAAACTCCTGACCTTGTGGTGATCCGCCCGCCTTGGCCTCCCAAAGTGCTGAGATTACAGGTGTGAGCCACCGCGCCTGGCCCTTACATGCTATTTAAAAGATTTCTTTACACTTTCAAGGTCAAATTTTGATATACAGAATGGGGGAGGGGAGCTGAAGGGGCCGTTGTGCCAGAGTTCCTAAAACTGGCTGTCAGTCAGAATTTCTGGGGAGAGTTGGGGTACGGGTGTTTGCCCAGGATGTAATTTCCAAGGCCCACCCCAGATATACTGAATTAGAATCCACAGAGGTGAGGTCTCAGCATCTGCATTTTAATTACATTCCCTAGGTTAGTCTGATGTAGCTTGTCAGAGAACCAGCATTTGGGAGCCATTGACTCCAGTGGCTTCTCATCACAATTAGAATAAAATAAAAAACTCCTTGCCTGAGCCTACAGGACCTTGTGTAATCTTGCCCTAGCTTTATCTCTAATCTCTTTTCCTTGTTTGTGCTTCTCTTCCCCTTGCTTACTATGCTTCAGCATGGTAGTCTTCTTTCTTTTCCTAAAACAAGCCGAGTGCATTCCCACCATTGGGCCTTTGCACTTGCTGTTTCCTCTGCCTGGAATACCCTGTCCCTAGATATTCAAATAGATGATTCATTCTGCTCTTAGATCAAATGTCTCTTTCTCAGGGATGCCTCTTGACACTCCCAGTCTGAAGTCCCTTACACCCCATCATTGTCTGTCATCTCATTCTGATTTATTCACAGCACTTGTCACTAGCTGAAATTATCATTTTATTTTACGTCTTTCTTCTCCAGAATGTAAACTGCTTGGAGGCAGGGGCCTTGCCAGTCTTGTGCACTCTTACTTCTCCAACACTAGAATAGTGCCTGGTCCTTAGTTAGCATTCAGGAGATAGTTGTTTTGAGACAAGCCTGCTCTAGCCAACCAGTGAGCCCATGTAATCTCAGAATCCAGTCAAGGAAAGGACAGAAATTGCTCAGCTGATCAGGCTTGTGGATAACACTCATTTCCTGTAATTCTCTTTTTCTTCCTGTTTAGCTGAGTCCACCTCAGGACGAGGCCAGTGCCTGAAACGCATCCGCTACCATGGCAGAGGTCGCTTTGGGATCATGGAGAAGGTTTATTGCCATTATTTTGTGAAGTTGGTGGAAGGGCCCCCACCTCCACCTGAGCCACCAAAGACGGCAGTTGCCCATGCCAAAGAGTATATTCAGCAGCTTCGCAGCCGGACCATCGTTCACACTCTATGATGAGGAGATTCAGACTCCACAGTGTATATATTTTGCCATTTATTTTCTAAAAATAAACAAAAATTGAAGGCAAATGCTTTTTATGATTTCTCATTGAATTATTGAAACAGTGTATAACTGCTAGTTGTAAATGAATATTTATAAGGCTTTGCCCATTTCTTTTGAGCCTCTGGGCATATTTGTATGCATTTGCGACTTGGAAGGGGAAATCAGCTTTAAACATAGTAACAGACTATATTTCAAAAGGCTTTTGGAGTAACTTTGAAAGGGAATGTTAACTTTCCAACTAGTGTCCTGCAGGTGGCTGTTTTGATACTGGACTTGAATACAGTGTTATGAGGTAAGAAAATTGCTTTTATTTCACTTAATTTTCTCTTGGGACCATGGGAAGTTAGAGTGGCTGCATGTTGTTTCATTACAGTATTTTAGGGTGTTCAGTGGTACCGTTTTTCCTTTCACTGTTGGCACAGGCCAGTGAGTCAAAAATTATATTTTCCTTTACTGTTTTAGCAGTAACTCGAAACTACAGGAGTTTATTAGATATACGAATCTAAAACTCCAAAAACCTTTAACTTTGAAAATTTTCTTTTGGTTAAGCAAAGCCTGTTTTTATTTCTTCTTCCAACAGTGCTTTATATTGTTTGGATATCTTGTTTAGGATTGATTTATTTTTCAGGGTAAATTCAATTACTGAGAGAGGAATTGAACCAATCTCAGCATTGCATTCTAAAATGGGGCAGTAGGTGGCACTCAACCTTTTATTAGCAGAAAATTGTTAGTTTCAAATTAGAGTGTTCAACACTGCTTCCCTCTCATTCATACACGTCTTCATTAAGAAGAAGTACTCTTTGTCTACAGCCCTAGTCCAACTTTTGCATGCAAAAGAAGAATCGAGGATGCTTGCTTGTTAATGCAGACTTCTGGGCCCCACCCCAATGATTCAATTCACTAGGTCTTATGGGGGGCTGGTTTCAGAAATCTATGTTTTAAACAAACACTTCCAGGTAATTCTGTTGTAGGGGACTACGCTTTGAGAATACGGCTTTAGGAGAATGAAAAAATGTAGTTTTATTGCCATGTTTTAAGATGGCATTAATAATAGTTACTGTTTACTGGGAACTTGTTATTTGCAAGCTCTGTGCTAGTATTTTACATAATTCTTCACAACATCCTGAAAATGTAGCTTTTGTTTTACCACTTTACAAAGGAATAAACCGAAGCACACAGAATTCAAATAACTATCACAAGTCACACAGCATGTAAATATTGGGGCTATGATTGAAAGGTTTCTAAAGTAGCTGGTTCTGCATACCTTTTGAGTATACAGCTGGGTTTTTGTGTCTCTCCAGTTAACCTAATGCATGGGTAAAAAGACATCAGGGGTCAGTGGAATAAACCAAGGTGTAGGACAGATTCATTCTGGGTCCTAAGCTGTTGTAGCATGGAGTCAGGGAAATAACACTGGAATATTAAAAGGTAACCTTCATTCTAGTCTGTGCATTCTCATTAGCCAGAAAGAAGACTGGATAGGTCTCTTCCCTTGCTGGCCTCCATTTCATTCATTTATGAAACAAGAGACTCAATGTTCTCTGTAGAAAACCTTTTTTAGAATCACTTGAAGAATTTGTTTAAAAATGCAAATTCCTGGGCTCTACTCTCAGACTAAGTGAATCAGAAGCTTTGGTGTGGGAGACCATGGAACCTGCAGTTTTAATAAATGCCCCAGTGATTTGCATGTTGGAGAATTATCACACCAGGTCACTGTGCTCTCATGTGGTGGGGATGCTCCACGATTGCTCTTGGAGTTGTGACTTCCTTGGGTGTGACTAAAGCCAGGTGGTGCCATGGACATCATAAATATAAATTATGTAAGTGAAGGCACTGCTTCAGTCAGGCTGTAAAAGCTATTTTGAAAGTGGTAAGGAAAAAGTAGGATTGTAATGAAGAAAATTTCCTTCCCAGGTTAAGCCTTCATTTGGAACTGCTTCCAGTACGTTACAAAAAGTAATAATAGCTAACCTGTGTCACTGACTGTATCTGGTACTATTTTAAGCACTATATATACATTATCTCAATGAATCTTTCCCATTGTGACATCCGGCTAGTTTTCGTGGCTAAGAGTGTACTTTCTAACATCCATGAACATTGTGGTCCCCACCTGAAGTTTCACTTTGCATGTTCAGTGATATGGTTTGGCTCTGTGTTCCCACCCAATCTTATCTCAAATTGTAATCCCCATGTGTCCAGGGAGGGACCTGTAATCCCCACCTAGTGACGGAGGGAGGTGATTGATGATGGGTGTGGTGTACCCCATGCTGTTCTCGTGATAGTGAGTGGGTTCTCATGAGATCTGATGGTTTTATAAGTGTTTGAAAGTTCCCTCTTCACTCGCTGTCTTGCCTGCTGCCATGTAAAATGTGCCTACTTCACCCTCTGCCATGATTGTAAGTTTCCTGAGGCCTCCCCAGCCATGCAGAACTTTGACACAATTAAATGTCTTTTCTTTATAAATTACCCAATCTTGGGTATTCTTTATAGTGGTGTGAAAATGGACTAATACATTCAGAAGCCATTATCTGTTATTCTTTAATGGCAATCTCTGAATGCTTGTACTTTCCTTCTTTTCCAAAGAATTACTGTAGACCCAAATTTTCATCATTTGAGTGTAGCACATTCAGAAAGTACACCAATTGCAAGTATACAGCACAAATTATGATCAGCTGATGAACATGTACAAATAACCCCCATTAAGACAAGAAATAGAACATAAATAGCAACCCTGAAGCCCCTACCTGCACCCCCGGTCACTACCCCATCTCTCTTCTCAAAAAGTAATCATGATAGATTAAAAAAAAAAAAGGTCAGCTTTTGTTTTTTCAACTCTAATTTATTGGGCAACTATTATATACATGGTACTGAAGATACAGGCAGTGAACATAGTAAATATGGCCCCTGCCTGAAAGAGCTGACTGATGGGAAAGACAACTGTACATCTATCATTGAAAGTATTTATTGTGGATTCAGAGGGACAGGGGGCTCTGAAAAATAGTTACTGCTTCTTTGGGGGTTTACTTAAAGAGATACAGTCAGGAGAAAGGGTAAAAACAAATACATGGTTCAGTAAAAAGCTATGATATCAAAATGTCAACTTAAGGGATTTTATTTTATTCTTACTATTTTAGAGACAGGGTCTTGATCTGTTGCCCAGGCTGGAGTGCAGTGACACGATCATGGCTCAGTTTAGCCTCAGCCTCCCAGGCTCAGGTGATCCTCCCACCTCAGTCTCCCAAGTAGCTGGGAGAATAGGTGTGCACCACCACACATGGCTAGTTTTTGTATTTTTGTAGAGATGGGGTTTTGCCATGTTGCCCTGGCTGGTCTCAAACTCCTGGGCTCAAGTGATCCTCCCACCTCGGCCTCCCAAAGTGCCGGGATTATAGGTGTGAGCCACTGCACCAGCCTATTACAAATACTTTGAATGAAAGCAAGGAAATATTGGTAGATGAATTATACTTGTGCACTAAAATAAAATTTTTAAAAATATCCAATAGGGACTTGAATGATTATTTTCACATATGGCCCAAGGAGGCTCATACAAATTCTACTTTGGAAAGGAAGGAATGGCAATATTAATTTCAAAGTGCAATTTAAGGAAGAAGTTAAATGACCCTAAAAAGGTTGTTTACACATGCAGTCAATTTGAGAAAATGTACAAGTCTTCTGAAGAGCATTTGTAAATTGCATGTGTCCACAGTGGACCCCAATATAAGAAATACTGATTTAAATGGTTTTTCTATTTGACTGTTTATCTAAATGGTCACAGTTCTTTACTCTTTTCATATATTGATGCTCTTTGCAATGTGACTTTGTATCTCCTCTTATTAAGAGGTGGAGTCTTTGAATCTGGGCTGGCTTTGTGACTTCTTTGGCCAACAGAAAGTAGCAGAAGTGAGAGTTTTCCAGTTTTCAGTCTAGGCCTCAGAGGTCTTGTTTGCTTCCTCTTTTTTTCCTGGACCTTTGCTTCTGCCATGTCAACAAACCTAAGCTAACCTGCTGCAGGACTAGAGACCACATGGAAGAGAGCAATGAATCACCCACTGAGAGCCAGCCAGCCAACTCCTAAACATGTGAGTGAGCCCAGCCCACATCAACAGAGCTGCCTACCCCATGAAAAACTGACTATAGAAGCATGAATGAGCCCAGTTGAGATGAGAAAACCCACTATAAACTGACTTACAGAGTCATGAACAATAGTAACTGCTTATTGTTTAAGCCATTGAGATTTGAGGTAGTTTGTTACACAGTAATAGGTGTGATAAATATTTCAAACTTTGTACCCTACAGAAAATACCTATTCTTTTTAAATGGCTGTAAAAATTTATGAAATTGATTCTAGGGTTATCATAAAGGAACCTTAATAGATTCTTTCAAATAGAAACTATATAAATAACTTTTTAAAATCATACTGCCTTAAAACTAGAAATTTGTTCCTTTTTAAAAAAAGTTTAAATATAATTCAAGCTACTTGATAATTGAACACTCCTAACTCTTGGTTCTTTGGGGGAAAAAGGATCATTAAAGTGGACGTGACCTATGAATTCAATCAAATACAAATGAAAAAATTCAATGTGGGAAAAGGGCATACAGAGAAGATTGAGAATCCTATGTAGTTAAAAAAAAAAAAAAAAGAATCCTTTGTAGGAATGTGCTGTATCGTAGCCAACCTGGAAGTACATTTCTCAGAATCCTCTTCTCTGTAGGGTTGTGGGTTAGAATTGGCTGAAAGATGAGTAAGATCTGGGAGTTGGAAGTGATGCTCTCACAATCATTTTGGCATCCTGACACCTATTGTAGTGGTAACTCAGTCGGAGACACCATGCTAAAGCAGCAAGCATCCCATTCCATCATCTTGTAAGACTAATGTAAGCAAAAATAAATTATTAAAAGAGTATTGGATCACTCAAATAATTTCTAAGTGGCCCAAGAACTAGATTTTAAAGCTACATAGCCAGGAACAATGCAATCAGATGACATAGGAAGAAAACCATACCTCCTTACAATAGGGCTGTTCTAGTGGAAAGACTAGGATTCCATCATAGCTGCTCCTAAAGGGCCAGATGCCTGTGTACTGTCTGGGTATAATAGAATCTGTAATCTCCTACTCTGTGACCACCTCCTCACATTGTTCTCTTCCATCTCTGAATCAGTGTGGGCATAAATGACTGGCATATATTATATGAATGAACCTTAGTTGTAAGTACAGAAATGTACTTTTTAGTTTTCTGGTTTCTAAAGCATGCCAATGTCCTCCAGTCAGAGACCACCACAAATACAACTCTAGTTGAACAAGTTGGGTTTATTACTTGTTGCAGCGAGGGAAAACACACCATGGGGAGCTATGGGGTGTCTCAATAAGAGGTGTTAGAACCTATTATAGGATTTGGGCATTGGTTGGGTGATTTGTGGAGGGGCTAAGAAAGCAGGTATTTTTTTCTAAATTGGATGCTGTTAGAAAGCAGGTGCAATTATATGATTATCTCAAGTTTTATCAAGGAGGGTAAATGAGTGAAAAAAAGGGGTAAGTGGTAAAGAGTTAACAGTTACTCATTTTGGCCACAAGAGAGGAATGTTTGGTATTTTGTGAGGGGCACAGTGAACTTATTTTTTTCTGAGCTTCAGCAAAATGATGGTGTGGACTCGCCTTATTTCATTGAATCATGATCCCAGAGTAACTTTGTCTGGCTTTGATATTCTGTGACATGGTTTATGTCCAACAGAGGGCAGCATGGCCTAGCTGTGAGTGCCTGGCCAGCTTCTGAATGTCAAGGGCTGCTCTTTTCTTTTCTTTCTCAAATGCAAGAGAAGGGAATTGTTGAATAAGCTGATTTATTGTTTTTGCCACAGGTATCACCATACTTAAAGTGAAGCTCTGGTGTTTCCTGCTAAGTTCAGGTATAAGACAAGTATGCCGACTATCCATGATCATTTAATATTTTCTGAAAGTTTAGCCAAAACAGTAAAACAAATGAAATAAGAGAAAAATCTTTGGAAAGGAGGAGGCAAATTATTATTTACATATAATTGCCTATCTAGCAATCTAATAAAGTAAACAGAAAAAATATTTGAAGTAAGTAGAGTTCAATAAGGCAGTTGGTTACAAAATCAATATGCCATACACACACACACACACACACACACACACACACACACACACACACACACACACTTATTTAAGAGACAGGGGTCTCACTGTTTCTGTTGCCCAGGCTCAAGCTCTGGGGCTCAAACCCTTCACCTCAGCTTCCCAAGTAGCTAGGACTACAGGCACATGCCACTGTGCCCAGCTAAAGCTTATCTTTCAAAATCAACAACTCAAAAGAAAAGATAATTTTTAAAAAGTATTAAAAATAGAAACTAAAATATAAAATATCTAGGAACAAACTTACATAAGTAGGCAGGACCCATAGAAATAGAACTGTAAAACTTTATTGAGGGATTTGAAAGAAGACTGGAATAAATGATAGGGCATACCCATTCTTGAATGGCATAACTCAAGAATTCAACCACTTCAATTCTAATAAAAATGTCAAAAGCATTTTTTTAACTAGAGAATATAATTCTAAAGTCACCTGGGAAGCTTAATAAAGGGATGAAGAAATTTTGGAAGATTGAGGGGTGACTTACATTGCTAGGAAGAAAGGTTTATTATTAAAGCAGCATGATTCTTATGTAGCCTCCCAGACAGGCTCAAGTATATAGATTTGATATAGGATAAAGGTGGAATTGAAATATACTTACACTTCTGCTTAGGATATAGCTGCAAAGCTCATCACTCTCACCCTAACAATGAAAATGACAGGTAAATGACAAAATCATTACTTTTGTTGAGCCCGTAAGAAAGAATAGCTTCTGAGGCAACCAAGTAAGCTAATTCAAAAGAGAGACAAGTTCCTCCAAGGAGAGATGAGCTATGCAAACTGTCTTAACTGTCAGAGCACAAAAAGAGGGGCCACCACTTTTTAAGTGGATTAGAAATCAGGGAAATTGTTACATGCTGTCAAAATCCATGTGTGGATTAGTGGGCATTTGTTTTATTATTGTTCATGACACTGTGCTGCCTTCTGTGTATATGATGTATTTTAAAGTAGGGAAAAAGTAAATTTGGGGTCCAAATGTAATTTCCTGCATTTTTACACACAGGGGAATTTAGCCACAGAGAGGCTGGGTCCATTGGTGAAGATCAATTACTCCCATTTCCCAGTTCAATTTTCCATTCCCTATCCAATGCTCTGGCATCTAAAGCAGCCACATGATTTAGCATAAGTTAATAGACTCTGAACTTTTAAAATCAAGGCCAGTTTAAAAGAACTTAAGTTGCAGATATGAGATGTTTAATAAAAAATGAACACATACGGGTGAAATTTATCTGACTTGGGATGGAGAAAGCTTTTTATAAAGCAAAGGCAGAAGCCATAAAGAAAAAGATGAACATCTTAGGAGTATTAAGAGATATATCTGAATGATAAGATTACAGGCAACCTTTAATTTTACTTTGTGTGTTTTTCTATATTTTTGATGTTTTCTAAGTGAAATATATATTACCTAGGTAATTAGAAAAAATAGTAAAATTAAAAATAAATATCACTTTGAGTACTGTGAGCAGAAGCAGGAATGGAAGAATGCAGCTAACTCAGGAGAAATATGTGTTTTTAGCAGCTATCATTACCTTGAGTTTTCACATAAAACCTTAAGTTTTATAGGTGGAGAGAAAAACCAGGGGAAAGCACCTGATTAAGTGGCATTAAGTGGATGCTGGTGAAAATGTGACCACATTAGAATGTTGAAATATGATGAAATTGTGGCACAGGCCATCCTTGGATGTGCAGGTTGTGACCTGAGCAGAACTGTCTTCTGACCCATCCCTGCTCATCACAGATATTAAGAGTCTGAAGAAAGCTTGGCACAGGCAGGGTGTAGAGAACACAATAGGAAGTCTTGGTAAAGTCACAGAAGCAAGAGAAGCCCTTATACCCTCCACCCAGTGATTTCAAGTGGGAGAGAAAGAACGAGAAGTCTCTTGGAGTTTATGCTTAAGCCTCACCTGACTTTATTACTTTGCTATGTGGCTAGTTTCTTTTCTTTCCCTTCTTTTCTCTCTCTCTCTCTCTCGTCTCGCTCTGTTACTCAGGCTGGAGTGCAGTGGCGTGATCTCGGCTCACTGCAACCTCCGTCTCCCGGGTTCAAGTGATTCTCCTGCCTCAGCCTCCCAAGTAGCTGGGACTACAGGAGCGCACCACCACACCCATCTAATTTTTGGCCAGGCTGGTCTCAAACTCCTGACCTGAGGTGATCCACCCGCCTCAGCCTCCCAAAGTGCTGGGATTACAGGCATGAGCCACTGCTCTCGGCCTAGTTATTTCTTTATGTCGAAGTTCCCTGCTCTGATAAGATGGTGCAAAGTGAGAGTGTTAAATGTGGCTTTTCTCTTAATGACTTGTTTTCTCATAAGCCAACAGTGTTGATTGTCTGTGTTAATGGAGAGGATTTGCAAGCCCATGACTAAGTGAAAAGTACAGACCTCTACATCCCTAAAACCTTAGCTTGATTTTTACTCCCCTCTCTGCCCTCTTTTCTAGTATTTTTCTGCACTGTTAAAACCCTCCAGTGGCTTTCCACAGGTGTCAGGATAAAGTTTAAACTTCTTGTCTTACAAATACCTGCTTTTCATTATAGCATCAATGCTCATTACCACATACTTCAACCATACCAAATGACCTATAAATACCTATGGCCTCTTATTTCATGTCTCTGGGCATTTACAGTCTTGCTAATATTACCAAATGCCTACTATTGTGTCCGGAATTGGTTCCTTCCGGTGGGTTCTTGGTCTCGCTGACTTCAAGAATGAAGCCGTGGACCCTAGCAGTGAGTGTTACCGTTCTTAAAGATGGTGTGTCCGGAGTTTGTTCCTTCAGATGTTCAGATGTGTCCAGAGTTTCTTCCTTGGTCTTGCTGACTTCAGGAGTGAAGCAGCAGACCTTTGCAGTGAGTGTTACAGCTCTTAAAGGTGGCGCAACGGGAGTTGCTCGCTCCTCCTGGTGGGTTCGTGGTCTCGCTGACTTCAGGAGTGAAGCCACAAACATTAGCGGTGAGTGTTACAGCTCATAAAGGTGGTGTGGACCCAAAGAGAGAGCAGCAGCAAGATTTATTATGAAGAGCAAAAGAACAAACCTTCCACACCGTGGAAGGGGACCCAAGTGGGTTTTCGCGGCTGGCTCGGGTGGCCTGCTTTTATTCTTATTTGGCCCTGCCCACATCCTGCTGATTGGTCTATTTTACAGAGCGCTGATTGGTCCATTT
Organism: Homo sapiens; assembly: GCF_000001405.40. Taxonomy (NCBI): domain Eukaryota; kingdom Metazoa; phylum Chordata; class Mammalia; order Primates; family Hominidae; genus Homo; species Homo sapiens. The sequence continues at coordinate 154,976,258 of NC_000005.10, forward strand.
TACAGAGTGCTGATTGGTGCGTTTACAAACCTTTAGCTAAACACAGAGCACTGATTGGTGCGTTTTTACAGAGTGCTGACTGGTGCGTTTACAAACCTTTAGTTAGACACAGAGTGCTGATCGGTGTGTTTTTACAGAGTGCTGACTGGTGTGTTTACAAACCTTTAGCTAGACACAGAGCACTGATTGGTGCATTTTTACACAGTGCTGATTGATGCATTTACAAACCTTTAGCTAGATACAGAGTGCTGATTGGTGTGTTTACAAACCTTTAGCTAGACAAAAAAGTTCTCCAAGTCCCCACTCGACCCAGGAAGTCCAGCTGGCTTCACCTCTCACTATGTGTCCAGCACTCTGCTAAACGTATGCGCTTCCTCCTCATAACAATTCTTTCTTGTTGGCTTGAATACTTGAATATTGTTTCCATTTAACAAATGAGAAACCTAATGTTCAAATAAATTAAATAATTTGTCTAAGGTCACACAGCTAATAAGCAGCAGAGCCAGAATTTAAACCCAGGTTTGACTCCAAAGTCTGAATTTTTTTTCAAAGATTATGGTAAACTACACATCACATAAAATATACCATGTCAGCCACTTTAAAGTGTATAATTCTATGGCAGTAAGTACATTTACATTGTTGTGCAGCCATCACCACCATCCATCTCCAGAACTTTTAAATCTTCCCCATCTGAAACTCTGTATCCATCAAACAATAACTCCTCATATCCCCTCCCAAGAACCCCTGGCCACCACCATTCTACTTCTGTCTCTGTGTATTTGACTACTGTAGGCACCTGTTATAAATGGAATTTGTCCTTTTGTGACTGGCTTATTTCATTTGGCGTAATGTCTTCAAGATTCATCCATATTGTGGCATGTGTCAGAATTTCTTTTCTTTGAGGCAGAGTCTCCCTCTGTTACCCAGGCTGGAGTGCGGTGGCATGATCTCGGCTCACTGCAACCTCCGCCTCCCGGGTTCAAGCGATTCTCCTGCCTCAGCCTCGCGAGTAGCTGGGATTACAAGTACCCAACACCATGCCCAGCTAATTTTTGTATTTTTAGTAGAGACGGGGTTTCACCATGTTGGCCAGGCAGGTTTTGAACTCCTGACCTCAAGTGATCCGCCTGCCTCAGCCTCCCAAAGTCCTGGGATTATAGGTGTGAGCTACTGCACCCAGCCCAGAATTTCTTTTTTAAAGCTGAATAATATTCCATTATATTTATATACCACATTATCAATTCATCTGCCAATGGACACCTGGGCTGCTTCTCCCTTTTGGCTGTTGTGCATATTGCTGCTATGAACATGGGTGTGCAAATACCTCTTTGAGTCACTGCTTTCACTTCTTTTTAGTATTTACTCAGCAGTGGAATTGCTGAGTCATGTGATAATTCTGTGTTTAATTTTTTTTGAGGAAACTCCATACTGTTCTCATGGTGGCTGCACCATTTAATATTCCCACTAGCAATTCACTAAGGTTCCATTTCCTCCACAATCTCGACAATGCTTTGTATTTATTTATATTTTAATACTAGCCATCCTAAAGGGTGTGAAGTGGTATTTCACTGTGGCTTTGACTTGCGTTTCCCTAGTGATTAGTGATGTTGAGCATCTTTTCACATGAAAGCCTAAATTCCTAGGCTGGGCGTCGTGGCTCACGCCTGTAATCCTAGCACTTCAGGAGGCCGAGGGGGGTGGATCACGAGGTCAGGAGATTGAGACCATCCTGGCCAACATGGTGAAACCCCGTCTCTACTAAAATACAAAAAATTAGCTGGGCGTGGTGACAGGCGCCTGTAGTCCCAGCTACTCAGAAGGCTGAGGCACGGGAATCGCTTGAGTTAGGGAGGTGGAGGTTGCAGTGAGCCGAGATTGCACCACTGCACTCGAGCCTGGTGACAGAGCAAGATTCTGTATCAAAAAAAAAAAAAAAAAAAAAAAAAAAAGCCTAAATTCCTAACCTCTGCTTATTTGGAAATTAATGAAATTTAATTTTTACCAAAGTAATAAATGTACTTAGTGATATGGTTTGGCTCTGTGTCGCCACCCAAATCTCATCTGGAATTGTACTCCCTTAATTCCCACGTGTTGTGGGAGGGACCTAGTGGGAGATAATTGAATCATGGGGGTGGTTCCCCCCATACTGTTCTTGTGGTAGTGAATAAGTCTTATGAGATCTGATGGTCTTATCAGGGGTTTCCACCTTTGCATCTTCCTCATTTTTCTCTTACCACTGCCATGTAACAAGTGCCTTTCACCTCCTGCAATGATTCTGAGGCCTACCCAGCCATGTAGAACTGTAAGTCCAATTAAACCTCTTTTTTTCCCCAGTCTTGGGTATGTCTTTGTCAGCTGTGTGAAAATGGACTAATACATGTAGTTAACAAAATCAGATACTACTAACATATTGATAGAGAAAAGTAGTAGCACCCATTTCCCACCCCACACTAGCACCTGGTGTCCCTAAGACTGAGGTCATGTGTCAGGTGCCATTCTTTATTGTACTTACGCAGCTTTTCTCATAATAATGGAAAACAGCTATTTCCTACAGCCATACCACTATCAAAGAGAAAAATAAAAAGTTGCCTGTTTCAAGGAAATTGAAAAAGCGCATTTAAATAAAAATGATTTCTTTTGAGGCTGGGTGTGGTGGCTCACGCCTGTAATCCAAGCACTTTGGGAGGCCAAGGCAGGTGGATCATGTGAGGTCAGGTGTTGGAGATCAGACTGGCCAACATGGCAAAACCCTGTCTTTACTAAAAATACAAAAATTAGCCGGGTGTGGTGGTGCACCCCTATAGTCCCAGCTACTTGGGAGGCTGAGGCGGGAGAATTGCTTGAACCCGGGGGGGTGGAGGTTGCAGTGAGCCGAGACCGTGCCACTGCACTCTAGCCTGGGTGACAGAGAGAGACTCCATCTCAAAAAAAAAAAAAGATTTCTTTTGAAACAATTTCAAACTCATATGCAAGTTGTAGGAACAGTATATAGAACTTTGGCATACCCTTCATCTAGAGATGCCATTAAAGTTTTGCTAATAGTCCCAGTAACACTCCTGATGGCAAAGGATCCTATCCAAAGTTTCATCAGCAATGCAACCAGTTGTCCTTTTCTGTAGTTTCTTCCAACCTGGCATTGTTCCTCAGCCTTTTCCTGGCTTTCATGGCCTAGACATGGGTGAAGATTAGAGACCAGTCATTTTGTAGAATCTTCCTCTATTTGGTCTTGTCCTGTTTCCTCCTAGTTAGACCTAGGGTGTGCATTTTGGCAAGAATGTCACAGAGCTGTATTTTTTTCATTGCAACCCACTGGGTAGCACATGATGTGTATTTGGTTGCTGTTTTTTTCACTCGATTACTTATTAGGCTGGCATCTCCCAGGTGTCTCTACTGTAAAATTATTCTTTACTCTCTCTGTAATTAATAAGGATCTTGTGAGGAGAGACTTTGAGACTCTGTAGATATCTATTTCGTCATCAACCTTTCACTGACTGGAGTTTTAGCATCCATTGATTTTTCTTGACTGAATTAATTGTTACTATGATGTTGCCAAATGTTGATTTTCTGTTATCATTCCTTCTTCATCTATTAGTTGTCTTTCTACTATGAAGAAAAGCTTTCTCCTCTCACGTATTCATTTATTCTTATCAGTATGGATTCATAGGTGCTTTATTCAATGGATTGTAATCTGTTACTGTCATTATTTATTTTAATGCTCAGAATTTCCCATATTTGGCCAGGGGACACCACTTCAAATTAGTTCCTGTGTCCTTTTTATGTTTCTCCATCATTGAGCACCACCTTACTTTATGACTTAAAAAGATGTTCCAGGCTCATCTTACTCATTCTCTGGAGTCAATGATTTGAAGAGAGCAGATTTATTTGTAGAAATAGGACTACGCCTAAATGTTTAAAATGCAAAAACAGAGTGTGTTATCCAGTCTGCTTCATGTTCATACGCTACCACCGAGTCACCCAGATTTGATATTTCACCCCTGCATTGCTGCCAGGTTTGTTAGGTATCAACCCCAACAGAAGAGGTGTGCATTTTTATAGGCAATTAAATATTAGCTGTGAACTTTAGCATTCATGAGGGGGAACACAGAAAGGAATGAACACTGATCTATGTTGCAGAATTGTTTGTTTTCCTCCTCTCAGATACTCAAGAGGCTGCCAGCATAGGAGCTCTGTCTAGAGAGAAAACAGTTTTTACATATTTCTCTTTAATGGTAATAGAAGCAAAACTACTGTTGTGAAAAGACACTGGGTTTAGACTACACCATATGGCCCTGAGAGGTGTTCATCACTATAGCCTCTAATGGCTGAACTCAAAATAGCCCATATTTCTGCATTGATGGAGAATTAGCTACTGACTGCCAGGAAACACCCATTGTAGCAGCTCTTCAGCCTTGTAATTTAAAATAATTACTAATTAAATGAAAATAAAATAGAGTCCATAATAACAATAATAATCACTGTAGCATTGGTCATTACCGAAGTATTGTTTGTAGGAGTGTTACCTAGGGGAACATCGCTTGCAGAAGGGTGGAAGAACTGTGGAAGGAGCTGGGGTTTATTATTACTGCTAGGTAGGGAATCAGGACCGCTCCAGAGTGCTTGGCAACCATAGTCCTAATTTGATATTCCATCTATATTGCCAATCTCATGTTGTTTCAAGGAATTTGTTCACTAATACAGAAGGCAGCATGCCATTAAAAACCAAGGAACAGGAACAGCTGTGTGGCACTCGCCAACAGATTTATATCATTGCAGGAAACAACCCAAGCAATTACCTTGTCTTTGACAAGCATCACTCTTATCCCCATCTCAGGAAAATTGAGGCCCTTTTGCAAGAGGGCCTTTGAGTGTATATGACCAACATTAAGTGGTTATGACAGGACATATGGAATACTGTACATGGAGCCAGTTTCAGATAACTGTCCAGAGGCCTGTCTGTGTATCTAAGAAAGTAAAAGGTGGAGGCTACCTGGTTAAAGGAGGAAGACTTTCAGTTTTTATTGTTTGGGTGACCTAAAATAACATGCATTTCTTTACATGTTCATTCACCCAACAAATGTTTGAGTGCTACTATGCACCAGATATTGTTCTAGGTGCTGGGAATATTAACATAGACATGGTTGCCGACCTCAGGAATCTGACAGTCCACTGGCTAGGGAGGAATATACAAATATAGACATGTAAAAAGTACCATGGAGGAAAAGAAGAGAGTGCTTGGGGGATAGCAGGGGGACCTTTTCAGCAATGTGGCATCTGTGATGGGCTCTTTGAGGAAGTGCCATTTTTGCTGAGGCCTGAAGTCCAAGGAGAGATTAGCCAGGAAATCGAGTAGGGGAGAATGTTCAGGCAAAGGCAGTGCCATGGGCAAAGGCCCCAAATGAAGATGAACCTAGTTCACTGGAGAAACTAAAGCAGAGTGTATGGAGAAGCACAGAAACACAGAGTGGGGGAGGATGCGGCACAAGGTACGAATAGGTCAACCGACTTCCGGGACAGGTGGTCTTGGAGAGGAGTCCAGATTTCACTGTAAGTATAAAGGGAATCTTTGAAGCTGGGGAGTGGCAGTGCCTGGTTGATGTCTGTAAAAGCTCAGTCTGGTCTCTGGTAGACAATGGCCTTGGGTAGTGGGGCCTGAGCTGATGCCAGAAACCAGGTAGGAGGTCATTTAAGAATTCAGGTTGGCCGGGCACGGTGGCTCATGCCTGTAATCCCAGCACTTTGGGAGGCCAAGGCGGGTGGATGCGGGTGGATCACGAGGTCAGGCGTTGGAGACCAGCACAGCCTGGTCAGCGTAGCGAAACCCCGTCTCTACTAAAAATACAAAAAATTAGCTGGGTGTGGTGGCGGGCGCCTGTAATCCCAGCTACTCGGGAGGCTAGGCAGGAGAATCACTTGAACCTGGGAGGCAGAGATTGCGGTGAGCCGAGATCGCACCATTGCACTCCAGCCTGGGCAACAAGAGCGAAACTCCGTCTCAAAAAAAACAAAAAAAAAAGAATTCAGGTAAGAAACGACTGTCCCTTGGACCAGGGAGATGGTAGGGAATGACAGGAAGTAGACTGACTGGAAATTCATTTAGGCAGCAGCACTGACTGGGGGTGGTCAGGAGTGTGGCGGTTCCAGGGCAGGTTCCCAGGTCTCTGGCTTGAGCACAGGGTGAATGGATGTGCAGTATGCTGAGGTGGGAAGCATCAGAGGATGACTAGATCTGGATATTAAAATACCCAGATTCATTTACTGTGGTAAAATGAACATAACACAAAATTTACCATTTTAGGCCAGATGCAGTGGCTTACATCTGTAATCCCAGCACTTTGGGAGGCTGAGGCAGGAGGATCACTTAAGCCAGGAGTTCAAGACCAGCCTGAGTAACATAGTGAGACCCCCTTATCTACCAAAAAAAAAAAAAAAAAAAAGGAAAGGAAAAAAAGAGCCTTGCCATTTTAACCATCTCTAAATGTACAGTTCTACTGCATTTGTTGTGCATCCATCATTAACTGTCCATCTCCAGAACTTTACCATCTTTCCCAACTGAAACTCTGTACCCATTAAATAACTCCTTATTCCTCTTCTCTCCCTATCCCCTGGCAACCACATTCTACTTCCTGTTTCTATGAACTTGGATGCTTTAGATGCTCCCTATAAGTGGAATCATACATTATTTGTCATTTTATGACTGGCTTATTTCACTTAGCATAATGTTCTCAAGGTTATTCCTGGTTGTAGTATATTACAGGATTTCCTTCCTTTTAAAGGCTGTGTAATGTTTCATTGCATGTACATATCACAGTTTTCTTATTTATTCATCCATAAATGGACTTTCGATTGCTGCCACCACTTGGCTATTGTGAATAATGCTGCTATGAATACGGGTGTGCGAACATCTGTTCCATCCCCTGCTTCCACTTCTTTTGGGTATTTACCCAGAAGTAGGATTGCTGAATTATATGTAATTCTATGCTTAATTTTAAAATTTAATTAAAAAAATTGACAAATAGGCTGGGCATGGTGGCTCACGCCTGTAATCCCAGCACTTTGGGAGGCCACGGTGGGCAGATCACAAGGTCAAGAGATCCAGGCCATCCTGGCCAACATGGTGAAACCTCGTCTGTACTAAAAATACAAAAGTTAGCTGGGCGTGGTGGTGCACGCCTGTAGTCCCAGCTACTCGGGAGGCTGAGGCATAAGAATCGCTTGAACCTCAGAGGCGGAGGTTGCAGTGAGTCGAGATCGTGCCACTGCACTCCAGCCTGGTGACAGAGCAAGACTGCGTCTCAGAAAAAAAAATTGACAGATAATAATTGTATATACTTATGCAGCACAACGTGATGTTTTCTTATATGTGTACCTTATGGGATGATTAAATCAAGCTAATTTACACATCCATCATCTCACATACTTATTTTTGTGTGTATGTGTGGTATAAACATTTAAAACCCACTCACTTAGCAATTAAAAAATATGCATTGCATTATTATTAACTATAGTCACCATGGTGTGCAATAGATCTCAAAAACTTATTCTTCCTGTCAAGCTGAAACTTTGTACCCTTTGACCATCTATGCCTCTACATTTACTTTTTTGAGGAATCACCACACCATTTTCCACAGTGTTGTACCATTTTATATTCCCACTAGCAGTGCACAAGTGTTCTATTTTCTCCACCTTCTTGCCAACACTTAGAATTTTGTTTTTCTTTAATCATCATCCTAACGCATGTAAAGTGGTACCTCATTGTGATAAAACATTAACATTTTTAGATATTAAATTTGAGATGCCTGATAGTCACAGTTGGATATTTCAGCCAGGATTTCAGAAGAAAAGTCTTCTAGTCAGTTTGAATTCCATCAATGAAGGTGTGCAGAGAACTCTTATGAATAACTCATCATGGCCAGCTCATGCCTGTAATCCCAACACTTTGGGAGGCTAAGGCTGACAGATCACTTGAGCCCAGGAGTTTGAGGATAGCCTGGGCAGCATGGCAAATCATCATCTCTACAAAAAATATAGAAATTAGCCAGGCATGGTGGCATATGCCTGTAGTCCTAGCTACTCAAGAGGCTGAGGTGGGAGGATTGCTTGAGTCCAGGAGGTTGAGGCTACAGTGAGCTGAGATGGCACCACTGCAGTCCAGCCTGGGTGACAGAGTGAGACCCTGTCTCTAAAATAAAATAAAAATAAATACCTAACTCATCATAGTGGACCTCCCATGTTTGTTCTTAAGACTTCCTACTCCTACCAGTGTGTCCACTATTTGAGGATGTGAACATTTGGGTATTTGAGTTCATTTCTGGTGAACAAATAGCATTTTGCACCAGGTTCTTGTCTTTCTAATCCATGTTGTTCTCACTCCTGTGGAAATTAATGAAGAATAATTAAATGTCAGATGCAAGTAAAAGTGGTGAAAAGCTTCAGAAAGTAAGAATTTATTGTCTTTTTCTTGGTAGGTATAGCTAGCTGAATTCAAGTAGTTTTAATAATCTTTTAGAGTGAATGGAAAGCATTTTTGTTTGTTTTTCCTTTTTTTGTAACAAAGAAAATTCAGTTTTAAAGTGTTTTTCAATTTCTCTCTGAGCTTTCTTTCATTCTCTGATTTCTTTGCTTCTCAGTGGGATAATATAAACCAATTTTCTGTTGTCTATTATTCATCAAAGCTGTCGATTTACCCTGAACAGAACGAAGAGAAGGATATTATTAAAATAAAACAATTTCCAATTGAGCTGCTAATAAATGCTGAAATGCATCTACATTTCTCCTATTGATTATCTCCTGCTGACAAAGGCAAACACAAGCTTGTATGGCAGGCTGCCCGTGGAAATGAAAGATTTAATTAGATGAAAACCGAATGAGCTGGAAGATCTACTGCACTCAGTCAACAAGCGATTGTTATTCATAATTGGCTGTTTAAAATGTCCCTGCTTATTGAGCCTTTTTCACTTAAAAAATTCCCTACAGTGCATTAAGATGAACGAAATCGTTAGTAAATTTTCCCCTGTGCATTCTGCAAGCTCAGGGTTGTGGACTAGAATGAGCCCTGTCAGGCCATAAATCAGGTGTAATACAACATCTTGAAATTGGGAACTAGCAAGCAAAAGCAGGGAGACAGTTTCCTCTCTATGTAGCCGTATGTCCAAGTGCTGAAGGTGGAAAAAGAGACGCTAGTGGAAGAGAGGTAAGAAGAAGCCCAGAAACTTAGGGAGTGGGATTCTTTAGAACTCACTAGCTCTGCAGGTGCCTGCATTTAAAATTTAGTGTCTGATAAATGCACTGATATTTAGTGAGGGGAGTATATTACAAAGTCGGTATTCATTTCACCAGGAGGATTTCAGATACCTCTCAAGTTCCCTGCTCTTCAAGACACAGTGGGGAAAAGAAAGATGGATGGAATTGTTGCCTGTGGCAGCCACGTGCCATTTAGCCTATACAAATGTTCCTTCTTGGAATCCCAAGCAAGTCATGAACGTTTGAAGGCTTTGGTTTCCTCATTCACACAATGGGGATATCGATTGCACTGTTCTAATCCATTCGCTATGAGGATTAAATGAGATAATGTAGGTAAAGCTTTTAGCACAGTGACTGGGAACATATAAGCCCTAAATGACTGTCAGCTATTCACAATAATAATTCACCTTCCACATCTATAGGCTCTTGAGGAGAAGACAGTATTTCCTCTGTTTCTTATATTTCCGATAGCATCTTGCCCAATGCCTTACACTTCTGCTCTCCATAAAAATTTTTGAATGAAAGCGAATGTCAATCTCTCAATCTTGAGGTTCTTAGAGATTCACATAGGAGTTGACCATTGTTCAACAAATACATGTTTAAAATCTGACTTTTAAATAAAATTTTAAGAGACAGGGTCTCACTTTATCACCCAGGCTGGAGTGCAGGGGCCTCATCTTGACTTCTCGGGCTCAAGGGATCCTCCGGTCTCAGTCTCTCAAGCAGCTGGGACTAAAAGTGCATGTCAACATGCACAGCTAATTTTAAAAAATTGTTTCATTTTGTCTTTCTTATTGCAAAAGAAGTGACAGCTGCTTCTTGGCAGAGACAGTGAAAACAGTGGTCAAGAGGGCAGATGTGTGGGAGCCAGACTGCCTGAATAAGCATTTCTTTTCTCTCCACCAATGGAACGATTGGATTGTAGAGGAATAAATAAATTAATACACATACAACACTTGGAACAGTGCCTAGAACATAGCATGTGCTCAATAAATACTAACTAGCATTGAACAAAATACAACAAAAAACAAGAGATCACTCATTCTCGGGATCTTGAGATAACTGCTAAGAAACAGTTATTGAGACCATACTATGTGAGTGACAGAGTGCTAGGCATTGTGGGACGTATATATTAATAGCCCACTGATTGAACTCTTAGTGATATCAGGCACTGTGCTCAGTGCTTTGCACATATTGTCTTATTTAATTCACACAACAATCCTACGAGGTAGGCATATTATTATCCCCTATTTTTGAGATGAGAAAACAGGACCAGAGAGGCTTGGTAACTTCTCCAAGGTCATACAGGTGGTAAATGATGGAGCTAAGATTCAAACACAGGTCTCTTTGATTCCAGAGTTAACCTTTATGCACATCCCTAGAAGCCTGATACTAAGTTAAGATGAGGCAGCCCAGATGAAAGAGACAAACATGACCTAAGTGAGGTGGGAGAGCCGGCAGAGGACAAAAAATCAGACAATTGTAATACATTTGCTCCATGCTATAACTGTGACTGTTATAATTAGGCCTCAGACACTTTCTTAACACAGTGATTTGGACATTTGAACAAAGCTGGCACATGAGATGAAACCTTCTGCCATTCCTAGCACAAGCTTTGTATTAAATACAGACTTAAGAAACTCAGAGGGATTCTTCTGAAAAACCTTTATGGAGTTCCTAATGACCAGGTCTGATTCTTCATGTCATATTACGCTGCATTTATGTGGCATCAGAATCTTGAGGCTAGATTTTTTTTTTGAGACAGAGTTTTGCTCTTGTTGCCCACGCTGCAGTGCAGTGGCATGATCTCGTCTCACCACAACTTCTGTCTCCCAGGTTCAAGCGATTCTCCTGCCTCAGCTTCCTGAGTAGTTGGGATTACAGGCATGCACCAGCATGCCCAGCTAATTTTGTATTTTTAGTAGAGATAGGGTTTCTCCATGTTGGTCAGGCTGGTCTCGAACTCCCGACCCTAGGTGATCCGCCTGCCTTGGCCTCCCAAAGTGCTGGGATCACAGGCATGAGCCACTGTGCCCAGCCCGAGGCTAGATGTTTTTTAATATCTGGCCCCCTTTAGTCACCACTCCCATATAAAAACACTATTATGTTAGTTCTTGTTTCTCAAGTGTAATCTTGAATCAAGTGGAAGAGATAAACAACGTCAATGAAAATATCTTTTGCAGACACTGGCAGGATTTATCCTTTTGGAAATGAGATAAAAGATGCATAAATGTTTAATTTTACTTTTGATGTTAATGTAACCATTGAGCACACTTGGTCCCCAAGCAAATTAATTGCTACAAAATGATAATAAATAGCACACAGTCTGTATTGAACTGTTGTCTGTTGGATTAGCCACCCCTCCGCATGGTCTCATGGAAGAAGCTGACCTCTATACCCAAGTTTGATGAGCAGCTGTGCTGCATTAAGCACATTGGAAGGCTCCTTGGAAAACCTGGGGTCCTGATCCTCTAGGTTCAGGTTGGTTCTTGGCATGTTGTGGAGTGAAAGTTGTTTGTGCAGTGAAGGTTCCCTCTCCCTTGGGGAGGATGTGCAAGGCGTGACTCAGAAGTCCCAGTGTAAGCCTGGCCAACATGGTGAAATGCCGCTCTACAAAAAATACAAAAGTTAGCTGGGTGTGGTTGTGTGTGCCTGTAGTCCCAGCTACCTGGAGGCCGAGGTGGAAGGATCAATTGAGTCTGGGAGGTTGAGGCTGCAGTGAGCTGTGATCGCACCACAGCACTCCAGCCTGGGTGACAGACCCAGACTCTGTCTCAAAAAAAAAAAAAAAAAAAAAAGTCCCAATGTTGAGGCTAGCTTCCCCAATCCCTAGCTGTGTGATATTTAAAAGTCAAAGCCTCTCTGAGCTTTACTTGGTTTATCTGCAAAACAAAGTTGTGGCTAATAATTATATATATATATATTTTTTGTAATTTGTATTTTTAATTGTGGTAAAATACTTATAAGCTAAAATGTATCATCTTCACCAATTTTAAGTTCCCAGTTCAGTAGGCTAACAATTGTATTTAAGTATAATTTTAACTGTACCAATATTACCCCCGCTAGCCTGGCAGAATCATGGTGAGGGTCAACTGAGAAGGATGTGAAAATGCTTTGTAAGATAAAATGTCCTTTGCAGATATCAGTCGCTATGGTGGGCATGACCCCATCCTCTTTCTGTTTCCCACTCTGGGGCTTGGACTTCAGATCCCTTCAGTTCTAAGATTCTGTGGAAATGTTACTTCTTACCTGGTAGAGATTTCCATCTCAATAAGGAGTCAGGCTTTACACCAAAAGCCTGGAGTTTTCTCTAGGGAATCAGCATAATCATACACATAGCAATTTGGTTACTTTTCTTGTCACCCTATGGAGGAAGCCATTGGTAAAGTCTTTCTGGCTTGTTGGTGATCCTGGTGTATCTCCATAGCCATATCTATTTATTTATTCAAAAATATTTATCCAGTCCCTTCTAATTGCTAGGTCCTGTTTGAGGTCCTGGGAGCACAGCCTTGAACGAAAGAGACAAACTCCCTGCCCTCATGGAGCTTACCTTTCCTTGGGGAAGGCAGGCAACAAAGTAGATATAAAATATCAAGTAGGAAGTTCAGCTTGCAACTGAAATCCTCTAGCCTCACTCTGGTGCTTTGAAACAAATGGAGCTTTCAGGAGCTGCTGATAAAGGATGGGGATGCTGGCTTGGAGGCTGAGGCAGGAGGATTGCTTGAGGCTAGAAGTTGGAGACCAGCCTGGACAACATAGTAAGACCCCTTCTTTACAAAAAATTAAAAAAATTAGCTGGGTGTGGTGGTGCACGTTTGTAGTCCCAGCTACTCAGGAGGCTGAGGTGGGAGGATTGTTTGAACCCAGGAGGTGGAGGCTGCAATCAGCTACGATTGTGCCATTGTACTCCAGCCTGGGCGACAAAGTGAGACCCTGTCTCAAAAAAAAAAAAAAAAAAAAAAGATGTCGAATTCTTTTAAAACAGGGCTGTGAAATTTGGTAAAGAGGGGACAACCCTGTTAAAAAGAAGAGGAGATAAACATTTCTTGAGGCTTTCTCATGTACCAGGCACCCAAATTACCATAATTCATTTATAATTTTGCATTCATTTGGATATTGGTCTAGCTGCTTTAATATAGAACAAAATAATAGAGGCTTTAATGAGGCAGAAGTTAATTTTTCTCTCAGATATACAAGTTTGGGCTAGTGGGTGGTTCTGTAGAGCAGAGCAGCAATATTTCCCAAGGTTATTCTAGAGCCTGGGCTCCTTGTATTCAGCTGCTGTACTGTGTATGTCCCAGAGTGCTGCCGCAGTGGATGGGGTCAAAGATGATGCACACCACCCTGATAATTGTGTTGCAGCCAGCAGGAAGAGCAACGGGAAGTGAGGGCATGCCCCCTAGTCTTAAGGGTGTGGCCTCAGAGTTATAGACATTATTTTCTCTTATATTTCATTAGCCATAGGGTTGTCAGATTTGGCATATAAAAATGGAGTACACCCAGTTAAATTTGAATTTCAATAACTATGCTTTTTTGTCCAAATGGGGCATATTTATACTAAAAAATTATTGGGCCAGGCACGGTGGCTCCCAGCACTTTGGGAGGCCGAGGTGGGTGGATCACTTGAGGTCAGGAGTTCGAGACTAGCCTGGCTGACATGGTGAAACCCCATCTCTACTAAAAATACAAAAATTGGCTGGGCGTGGTGGCACGGGCCAGTAATCCCAGCTACTTGGGAGGCTGAGGCAGGAGAATGGCATGAACCCAGGAGGCGGAGCTTGCAGTGAGCCGAGATCATGCTACTGCACTCCAGCCTGGGTGACAGAGCAAGACTCAGTCTCTCTCTCTCTCTCTCTCTCTCTCTCACACACACACACACACACACACACACACACACAGAGTATTGGACTTTTAATTTGGGACATACTCGTACTAAAACATTATTAGATGTTTATCTGAAATTCAAATTTAACCCTGCATCCTGTATTTTATTTGGTAATGCTAATTGGCCAGAACCTGGTCACATGGACACACCCAGCTGCAAGAAAGCTTGGGAAATGTTGTCTTTAGCTGGGTGACAATGTGTCCAACTACAGCTTGGGGGTTTTTAATTACTGAAAGGAAGCAGGGGAGAATGGATATGGGGGATGTGGTGGGATTAAGGATGGATATAAGTAGGTACTAGCATCATCCTCATCTTGCAGATGAGGGAGACACAGAGTCAGGACTGGAATCTAGGTCTGTGTCACTTCACTGCTCTGCCAGGAGGTGACGAGGAAGGCAGCTTTGAGAGATGGCGGGAATTACTCAGCCAGCCCTTGATTCTGACATTGTGGCAGGAGCAAGAGGAAGAAGAACCGAGGCTGAAGAGGACCACTTTCTCCACTTCCTCCTGCACTCTTCCTAAGCACTCAATTCTGTCTGAGACTTTAGATCTAAGATAGTCTTATTTGTTATTGGCTTCAATAGAATAAAATCTTATCTCTTCCACCATGAAAAAAATAAAAGGAGTACATGCTCATGGAAGTTGGTAGCTGTGATACCAATAGAAGTGTAAACTCTATGGCTAGCCACAGTGGCTCACGCCTGTAATCCCAGTACTTTGGGAGGCCAAGATGGGCAGATCACTTGAGGTCAGGAGTTGGAGACCAGCCTGGCCAACATGGCAAAACCCCCATCTCTACTAAAAATACAAAAATTTAGCCGGGCATGGTGGCACACACCTGTAATCCCAGCTACTTGGGAGGCTGAGGCAGGATAATCGCTTGAATCCGGGAGACAGAGGTTGCAGCGAGCCGAGATTGCACCATTGCACTGTAGCCTGGGTGACAGAGGGAGACTAAGAAAAAAAAAAAAAAAGAAGTGTAAACTCTAGGAAGAGGGAAGTGACTGGGTTGTAAAGGAAACAGGCTTTGGAATCATGAGGGATTCATACCTGGTTCTGAATCTATTTACCAGCTGAGCCTTGTTTTTTTGTATCTGCAAAGTGGGAGCATAGCACAGCTGCTCCATATAATTGCTGAAAGCATTAAAAGCGAAAATGTAGGCTGGGCACGGTGGCTCACGCCTGTAATCCCAGCACTTTGGGAGGCCGAGGTGGGTGGATCATGAGGTCAGGAGATCGAGACCATCCTGGCTAACATGGTGAAACCCCGTCTCTACTAAAAATACAACAATTTAGCCAGGCGTGGTGGTGGGCGCCTGTAGTCCTAGCTACTCCAGAGGCTGAGGCAGGAGAATGGCGTGAACCTGGGAGGCAGAGCTTGAAGTGAGCCGAGATCATGCCACTGCACTCCAGCCTGGGCGACAGAGCGAAACTCCGTCTCAAAAAAAATAAATAAAATAAAAGCGAAAATGTGCTTGAATCTAGAAGCCTCCAATAAGTGAGATTCATTTCCCTTTCTTCTGCACAAACAAGGCAGCCGTGGTCAAGTGGCTGCCTCTTCCACTCTGCACCTGCAATATCATTTTGAGCAGCTCTGAAATTTTCCCCTACCTTCTCCAAGCATAAGGGAAAATATTCATAGATAGGAATATGATAAATCAGGTTCAATACTCATTGCCATGGCTACTACATAAAGTACCGGAATCAGTTTCAAAAAAAGAGATAATTTATTATAAAGGTGTATACATTTCAGAGCTCCGATGCTGAGGGTGAAGGCCAATGGGGGAGATAGTTCAATTATGCGCCTGTCCACTGAGGACCCTGTGCTCAGGTAAAAGTTGCTTTTTGGACTGCTGACCTCCAATCAAAATCAGTCACATTTTTGACCCTCTTGACTCTGTCAAGCCAAGAGGATAAACATTGAATCACTGAGGTTTCCTCATCATCTGCTCAGGAGAAGACATACTCCCTAGCTCATTGATTGAGTAGGTTTTGTTTAAAGTGGATGTGAGGTGGGTATAGGCGGAAAATTGGCCTGTCAAGGAAAGAATAGCCAAGAGGCAGCACAATAGCAAAGGGGGAAGTCAGGGTAGGCATCAAAAGGTGAATTATCTCCAGCCTATGCTTTGGGAATTGGTCCCCTATCTATAAAATGAGTAGCTATCACCTATGTGCCTATGACAAATCTCCTGGAGGAGCCTCCATTTATATGTAATATCCAGAAGAGGTAAATCTGTAGAGACAGAAAGCAGCTTAGTGGTTTCGAGAAGCTGGGGAGAAGGGGCAATGGGGAGTGATGACCTGATGGGGCTCCCTTTAAGGGTGATGAAAAGGTTTTGGAACTAGATAGAGGTGGTGGTTGCACAGCACTGTGAGTGAACTAAATGCCACTAAGTTGTACCATTTAAAATGGTGAAATTTATGTTATGTGAATTTTATCTCAAAAAATAGAAACTAAAAATAAACAAAACCCTCTCTCAGATCCCTTTCAACCACATTGATGCTGTCAAGGCAGCCTCTGGAAAGATAAAGATAGTGGCTGGGCTCTGACCCCAGTGCAATGCCCATGGCTAAGTGTTGTGGGGATGGGGGTAGTCCTCACTCCCTCTGACCTGTTCCTCTTCTTACCCCTCACAGAAGAACCCGCAGGGCTGCGTGCACCAATGCCAAGTGGTTAAGAGTATGGGTTTTCTGGGGATCTTAACCTAATTGTGAATCCTGACCAGGCCACTATTGATGGTGTGAATCTGGATGTTACAGAACCTCTCTGAGCCTCAATTTCCTCACTTGTTAAATGGGGATGAGAATATCATGCTTTTGTTAGCATGAACTAAGCATGTAAAGCATTTAACACAATGCAGGGAGTATTACTACCATTCAATAAATGGTAGTGGCTATTATAAGTAATAATTCTGTTATCTGTTGTATCTGCCTGAGCATAATATTGGTTGCCAAGATCCAGAGGTAGCAAGAAGTTTTGTCTTCAGCTAAATCCTTTAAAAACAATCCCAAACCCCAACAGCCTATTGCGGGGTGGGAGGTGTAGAGACTTGGCAACAATCAAAGATATTATTATTGTCTTAGTTTTTTTGTTTTGAAAAGATCTAATAAATAGCATTCTTCTTCCGTGTCTGAGTGAGTCTTAAACCAATTGAAAAATAAGACAAAGGGCAGCTGCTCAGGCAGCAGATGCTGGAAGCCAGGCCCTGGGCATCATGCACTACAAATTTAGTGGCTTCAAGCAGAAGTTGGTGGGAGCATGGGCTTTGAGGCCTAAAGCCCACAGGGATTAAAGCCTGTGGTTTCCCTTCCCCTCCTTTCCCCTCCTCTACTCTCTCTTCCCCTCCCTCCCCCCTTCCCTCCCCTCCGCTTCCTTCCCCCTCCTCTCCCCTGTCCCCTCCCCTCTCCCTTCCCCTCTCCTCCCCTCCCTCCCTTCTTTCCTTCCTTCCTTCCTTCCTTCCTTCCTTCCTTCCTTCCTTCCTTCCTTCCTTCCTTCCTTCCTTCCATCTTTCTTCATGGAGTTTAGCTCTGTTGCCCAGGCTGGAGTGCAGTGGTGCAAACTTGAGTCACTGCAACCTCCACCTCCCGGGTTCAAGCAATTCTCCTGCCTCAGCCTCCCGAGTAGCTGAGATTACAGGCACCAGCCACCATGCCTGGCTAATTTTTTGTATTTTTAGTAGAGACAGGGTTTCACCATGTTGGCCGGGCTGGCCTTGAACTCCTGACCTCAGGTGATCCACCTGCCTCGGCCTCCCAAAGTGCTGGGATTACAGGTGTAAGCCACTGCGCCCAGCCAAGCATGTGGTTTTCACAGAAGCACCACCTATATCATGTTTGCTACACCAACTAAACTGACCTCCAATTCCACTGCATGTGAATCTGCTGGGAAAAACAAAGTTCCAGAACTGCAGAAGTTTTTCCAGAAATCTGACAGTGTGACCATCCACCTGAAACAAGGCCTGCCTGACCAAATGCATTATGGGACAGCCATGGTGCTGAACTGTGGGAGGGACCATCTACTACCTGATCGCCCTCTTCATGGCTTCACAGCCCTCAAACTAAGGAGTTAGTTAGGTTGCAGAGGACTGGTTTGCTTTTTGGTGTAAACCCTTTGAATTTTCCTTTTTCCTTTTTCTTTTTTTTGAGATGGAGTCTCACTCTGTTGCCCAGGCAGGAGTGCAGTGGCGCCATCTTGGCTCACTGCAACCTCCGCCTCCTGGGTTCAAGCGACTCTCCTGCCTCAGTCACCCAAGTAGCTGGGAGTACAGGAGCCCGCTACCACACCCAGCTAATTTTTGTATTTTTTAGTAAACACAGGATTTCGCCATGTTGGGCAGGCTGGTCTCAAACTCCTCATCTCAGGTGATCCTCCTGCTTCGACCTCCCAGACTGCTGGGATTACAGGCATGAGCCACCTTGCCCAGCCTGATTTTTCATTTTTGATTGTTTCTGTTAATTTTTTTTTTTTACTTGGATGGCTTACTTAACATTATTGCAAGAAGAATAGAAAGATATGAAGACAGTGTTTCTGTTTGTTTAGGAAAAGCATGTGGCTTCAGAGCTCATTCGATGGTTAAAACTATCATTTAAACAAGTGATGCCGTGCTCTATGCTTGTGTTCCTGATTTCCCTGGCGGTTCTGGTTGCCCACGGGCTTATTCACATCAGTCTGTGCTGAGGACCTTAGGGACTTACTTGAGGTCGCATTTTTGAGCATGGGGTAGAGAAGCCTTTTTGGATTTGGATACAGCTGAGGAAAGAAAACAGAAGCCAAGGCCAGGAGCATAAAATGAGGGGCTCAAGTTAGTAGTCACCTTGGGGATTTTTCTATCTTGCAGTAAAATCTTAATAGAAATTATCTGTAGTCTGCCTCTATTCATTGGGCAGTTCATTTCAAAGGGCTATTGGCCTCATCTCTGATCTTTAGTGAAATTGTGTGTGTAATGGTGTGTATTTATTCCATGATGGGAACAGAGAACACTTGTTTAGTGTTGCACTTTAGACTGGTGTCTTCTTTGCTAATGCAGCTGTGCCACCAATTCTCCGTTATCTTTTAAAAATATTGTGGCTTTAAATTATGACTTATTTTGACTGTGGAATAAATACACGAATGAAAAAAAAAAAAGAAAAATAAGACAGAAGGCTGGGGAGATATAGCTGATTTTGGAGATTAAAGGGATTTCATATTGCTGAATCCCCGAATGAGACTTCTCACCCCACCATAGACAAGGCTGGATCACTGGACAGCTGCCCAGATTGTGGTCTGTCCTTGATACACTTACAGTATGAGGGAACAGAGGCCATGCTAGCCCCTTGCAATAGGGCACGTTCCTAAGCCCACCAAACAGGGCAGGGACTCTGCCTCTAGGAGCGAAGCCAGGAATGGCCCTAGGGGACCATCTTCCAAATAGAAGGAAAGTCATGAGAGAGAGAGATGCCTCTTCACATTGTTTAGCTATAGGCCCATCCGAGTGGTCTCCATGACAAGGCAGGGGCTTCCTAGACAATGAGATAGCTGTCCTGCTTCTGCCCCCATGTGGTCTGACATGGGGGAACGCCACTCTACTGCTGGGGACCCTTCCTTTTACATTCAGTAAGAAGTCCTTTGTTACAAAGGAAATAGAATAGCAAACAAATAAACACAAAACCTGGAAACAGCCTAATTTTGCCCAACATTAGGGGAATAAACTAAATTATAGAATATCCATTCAATGGAATGGTAAGCCATTTAAAAAAGCTGTTTACAAAGGGCTTATAATAATGTGGGAGTTATGTGGCATTATGTTATAACGTCAAATGAAAAAAGTATGGTACAGAATTGCACATATAGTATGAACTTGGCTATATTAAAACCTCGCTAAGATTATACGTAGAAAAATGAACAATTTGGGAGGAAGTTTCCAAAATATTCACAGTGGTTGCCTTTTTGGTTAGTTTTTTCCTATAGCTTACAAATTTTCTATAATAAGCATGTATTTCTTTTGCAATGGAAAAACCCAACTTTATTTAAAAAATAAAACTTTTTTATAATGGCAGAGGTTACTCATTATCAGTCAAATCAACAATTTAGAACTTTATAGATTCATAAGATTACAGAATGCTAATGCTGCAAGGGACCTTAGAGATTGTCCTAGTTTAAGAATTAAGACTGGGCGCGGTAGCTCACGCTGGTAATCCCAGCACTTTGGGAGGCCGAGGCGGGCGGATCAAGATGTCAGGAGATCCAGACCATCCTGGCCAACATGGAGAAATCCCGTCTCTACTAAAAATACAAAAATTAGCTGGGCGTGGTGGCATGTGGCTGTAGTTCCAGCTACTCAGGAGGCTGAGGCAGGAGAATCGGTTGAACCTGGGAGGCGGAGATTGCAGTGAGCTGAGATTGCACCACTGCACTCCACCCTGGTGACAGGACGAGACTCTGTCTCAAAACAAACAAACCAAACCAAACCAAACAAAAAAAAATTAATTAATTTTTTTTTTTTTGATGAGGGAGGGTGATGGATCCCCTTTAAGGATCTCCTAGGAACTATGGCTTACTTCCTGATACCTTTTTTTTTTCTGGGGTGGAGTCTCACTGTCACCCAGACTAGAGGGCAGCAACGCCATCTCAGCTCACTGCAACCTCCGCCTCCCGGGTTCAAGCAATTCTCCTGCCTCAGCCTCCCAAGTAGTTGGAATTATAGGGATACACCACCAGTTCCAGCTATTTTTTTTGCATTTTTAGTAGAGACAGGGTTTTACCATGTTGTCCAGGCTGGTCTCGAACTCCTGACCTCAGATGATCCACCTGGCTTGGCCTCCCAAAGTGCTGGGATTACAGGCGTGAGCCACTGTGCCTGCCCTGTTCCTAAGATCTTAACACATTTAAACAACATCATTTAAGTTGCTTTTAGTTTCAAGCTACAGAAAGCCCTGCTCAAAGCTGTTTAAACAATGAAGAAAATTCATTGGCTCATGTAGCTAAAAACTTCAGCCACCTCTGCCTCTTAACAGTTACATCTCCACCACCTTGTCTCTCAACAGCTACAGCTGCAGAAAAATCTCATGCAATTGGTGGAACTTATCTTGCAGCTGGAATCTTAACTTTGAGAAAAATGGATTAGGTTTCCAATCTCTCCAGGTGGAAAGAAGACGAAATGGCAGTTAAGAAAGCCAAGCCACTGATTCTGCCATGATGGATGCACGAATACTATGAGAAAACAGATAGAGGAGCAATTGGTCATCAGTGTGGTCACTGTATGGCCTTCAACAAGCCCTTTTCTACTCTGGATCTCCATTTCCTCATCTCTAAAATGAGGCCGTTCAATTATGTGATTTGTAAGGGCCTCTTCAGTCCAGCTATTTCAGAAGTTTGTGAAAGACACCCTAGCTCTGACCCAGAGTTAAACAATTTTCTTCCTGGGAGTATTATCTTCCCAGCTGACAGGCCAGACCTACACATTTGAACATAATCATTAAACACCTGGCAAGAAGTGCCACCCCACATACAGTTTAATAATTCACATTCCAATCCAATTACTGTGAGTTTCATAAACAAGGGCTTATTAGAATATGATCGCTTCCTCTGAGTAAGCAGGTTTTTAGGAAATTACAATGATTATCTTCAAGATACAGGCATGAATAATATAATCATTCCTCCTCCCTCCTTGTTTTTATCGTTTCCTTTCATGCTGTCTCAGATGGGAGGTCTCTAGCCGGCAGCGACTCAAGCCAGCACCTCTCCCACCCGGGGCCCTTTCAGCTCCTGGACATAGTTCCTCCCTGTCTCTTCATTAGAACCCATCTGTCCTGGGTCCTTAGGGAGCTTAGGGATTTGTTAAGTGTCCCACTTATTATTTATTCATCTCTGATTTACTGTTTTTATTATTATACTTTAAGTTCTGGGATACATGTGCAGGATGTGCAGGTTTGTTACGTAGGTATACATGTGGTTTGCAGCATGGTGGTTTGCTGCACCTATCAACCCGTCATCTACATTAGGTATTTCTCCTAATGCTATCCCTCCCCTAGCCCCCCAACCCCCTGACAGGCCTCAGTGTATGATGTTCCCCTCCCTGTGTCCATGTGTTCTCATTGTTCAACTCCTACTTTTGAGTGAGAACATGTGGTGTTTGTTTTTCTGTTCCTGTGTTAGTTTGCTAAGAATGATGGTTTCCAGGTTCATCCATGTCCCTGCAAAGGACATGAACTCATCCTTTTTTATGGCTGCCTAGTATTCCATGGTGTATATGTACCACATTTTCTTTATCCAGTCTATTATTAATGGGCATTTGGGTTGGTTCCAAGTCTTTGCTATTGTGAACAGTGCTGCAATAAACATGTGTTCATGTGTCTTTATAGTAGAATGATTTATAGCCTTGGGGTATATACCCAGTAATGGGATTGCAGGGTCAAATGGTATTTCTGGTTCTAGATCCTTGAGGAATCACCACACTGTCTTCCACAATGGTTGAACTAATTTACACTCCCACCAACTGTGTAAAAGCGTTCCTGTTTCTCCACATCCTCTCCAGTCTGTTTCCTGACTTTTTAATGATTGCCATTCTAATTGGTGTGAGATGGTATCTCATTGTGGTTTTGATTTGCATTTCTCTGATGACCAGTGATGATGAGCTTTTTTTCATGTTTGTTGGCCACATACATGTCTTCTTTTGAGAAGTGTCTGTTCATATCCTTTGCCCACTTTTTGATGGGGCTGTTTTTTTCTTGTAAATTTGTTTAAGTTCCTTATAGATTCTGGATATTATCCCTTTGTCAGATAGATAGATTGCAAAATTTTTCTCCCATTCTGTAGGTTGCCTGTTCACTCTGATGATAGTTTCTTTTGCTGTGCAGAAGCTCTTTAGTTTAATTAGATCCCTTTTGTCAATTTTGGCTTTTGTTGCCATTGCTTTTGGTGTTTTAGTCATGAAGTCTTTGCCCATGCCTCTGTCCTGACTGGTATTGCCTAGGTTTTCTTCTAGGAATTTTATGGTTTTAGGTCTTACGTTTAAGTCTTTAATCCATCTTGAGTTAATTTTTGTATAAGGTGTAAGGAAGGGGTCCAGTTTCAGTTTTCTGCATATGGCTAGCCAGTTTTCCCAACACCATTTGTTAAATAGGGAATCTTTTCCCCATTGCTTGTTTTTGTCAGGTTTGTCAAAGATTAGATGGTTGTAGATGTGTGGTGTTATTTCTGAGGCCTCTGTTCTGTTCCATTGGTCTGTATATCTGTTTTGGTACCAGTACCGTGCTGTTTTTATTACTGTAGACTTGTAGTGTAGTTTGAAGTCAGGTAGCGTGATGCCTTCAGCTTTGTTCTTTTTGCTTAGGATTGTTTTGGCTATATGGCTCTTTTTTGGTTCCATATGATATTTAAAGTAGTTTTTTCTAATTCTGTGAAGAAAGTCAGTGATAGCTTGATGGGCATAGCATTGAATCTATAAATTACTTTGGGCAGTCTGATTACTTTTGCATGTGAGTGGAAGAGTTTTGGGGGGAAAAGCAGCACAATGACAGTCAGTGGACTGTGTGCCTTTGGGCATTCATGACACTTTCTGGTCTCCAGAGCTCTATTTTTAAAATAAAGTGATTGAATTAGACCAGAAATTCTTAATCTGGGGAACATGGGCAGGCTTCAGAGAGTTTAAGAGTAAGGCTCAGTTATACATAGTAAGTTGGGTGTGTCAACATTCATATCCCCAGTTTCTTTTTCTTGTTTTGAGTCAAAGTCTCGCTCTGTCAGCCAGTCTAGAGTGTAGTGGTGCAACTTTGGCTCACTGCAACCTCCGCCTCCCAGGTTCCAGTGATTCTCGTGCCTCAGCCACCCGAGTAACTGGGATTACAGGCATGTGCCACCACGCCTGGCTGATTTTTTTGTATTTTTAGTAGAGACAGGGTTTCACCATGTTGGCCAGGCTGGTCTCGAACTAACTCTTGGCCTCAAGTGATCTGCCCGTCTCGGCCTCCCAAAATGCTGGGATTACAGGTGTGAGCCACCACGCCTGCCCCCCAGTTTCTATTTAGGAAATAATGTGGTCCCCAGGGGCATGAATTCCATATCAGCTTCAAAGCAGAACAGGTGATCTAGCTAAGGCAATCAGCTCTCTAGGTATCCCCTCACATATTTTTTATTTTTATTTTTATTTTTTTTAGAGACAGAGTCTCGCTCTGTCGCCTAGGCTGGAGTGCAATGGCGCAATCTCGGCTCACTGCAACCTCTGCCTCCCAGGTTCAAGTGATTCTCCTGCCTCAGCCTCCCGAGTAGCTGTGATTACAGGCCCCCACCACCACACCTGGCAATTTTTTGTACTTTTAGTAGAGATGGAGTTTCCCCATGTTGGCCAGGCTGGGTCTTGAACTCCTGACCTCAGGTGATCCACCTGCCTCAGTCTCCCAAAGTGCTGGGATTACAGGTGTGAGCCACTGTGCCTGGCTATTTTTTATTTTTTAGGTGTTGTCTCATTCTGTCACCCCGGCTGGAGCACAATAGTGCAATCACGGCTCACTGCAGCCTTGACCTCTCTGAGCTCAGCCAATCCTCCCACCTCAGTCTCCTGAGTAGCGTGAGGCACGTGCCATCACGCTCGGCTGATTTTTTGTTTGTTTGTTTGTTTTGAGACAGAGTCTTGCTCTGTCGCCCAGGCGCAATCTCGGCTCACTGCAAGCTCTGCCTCCTGGGTTCACGCCATTCTCCTGCCTCAGCCTCCGGAGTAGGGGGGACTACAGGTGCCCGTCACCACGCCTGGCTAATTTTTTGTATTTTTAGTAGAGACGGGGTTTCACCGTGCTAGCCAGGATGGTCTTGATCTCCTGACCTCGTGATCTGCCCGTTTCGGCCTCCCAAAGTGCTGGGATTACAGGCGTGAGCCACTGTGCCCAGCCTAATTTTTGTATTTTTTATAGAGATGGAGTTTCACCACGTTGGTCAGGTTGGTCTCAAACTCCTGGGTTCAAGTGATCTGCCCTGCTTGGCCTCCCAGAGTGCTGGCTGGGGTTGTAGATGTGAACCACCACGCCTGGCCAGGATGGCACCTTAATCCACTATGAGTAGTGTCTTTATTAGAAAGAAGAGAGGCACAGAGGGGAGAATGCCACATGAAGACATAGAGACACAGAGGGAAGATGGCTGTGTGAAGACAGAGGCAGAGATTGGAATGATGCTGCCAACAGCCACAGAACACCTGGGGCTACCAGAAGCTGGAAGAGGCAAGGAAGGATCCTCCCTTGAGGCTTGTGAGGGAGCATGGCCCTGATGACACTTTCAGTCTCTGGAACTGTGAGAACAGAACTCTCTGCTGTGTTAAGCCACCCAGTCTGTGATTCTCTGTTACAGCAGGCAGCCTGAGCAGACTGACACACCGCTGTTGCCAGGAGAATGGAGGAAGGCAATTGGCGAGGCCCAGGGCACATGGTCACCCCATGTGTCATGCCCACTCAAATAACCAGAGCTGTGAGAGAGGGAAAGCTGGTCCTCTAAAGGAAAATCGAGGAGCAGTTTCAAAAATAGGAGAAATGGAACCTTGCGTAGGCAAGAACTGGAAGTGTCCACTATAACATTTAATGCCCTATTTCGGCCAGGCACGGTGGCTCGCGCCTGTAATCCCAGCACTTTGAGAGTCCGAGGTGGGCGGATCAGGAGGTCAGGAGATCGAGACCATCCTGGCTAACACAGTGAAACCCCGTCTCTACTAAAAATACAAAAACAAAATTAGCCAGGCGTGGTGGCGGACGCCTGTAGTCCCAGTACTCAGGCGGCTGAGGCGGGAGAATGGTGTGAACCCGGGAGGTGGAGGTTGCAGTGAGTCGAGATTGCGCCACTGCCCTCTAGCCTGGGCAACAGAGCGAGATTCCATCTCAAAAACAAACAAACAAACAAACATTTAATTCTCTATTTCAGGTCCTCAGCACTTCTTGCCTGAGTTCCTGATGGAATCGCCCAACTTTCCTTCAAGTTTTCCTCCTCTTCTCTTTCCATCCTATTTTATACAAGATGCCAGGTTATTATTCCTCAGTTTTGGTTGTGCTCTTACCACTCTCCTGTGCAAAATCCTTCGAAGCTTCCCCAAACCAACAGAAGAAAAATCCCGCTCTTTAAACTGACCTTGACAGGCACTTTCAGGCTGGCTTCCAGCACCTACCATCTCCATATGTAGAAATCTGACTTGCCCTCTAAAGCCTACATCAAATACTGTCTCCTCCAAGATGCTTCCCAGATGTTTTCTTAGCTGGAAGTTTTTACTGGCCTCTGGACTTTTTCTCCATTTTCATTAAGGTACTTGTATTAGTTTGCCAGGGCTTTCATAACAAAATACCATAAACTGGGTTGCTTAAACAATATAAATTAATTTTTTCACAGTTCTGGAGGCTAGAAGTGCAAGATCAAGGCATCGACAGGCTTAGTTTTCCTGAGGCATCTCTCCTTGATTTATAGACAGCTACCTGCTTACCAGGTCCTCTCATGGCCTATTTTTTTTTTTTTTGAGACAGAGTCTCACTCTGTGGCCCAGGCTGGAGTGACACAATCATGACTCACTGCAGGCTCAATTTCCTGGGCTCAAGCAATGCTCCCACCTCAGCTTCCCAAGTAGCTGGGGCTACAGGTGCATGCCACTATGACTGGCTTTTTTTTTTTTCTTTTTTTAAAGAGATGGGGCCGGGAACAGTGGCTCATGCCTGTAATCCCAGCACTTTGGGAGACCGAGGTGGGTGGGTCATTTGAGGTCAGGAGTTCGAGACCAGCCTGACCAACATGGTGAAACCCCACCTCTACTAAAAATACAAAAATTAGCTGGGCATGGTGGCGGGCAACTGTAATCCCAGCTACTCGGGAGGCTGAGGCAGGAGAATCACTTGAACCCAGAAGGCAGAGGTTGCAGTGAGCCGAGATCGTGCCACTGTACTTCAGCCTAGGTCACAGAGTGAGACTCCATCTCAAAAAAAAAAAAAAAAAAAAAGAGAGATGGGAATCTCTCTGTGGTGTTGCTGGTCTTGAACACCTGGTCTCAAGTAATCCTCTTGCCTTGGCCTCTCAGAATTCTGGGATTACAGGCGTGAGCCACTGCAACTGGTCTTTCTTCCTCTTACAGAGATACCAGTCATACTGCATTACGGTCCCATCCTAGATGCCTCATTTTAATTTACTATTTGAAATGCTATACCAAATACAGGCGCATGGATTAAGGCCCACCCATATGACCTCGTGTATCCCTGAATACCTCTTTAAACACCCTGTCTCCAAATAAGGTTACTGTCTGAGGAACTGCATGTTGGGACTTTGACATATAAATTTTGATGGGAGGACGCAATTCAATCCATAACAGCACTTAAAACTTCTTATTTTATTTTATGGATATTTGTGCACTTATTTTAACTCCCTTAGAAGATGGTAAGCTCCTTGAAGGCAGGAAGTATATCCTATCTCTATCCTTTTATCTCCCACAGTGTTTAATGGACTTTCTTGGACTTAGTAAATGCTCAAAATTTTTCGTTGAGTGAATGAATGTTATATAAAATAATTCTTGATTAATAATAATTTCTCGTTTCCCAAATTTTATATTAAAAAACTATATAGTGGAGATAGCATTGGGCTTGATGTCAAAGACCTGGGTTCTTTTCCCAACTCTGTCACTTTCCAGTTGTGTGCCCTTGAATAAGTCACCTAATCTCTCTGGGACTCCATTTCCTCATCTGTAAAGTGGGAATACTAACACTGTCCTGTTTGCTTTACAAGTCATTAATGAATATTAATAAAATAGTTTAGTAACCCTCAAAATATTTGGGGGCAACTACTATATACCAGGCATTGTTCTGGGCACTTGAGATATAATAGTGAACAAGCTGGGCCAGGTTCCTGTTGACAGAAGATTTTTCTCTCGGCCCCTTTGCTGGACTCGCAGCAGTGGTGCCCTGTCTACTTGGCCTGCCGCACTCAGCCCCTTCCGGGAGGGAGCATATGAGCGAGCCAGTGTGGGATCTGGCCGGCCACTCCGAGCATGACACAGGAGCAAGCTCTGTGTGGGGCCCATGGCCAGACCAGGTGCAAGGGTGCCCATGACAGAGAAGCTCCAGAGGGAGTGTTAGGGTGCTAATTAGCTCTTTTAGTTCTGCCATACACAGCCTGATGGATGGTGGCATGTTAGCAGCTCAGTCAGCCCCTGGCCCCATCATGTGGAATGGCTGCCCTCTGCTGGCAGGCGCAAAAGGCCAGTGTCATAGCCTTTTTGGGTACCCGTTCTCAGTGGGTCCCAAGCTCTTGTCCAGCATCCAAGAAGAATGAGGATATGCTGACAATCAAAGAGTGAGCAAGGCAGGGAGTTTTATTGAGTGATGAAACAGCTTTCTGTGGAGACAGGACGTTCCCCTAACTGAATGCGGGGAACCAGTGTGACTGAGTCTGGGGCTTTTATGGCCTCAGAATAGCAGGGCCATAGGTGGTATTGGAAAAGGCAACATTTGATTGGTTAAGAGGCATTATTCAGAAAGACTCAATAGGGAAAGGGTGGACAAACAAGAACAGAAGTTCTCACTCTGGCTTGTGGGTTTCATCTGGGACCAGCAGTCTGATCTTTCAGACTTCAGGCTGTTTTTTGGCTGGAAGGTGGGGTTTCACTGGTGGTCTGCCCCTATCTACCTGGGCATTTGGTTGCCTCCTGTCACTATCACTGTCCTCATTCTTGTTCTTGTGGTGAAATAGGTGATTAACAAGAAATTATTACTGATGAGTACCCAAAACAATTTCAGAAAGTGCTAAGTTCAATGCAGACTATAAAGCAACGTATGTGATAGTGGGGGCTTACCTCCTAGAAAGGGTGGTTAGGAAAGACCTCTCTGAGGAGGCATTTGAGCTGAGATGTGAAGAATGAGAAAGAAGTGGCTATTCTGGGGAGTGAGAGGTAGGAGGGATGAGTATTCCAGGCAGAGGGAGGACAAAAGGCCCCAAGGTAGGAGAGAATGAGTGTGAATATTCAAGTAAGCTAGTAGGGTAATGACATGTAAAATTTGCAGCTCAGTCAAATGCAAGGCTTCCCACCCATCACAGAAAGACCCTAGGGTTGGGGTTTTATTTCTGATTCATCCGTGGTGTACAGCTGGGGCATCACTTTCCACGTATGCAGGCTTGGGCATATCACCTTGCCTCTCATGGTTTCTCCTTCCCTGCCCTGCCTGGCTGCCAGTGTTAGGAGGGGGTCAAATGTGGCCATGTGGGTAAAGGCACTTTGAAAATATGAAGCACTGTATGTTTTCCAGGTGGTATCATTATTTGAAAACAAGTTACCTGCGATTAGGGATTTGGACTTTGAATTTTGCAAGTAGCTTGCTGATCAAATTTTCTGAGGAGAGCTGCAGTCACCCCAGCTCAGAGCTCAAAAAGGCCCATCTCAGGCTTTTCAAAGCAAATTGATAAGAATTAAGTAGAGGTAGCTGCAGTGATGTGAAAGCTGTGTTTTGTGGGGGTTGAATTCTAACTTTCTTGCCTACTGAGACTCTACACACATGATTTGGTGTGAGTAACCCCCCTGTTTGGGTGCTTGGATGCCTATTAAAACTATCTTGGGGTCAGGTCATTGTGTGTGTCTGTGTGCGTGAGATTTTACATTGCAATAGAATATTCCAGAAAAGAGCCATCTGCTCAGATGTTTTAAGCATGCCACTGCCCCCAGAACTGATGTGATTGAACATTATACACATACATCTTGAATAGTGAAATTGCACCCAGGCACATATAAATTACAGTAACAGAGCATTCTTTTTTTTTTTCAACATCCTTTCCTGATGAAAATTCTTTTTTTTTTTTTAAATTATACTTTAAGTTCTGGGATACATGTGCAGGATGTGCAGGTTTGTTACATAGGTATACACGTGCCATGGTGGTTTGCTGTACCTATCAACCCATCATCTACATTAGGTATTTCCCCTAATGCTATCCCTCCCCTAGCCCCCACCCTCTGACAGGTCCTGGTATATGATGTTCCCCTCCCTGTGTCCATGTGTTCTCATTGTGAGAACATGTAGTGTTTGGTTTTCTGTTCCTGTGTTAGTTTTCTGAGAATGGTGGTTTCCAGCTTCATCCATGTCCCTGCAAAGGACATGAACTCATCCTTTTTCACGGCTGCATAGTATTCCATGGTGTATATGTGCCACATTTTCTTTTCTTTTCTTTTTCTTTTTTTTTTTTAATTTTGAGATGGAGTTTTGCTCTTGTTGCCCAGGCTGTGGTGTAATGGCATGATCTTGGCTCACTGCAACCTCTGCCTCCCAGGTTCAAGTGATTCTCCTTCCTCAGCCTCCTGAGTAGCTGGGATTACAGGCATGTGCCACCACACCTGGCTAATTTTTTGTGTTTTTAGTAGAGATGGGATTTCTCCATGTCGGTCAGGCTGGTCTCGAACTCCCGACCTCAGGTGATCTGCCCACCTCGGCCTCCCAAAGTGCTGGGATCACAGGTGTAAGCCACCGTGCCTGGCCAGCGTGCCTTATTTTCTTTATCTAGTCTACCATTGATGGGCACTTTGGGTTGGTTCCAAGTCTTTGCTATCGTGGATATTGCTGCAATAAACATACATGTGCATGTGTCTTTACAGTAGAATGATTTATAATCCTTTGGGTACATACTCATTAATGGGATTGCTGGGTCAAATGGTATTTCTGGTTCTAGATTAACAATTATCCATCCACTCAACAGATATTTATTGAACATTTACTATGAGCAAGTCGCTGAGATAAACAAACATGCTCTCAAGTGGGTATCTGTTTCTATTGGTTGGACTCTTGGTCTCTGTCTGTCACTTTCTCTTTGTCTCTTTCCCATGTTCTTCCCTGCCCCCTTCACTTATGGATTTGCCTCATTGGAATCAAGATCCATTCAACTAGTGGGGCTTCCATAATTGAGGCTTGGGGCATATCAAATGGAACAGCTAATGGTGACTTTTTTTTTTCCCAAGGCAGTTTATCAATTATGAATGATCAGGCAATCGCAGATCAAAAGAGTCCCATTTCCCCAAACGATGTAGTAGATTTTAGAATGAGATGAAATGAAATGGAGCTAAAAGGCATTTTTAAAAAGAAGGCTAAGGGATTTGGAGCTGGAGGTATGAAGCTCAGGATCAAGGAGACTTCTTGCTTTGGTTTCAGAGTCTTGGACAGCTTGTGCATAAACTGGAGGGCCGGCAGCTGGAATGACCAGGACACCTAGGTGCTGGGAAGGTTAGCAGGCTGGTTGTTGCGGGCCACTGCAGTCTAAAGAGTGATACTGACTTAACATTAGCAGCGGGACTGCTTGCTTTCTCTGCCTCAGCTCCTGTTGCAATTTCTATGCCATCTATGTGGCCTGGACCTTGTGATTTTCAGAGATGAGAGTGCTGCTGGGAAGCTTCCCTGACACCCCCTAGGAGGAAGAGTTATCCTTGCTGCTTTCCTGGGTTTGCTCATCCAGGGGGATTGTGGCAGCTGTTGTGATTATTCTCTCCATCTCTGTCTCTGTTCTCTCTCTGTCTATATTTATATCTGTCTCTGTCTCTGTCTTTCTGTTTCATCCTCTCTCTCTCTCAGACAACCCCCCACCACCTGCTGCAGTAGCTTCACTTCCCAACACACCTAGAAACCCACACATTCTCAGCTATAGAGACAAGGAGGACAACCCATGGAAGCACATTGGGCCAATTAGTGAGGGAAATTGATGACTATAAATTTTATGAATTCAAAAAGTTACTGAATAATACATGTTCAACACAGAAAAATTAGAAAATATAGGTAAACAAAAAAGCAAATGAAAATCACTGAGTGTATAAGGAATTTTTAAATTAAATACCAGTTTAAAAATATGAGAAAAGAAATCTATGAATGAAAACCAAATACTCAAACGCTTCAGAAGGGCATGAAATAAGGAGTGAGATCCTCTGTTGCTGGACCCCCAAGTCCCCTTCCCTTGAGACAAAAAATTCCAGAAATTTACTCTACCTGCACAAATGTATGTCTCTATGCATATGATCTTAAAAGAAAACCACAAATGGGAGCATAATGTTATTATTGTATTTTTAGTAGACATGGGGTTTCTCCATGTTGGTCAGGCTGGTCTCGAACTCCCAACCTCAGGTGATCTGCCCGCCTTGGCCTCCCAAAGTGCTGGGATTACAGGTGTGATCCCAGCACCTTATTATTCTACTTAATAAATTCCAAATACCTTTCCATGACAGCACATATGGATAAATTGTGAATATGGCAAATATACCTTAGTCATTGAGTGCCATGTTATGAGTACCATGTTAATTTTTGAATATCATGAATTATGAATACCATGTTAATTTGTGAATATCTCTGGAATACATATTGAAGCAACAAAGACAAGAAAAAAGGACACTCGGCACTACTGGGAAATGATACTTGATTATTTAGAATTTATCACATTTGCGTTATCTTTGTGGAAGGATGTGACAAATGAATTAATTTGCCTTTTCTCTAAACTGACCACTCCCATCACACAAATGCTCTGTGCACTCTGAATCACTGCCTGTCTTTGATGTCAGCAGTGACACAATCCGCAAACCTTCATGGCATTTGGACTCATTGTGTTCAAGGACACAGAGCCAGAGCAGGGCTGCTTCCCTGGGGCCTAGATGGTGCTGGTCTTGAGAGCAAGTGTTCAGGGAATGGGCCATGCTTACTAGAGTTGAGCACTGATGGACAAAGGGGCCAATATATTTTTTAATAAACAGATTTTTTATGACATGTGGGATCTTCTAAAATGGAGCGGGGCCCCTCCTGCCCAGGTCTATGGGTGGGACTCTACACTGGCATGACCGCACTGGTTGTTAAGATATTGAATTCTGTTCATACAGTTGGTAATAGATGCTGCTTTGCATCCCAAATGATCTCTCCCCGTGACTCCCCCTACCCTGGCCCTCCCCAGAAACCACCTCCCCTGCCCTCCTCATGATCCAGCAACTGAAAGGTTAATGCTGAGAACAGCAAAGGGCCTCTAGAACATGGCTCCAGAGCTGTTGCTGTGCCTATTTCTGTTGGCACAGAAGGGATGGAGGATGTGCTGATCAGGTTGTTACATATTTTTATTATTACCCCTACTTATGAGTAAATATTCAGTGAATACCATGCCCTTGTTTCTCTAAAGACAATTTTGTGTCAGAGACCACCGATGATAAAAACAAGATGGGTACTATGAGAAAACAAAGCCCAGGTGACAAGCTGGGATGCTATAGGTCACATCCATTTCATCAGGTGGCACATTGAGAGCCACCTTGACCACTTTGGTTTCTCCGGAACAAGCATCTTTGGCAGGAACCCAGTGGCAAAACAAACTGGAGTCATGAGGGGTGATTACCTTGCAACTGCTGCTTGCCACATTATCTCAAGAGTGATGCTTAGGATTCTGAAAACACCCTGCCTGGGGCCAATAGTACAACATTTAGAAAGACATGGAGTTGGTGCCATTTTTCCTCTTCGTCTACAACTCCAATAGATACGTCCCTTTTCCCCTTTAAGAAATGTGGCATTTAGGGTATTTAATTTAATTGGGTGGATTGGGTAGAAGTAGAATAAGTTGCTTTTCCCTGTCCTTAATTCTGTTAGGTAACCAGAGACCAGTTGGAACAAAACCAAATCTGATTTACCAAAGATAACATCTGTTAGCATGTTTTCTTCTTCCGGGCTTTTTTTCTATGCATGTAAATATAAATAAGTTGCTATGCTTTTACAAAATTGGAATTATTATGTTTTATATAGTTTGTATTCTATTTATACTTAACATTATATGGAAAGCAATGGCCAAATCATTAAGTATTCTTCTAGGACAGGATATTTAATGTTTATATAATGTTTTATCACAGGGCTAAATCACATTTAACACTTTTATTTTGGACATTTAGGCAATTTTCAATTTTTTGCTAATATAAGTAACTGTATGATAAATAGTCACATCTTTTCACACATCCTTTCCTTAGAATAAGGAATCTCAGCTTCAGAGATACTCCTTTTTAGTTCATATGCCAACTCTCAATCTTAGTTGCCACCATTAGGTTTAATTTCTCCCACAGCTTTTTTATGGCCTCTGGACTAAGCACCTCTTGAATTATCTCTGAACTCTCAGCAGCTTTATAGAAATAATCTGGAAGCTGACCAGCAGCTCTAGTTTCTGGGCACGTCTGATTTACAGATTT
The DNA here is from genome assembly GCF_000001405.40 of Homo sapiens. Taxonomy (NCBI): domain Eukaryota; kingdom Metazoa; phylum Chordata; class Mammalia; order Primates; family Hominidae; genus Homo; species Homo sapiens. The sequence continues at coordinate 155,010,533 of NC_000005.10, forward strand.
CCTAGACATGGGGCAGATACTGGCCATTGCTGACGGCTCCATAGTTTGTATGGGTAGTGTAAGCATCTAATAGGAGATGGAATCTTTTTTCTCTTGGCCTACTTCTATCCTCCTCCTCCCTTCTCTCTTCTTCCTCTCTCTCTCTCTCTCTCGCTCTCTGTCATCTTTCTTGCTCTCTCTCTGGAAAAGACAGATTGGCATAACCTGAGTCAGATACTCACATCTGGATCTGTAAACCATAGGCCAGATAAGGTGGGTTACACTGAAGAAATATAGCAACTTCTATAACCCTATGCATAATGAGAAGAAGAAGAAATTCTTAGAAAATAGTGACTGGGCAAACAAGGCAACAGGGTCCAAAACAATTGGGTTTGATAAGGGAGGGTTCTAATCTATGGTCTGCTAGAAACTTGCTGAGCCACTCAGTCTCCTTCGCTAGGACTCAATGTGCTCCTCTTTGGAATGACACAGTTGGCTGGGTGTGGTGTGCATACATGTAATCCCAGTACTTTGGGAGGTTGAGGTGGGAGGATCCCTTAAGTTCAGGAGTTTGGGACCAGCCTGGGCAACATGGTGCAAGCCCATCTCTGCCAAAAACAAACAATTGAACAAAAATTAGCCAGGCGTGGTGACATGCACCTGTAGTCCCAGGTACTTGGGAGGCTGAGATGGGATGGATGATCACTTGAGCCCAGGAGGTAGAGCCTGCAGTGAGCCATGTTCATGCCACCGCACTCCAGCCTGAGTGACAAAGTCAGACCCTGTTTCAAAAAACCAAAAAAAAAAGTAAAAAAAAAAAAAAAGACACAGTTGGACTGATTGATTCCCAGATTCCCTCTAGGTCCTTCAGTTTGTTGGTGGTAAAGCCAAGGCTCCAAACTAGGGCTTCTTCCTCATGACATATCTCCTCCAGCTAGCAGCCTTCTCCAGTCCATGCTGTTGTTTATGATGAGTTCCCTGGCTTCCACCTCCACTCCACCAGGCCAGAATGAAGACACTGACCTTTGCAGTTAACTTCCAAGAAAGATGTGTGTGTTTCTTGCTTTAGGCTGTAGGTGAAATATGAGTAAATGGAATTTGGGGTAATCATTTTTCCCTGCTGACTCTGTAATTGCATTGTGATTCCAGAACTCTTTTTCCTTTAGAGAATGTGAGATATTGGAAAGCCCTTAGAAGTCATTTAGTCCAGGAGTTCTTAATCTGAATTCTGTGAACCTCTGAGGTCTGGGAACACACTGAAATTAGAGGAAGAATGTGTGTATGTACATTTTTGAATCGGTAGAGGAGATCAATTTTTAAAGCCACCTTATTTTTAACGGAGATACAATTAAGATCTTAAAATGTACAGATTAAATATTCAATTTGATAAGTTTCCACGAATATATAACTTGAGCATCCATCATCCAAAACAGGACCTAAAACATTTTCATCACACCCAAAGGGCACCCCTTATGTCACTTTCTAGTCAATCCTCCCCTGCCCCCCATTCCCCCAGCAACCACTTTCTGACTTCTATTTCATATGACCACAGTTTATTTTTTTCTTGTTTTAGAATTTCATGTGAATGGAACTGTACAGTTTTTGCTCTTTTGTCTTGCATCTTTTGCTCAACTTTTTTTTTTTGTAAAAAGACAACATTTTTTAGATCAGTTTTAGATTCACAGCAAAATTAAGAGGAAAGTACAGAGATTTCCCACATGCCTCCTTCCCCCAGACATGTTATCAACATCCAGCACCAGAACGGTACATTTGTTATAATTAATGAACATACACTGACACATCATTATCATTCAAAGCCAATAGTTTACATTAGGGTTCACTCTTAGCATTGTACATCCTTGTCAGCATTTGATGTTGTCAGTGTTCCAGATTTTGGCCATTCTAGTAGGTGTGTAGTAGTATCTTATTGTTTTAATTTACATTTTCCTGACCAAATATGATGTGGAGCATCTTTTCATGTGCTTTTTGCCATGTTTATATTTTCTTTTGTGAGGTGTCTGCTAAAGCCTTTGGCCCATTTTAAAATCAGGTCGTTCGTTCACTTATTGTTGCATTTTAAGAGTTATTTGTATATTTTGGATAATATTCCTTTATCAGATGTGTCTTTTGCAAATATTTTCTCTCAGTCTATGGCTTCTCTTCTTATTCTCTTGACAGTTTTGTTTGAAGAGCAGAAGTTTTCGATTTTAATGAAACTTATTAATGATTTATTTCATGGATTGTGCCTTTGGTGTTATATCTAAAAAGTCATCTCACACCTGAATTCATCTAGGTTTTCTCCTATGTTATTTTCTAGGAGTTTAATAGTTTTGCATTTTACAGTTAGGACTATGATCCTTTTGAGTGAATTTTTGTGAAGGCTGTAAGGTCTGATTTTTTTTTTTTTTTTTTAACATGCAGAAGTCCAGTTGTTCCAGCACCATTTGTTCCATTTGTTGAAAAAACTATCTTTGTTTCATTGTATTGCCTTTGCTTCTTTGTCAAAGATCATTTAACTATATTATGTGGGTCTATTCACTGTATCTAAATGGTCTCTCTACTCTAATACATTGGCCTATTTGTCTATTCTTTTGCCAATACCACATTGTCTTGATTACTGTAGTTTTATAGTAAGTCTTGAAGTTGGGTAGTGTCAGTCTTATGACTTTGTTCTTCTCCTTCAATATTATGTTTGCCATTGTATTTTTTTTTTCCTCTCTATATAAACTTTAGAGTCAGTTTGTCAATATCTATAAAACAACTTGCTGGGATTTTGATTTGAATTGCATTGAATGGATAGATCAGTTTGGGAAGAACTGACATCTTTACGATATTCAGTCTTCTTATCCATGAACATAAAATATCTCTCCATTTATTTAGTTCCCCTTTGATCTTGTTCATCAGAGTTTTGTAGTTTTCATCACGTAGATCTCATACATATTCTGTTAGGTTTATACCTATTTCATTTTTTAAGTGCTAATGTAAGTGGTATTGTGCTTTCAATTCTGAATATCACTTATTCACTGTTGGTATATAGGAAACCAATTTACTTTTGTGTATTAACCTTGTATCCTTTAAGTTTATACTATACTCACTTATTAGTTCCAGGACATTTTTCTGTTGTTGGTTAAAAAGAAATTTCTCGATTTACCCTCCCCTTCCCACCGTGCTGGCCTGCGCGCGCGGACGTGCGCGCTCCGCCCTCGGGCCGCCTGCACTGCAATTGGTTGGTGTCTCTGGGAGGGATTTGAAACTTGGCGGTTAAAGCTCCGGCTGGGACAGGGCGGCGGGAGACCCCGGGTGAACGGGGAAGGGACATTTAGTTTGAGACGGTGCTGAGATAGGATCATGAAGGAAGAGGTGAAGGGAATTCCTGTAAGAGTGGCACTGCGTTGTCGCCCTCTGGTCCCCAAAGAGATTAGCGAGGGCTGCCAGATGTGCCTTTCCTTCGTGCCCGGGGAGACTCAGGTGGTGGTTGGTACTGATAAATCCTTCACCTACGATTTTGTGTTTGACCCCTGTACTGAGCAGGAAGAAGTCTTCAATAAAGCAGTAGCGCCGCTCATAAAAGGCATATTTAAAGGATATAATGCAACGGTCCTGGCCTATGGGCAGACTGGCTCTGGAAAAACCTATTCAATGGGAGGTGCATACACTGCGGAGCAGGAGAATGAACCAACAGTTGGCATTATTCCTAGGGTAATACAACTGCTCTTCAAAGAAATTGATAAAAAGAGTGACTTTGAATTTACTCTGAAAGTGTCTTACTTAGAGATTTACAATGAAGAAATTTTGGATCTTCTATGCCCATCTCGTGAGAAAGCTCAAATAAATATACGGGAGGATCCTAAGGAAGGCATAAAGATTGTGGGACTCACTGAGAAGACTGTTTTAGTTGCCTTGGATACTGTTTCCTGTTTGGAGCAGGGCAACAACTCTAGGACTGTGGCCTCCACAGCTATGAACTCCCAGTCGTCCCGATCTCATGCCATCTTTACAATCTCCATAGAGCAAAGAAAGAAAAGTGACAAGAATTGCAGCTTTCGCTCCAAGCTGCATCTTGTAGATCTCGCTGGATCAGAAAGACAGAAGAAAACCAAGGCTGAAGGGGATCGTCTAAAAGAGGGTATTAATATTAACCGAGGCCTCCTATGCTTGGGAAATGTAATCAGTGCTCTTGGAGATGACAAAAAGGGTAGCTTTGTGCCCTACAGAGATTCCAAGTTAACTCGACTGCTGCAAGATTCTCTAGGAGGTAACAGCCACACTCTTATGATAGCCTGTGTGAGTCCTGCTGACTCCAATCTAGAGGAAACATTAAGTACCCTTCGCTATGCTGACAGAGCAAGAAAAATCAAGAACAAACCTATTGTTAATATTGATCCCCACACAGCTGAACTTAATCATCTAAAGCAACAGGTACAACAGCTACAAGTCTTGTTGCTACAAGCCCATGGAGGTACCCTGCCTGGATCTATAAATGCAGAACCATCAGAGAATCTACAATCCCTGATGGAGAAGAATCAGTCCCTGGTAGAGGAGAATGAAAAATTAAGTCGTTGTCTGAGCAAGGCAGCTGGTCAGACAGCCCAGATGTTGGAGAGGATCATTTTGACAGAGCAAGTGAATGAAAAACTGAACGCCAAGCTAGAAGAGCTCAGGCAGCATGTGGCCTGCAAGCTGGATCTTCAAAAGCTAGTGGAGACTTTGGAAGACCAGGAATTGAAAGAAAATGTAGAGATAATTTGTAACCTGCAGCAACTGATTACCCAGTTATCAGATGAAACTGTTGCTTGCACGGCTGCAGCCATTGATACTGCGGTAGAAGAAGAAGCTCAAGTGGAAACCAGTCCAGAGACAAGCAGGTCTTCTGACGCTTTTACCACTCAGCATGCTCTCCATCAAGCTCAGATGTCTAAGGAGGTGGTTGAGTTGAATAACGCCCTTGCACTGAAAGAGGCCCTAGTTAGGAAGATGACTCAGAACGACAACCAACTACAGCCCATTCAGTTTCAATACCAGGATAACATAAAAAATCTAGAATTAGAAGTCATCAATCTGCAAAAGGAAAAGGAAGAATTGGTTCGTGAACTTCAGACAGCAAAGAAGAATGTCAACCAAGCCAAGCTGAGTGAGCACCGCCACAAACTTCTCCAGGAGCTGGAGGGTCAAATAGCTGATCTGAAGAAGAAACTGAATGAGCAGTCCAAACTTCTGAAACTAAAGGAATCCACAGAGCGTACTGTCTCCAAGCTGAACCAAGAGATATGGATGATGAAAAACCAGCGGGTACAGTTAATGCGTCAAATGAAAGAGGATGCTGAGAAGTTTAGACAATGGAAGCAGAAAAAAGACAAAGAAGTAATACAGTTGAAAGAACGAGACCGTAAGAGGCAATATGAGCTGCTCAAACTTGAAAGAAACTTCCAGAAACAATCCAGTGTGCTCAGACGTAAAACGGAAGAGGCAGCAGCTGCCAACAAGCGACTCAAGGATGCTCTCCAGAAACAACGAGAGGTCACAGATAAGCGGAAAGAGACTCAGAGCCATGGAAAGGAAGGTATTGCAGCTCGAGTGAGGAATTGGCTTGGAAATGAAATTGAGGTTATGGTCAGTACTGAGGAAGCCAAACGCCATCTGAATGACCTCCTTGAAGACAGAAAGATCCTGGCTCAGGATGTGGTTCAACTCAAAGAAAAAAAGGAATCTCGGGAGAATCCACCTCCTAAACTCCGGAAGTGTACATTCTCCCTTTCTGAGGTGCATGGTCAAGTTTTGGAGTCAGAAGATTGTATTACAAAACAGATTGAAAGCCTAGAGACTGAAATGGAACTCAGGAGTGCTCAGATTGCTGACCTACAGCAGAAGCTGCTGGATGCAGAAAGTGAAGATAGGCCAAAACAATGCTGGGAGAATATTGCCACCATTCTGGAAGCCAAGTGTGCCCTGAAATATTTGATTGGAGAGCTGGTCTCCTCCAAAATACATGTCACCAAACTTGAAAACAGCCTGAGACAGAGCAAGGCCAGCTGTGCTGACATGCAGAAGATGCTATTTGAGGAACAAAATCATTTTTCTGAGATAGAGACAGAGTTACAAGCTGAGCTGGTCAGAATGGAGCAACAGCACCAAGAGAAGGTGCTATACCTTGTCAGCCAGCTGCAGGAAAGCCAAATGGCAGAGAAGCAGTTAGAGAAATCAGCCAGTGAAAAGGAACAACAGCTGGTGAGCACACTGCAGTGTCAGGATGAAGAACTTGAGAAGATGCGAGAAGTGTGTGAGCAAAATCAGCAGCTTCTCCAAGAGAATGAAATCATCAAGCAGAAACTGATCCTCCTCCAGGTAGCCAGCAGACAGAAACATCTTCCTAATGATACCCTTCTATCTCCAGACTCTTCTTTTGAATATATCCCACCTAAGCCAAAACCTTCTCGTGTTAAAGAAAAGTTTCTGGAGCAAAGCATGGACATCGAGGATCTAAAATATTGTTCAGAGCATTCTGTGAATGAGCATGAAGATGGTGATGGTGATGGCGACAGTGATGAGGGGGATGATGAGGAATGGAAGCCAACAAAATTAGTCAAGGTGTCCAGGAAGAACATCCAAGGGTGTTCCTGCAAGGGCTGGTGTGGGAACAAGCAGTGTGGGTGCAGGAAGCAAAAGTCAGACTGTGGTGTGGACTGTAGCTGTGACCCCACAAAGTGTCGGAACCGCCAGCAAGGCAAGGATAGCTTGGGCACTGTTGAACAGACCCAGGATTCCGAAGGCTCCTTCAAACTGGAGGATCCTACCGAGGTGACCCCAGGATTGAGCTTCTTTAACCCTGTCTGTGCCACCCCCAATAGCAAGATCCTGAAAGAGATGTGTGACATGGAGCAGGTGCTGTCAAAGAAGACTGCTCCAGCTCCCTCCCCTTTTGACCTCCCAGAGTCGAAACATGGAGCAACAGAATACCAACAAAATAAGCCTCCAGGGAAGAAAAAGAAACGAGCTCTGGCTAGCAACACCAGCTTCTTCTCTGGCTGCTCCCCTATCGAAGAAGAGGCCCACTGAAGTTGGAGTCATCATCTCTACCCCCAATCTGGCTTGGGAGATGCTTTCCAGTTGCAGCCAGAAGGGGTTTTTTAAATGACTTCTCTGGATTTCAGGTTTCTTGCCGTTGAAAAAAAGGAACAAAGCATTACTAAAAAGAAGGTAACCTTTGTTGGATGTTGTCCCTCAGTCTCCATCCCCAGACTACTGCTCTCTGCTCTCTAGAAGGCTGCTAAACCACCTGCTGAAGAGAGAACCAACAGACTTTCCTAATGACTCATCAGGAACCAGTCCTCAGTATGATCAAGTTCCTTCTTATTTGTGAGCAGTTCAGGCTATCTCCTGATGGGGATGAGGCCAAGGCTTTCTTATCTTTTGGTTGTCTCTGCTTAATGGAGGAGCCTGGCCTAGGATGGAGGTCTGGCTCAGATCTTTCACTCCACCTCGGGAATGGGGTTGTGATCTTTCCTGTCCTGACCCCCTCTGAATTGTAAGTGTTTCAATAGTACTCTTGATTGTATGCCATGTTGTTGAAGTAAATGAATTATTTTTAAATGTTAAGTAAATAAACCTTAGCCCATCTACTGTTAAAAAAAAAGTCTCATAGACTATCATGCCATCTGTGAACAAAGATAAGTTTTGTTTCGTTTTGTTTTTGAGACAGAGTCTCACTCTGTTGCCCAGGCTGGAGTGCAGTAGTGTGATCTTAGCTCACTGCAACTTCTGCCTCCATGGTTCAAGTGATTCTTGTGCCTCAACCTCCCAAGTAGCTGGGATTACACGCTCATGCCACCATGCCCGGCTAATTTTTTGTATTTTTAGTAGAGACGAGGTTTTGCCATATTGGCCAGGCTGGTCTTGAACTCCTGACCTCAACTGATCTGCTCGCCTCGGCCTCCCAAAGTGCTGGGACTACAGGCGTGAGCCACTGCACCTGGCCATTAACAAAGACAGTTTGATTTCTTCCTTCCCAATGTGTATACTTATTTCCTTTTCTTGTTTTATGACGTGAGCTAATATTTTCAGTACAATGTTGAAAAAAAGTGGAGAGAGAGGACATCCTTGACTTGTTCTGTATCCTAGTGGGAAAACTTCCAATTTCTCACCATTAAATATGACGTTAGCTGTAGGTTTCTTGTAGATATTCTTTATCAAGATAAGTTCAACTTTGTTCCTAGTTTACTGAGAGTTTTCATCATAAATGGGTATTGGATGTGTCAAATGCTTTTTTTGCATCTATTGATACGATCGTGTTAATTTTTCTTTTTTAGCCTGCTGAGGTGATTACATTGATTTTTGAATGTTGAACCAGACTTGCATACCTGGGATACATTCTACTAGGTTATGGCATATAATTCTTCATTTCATTTTCTTATGATGTCTTTGGTTTTGATAATATAATCACATCATGTTTTCTGAGATTCATTCATGCTGTTGTGTATATTAGTAGTGTTACGGGATCTCTGGGGTGTAGATTTTTCTGGCCAGAAACCTCTGTGGCCACAGCACCTTTGCCTGGGTTCTTGTCCAGCGTCCAGGAAGAATGAGGTACACAGACAAGTGAAGGGTGAATAGTTTTATCTAGTATTAGAACAGCTCAGAGTGGGTAGCTCCCTCTGTAAGCAGGTTGTTCCATCAACTGTTCAGCTCTCGGCAGAGAGGAGACCCTGGAGAGGGTGGCTCCTCTCCGCAGACAAGTCATTTGGATGTCTCTACAGGTCTCTGAAGCTCTCATCTGAGAGGGTCGCTCCTCTCTGCCGGCAGGTCGTCTCTGTAGCTCTCAGTGGAGAGAGTACTACTCTCTGCACCGGTCGTCCCATCACCTCCAGCTATCATCGGAGCGAGTGCTCCGCTCTGCAGCTGGTTGTCCCCTCGTCGTCTCTCTGCCCTCTCCCTCCTCTGGCTGTCCTCTGGCCTGCTCTGCCTGAGCGCCTAGGGCTTTTATGGACCTCAAAGGGGAGAAAGTATGTGCTGATTGGTCCATGAGCGGCCATGGGGAGCCGGAAGAGGCACTACGAATTCCCACTCCAGTCCGCGGGACTGGCAGCCCAGCCCCCAGCCTTCAGGCCCTCCCTGGCCTGAGGGTGGGGCCTTACTGGGGACCCTGTCCCCTTCCGCCAAGGAATCAATCTGCCTCCTGCTGTCATTCATGGCCCCGGGGCTCGGCCCCAACCCCTGCTCTGAGACCAGAGCAGGGCAAAGAGGGGCCAGACAGTGGAAGCAGACACCCCCCAAGCCTGCAGGGACTGGGAGTGGGGTGGGGGTGGGGTGGGAGACTTCCTGGGGCCCCGGAGGGTGCAGGCTGCAGAGATGCCTGGGTCCTGCGCCTGGGAGGGCGGCCGCAGCTGCTCCCGGGAGCTTCCGCCCCGCCAACTCAGCCCAGCTCATGCCTGCTTCCTGGAGTGGGAGGCCCAGGTCTGCAGCTGCCGGTGTTGCAGATGCTTCTGCACCTGGGGGTGCAGATCCTGCCTGTCCCTGGCTTCGCCAAGAGCACAGGGAGGCTCGGATCCACAGCTGACGTTTGGGCGGCTGTAGCTCCAGGAGGGCGGGGCTCCTGCCTGCTTTGTAGAGCAGGAGGCCTGGGTCTGCAGCTGCAGGTTGGGTGGCTGCAGCTGCAGGGAGAGCTCCCGTCTCAACTCAGAAGGGGCAGGGCTCCCACAGACTCCATGGAATGTGCAGCCCCAGTCCCGCTTCCCTGCTGCAGCCGGCATGATGGCAGCAGCCACTGCCATCAGTAGTTGGTTCCTTTATATGGCTAAGTAGTAGTCAATATTATGAATATATAACAATTTGATTATCATTCTCCTATTGGTGGGTATTTGGATTATTTCCATTTTATGCTATTATGAATAAGGATGTAATAAATATTCCTTTATGAGTCATTTTGTGGACATATGTTTTCATTTTTCATGGATTAATATTCGGGAATTGAAATGTTGGGTCATGAGTAGATGTATGTTTAACTTGAGAAGAAACCGACAAACAGTTCTTCAAAGTACCTACACCATTTTTATACTCCCACCAGCAATGTAAGAGAGTTCGTTTTTCCACATACTAGTGAACACTTGGTATGGTCAGTTTTTGTAATTTTAGACATTCTAAAGTATGTAAAATGGTATCTCATTGTGGTTTAAATTCGCATTTCTCTTATGACTAGTTTTATTGAGCATAGTTTCATGTGCTTATTTGGCCAGTTGGAAAATTTCTTTCATAAGATATCTGTTTAAATCTTTTGCCCATTTAAAACCAGTTGGAATGACTTGTTACTTGGAAATAAAAGAGTTGTCATCAAGAGAAAATCTACATGTGCCGATAGCCTAAAGTAACTGACACTGGTGTTGAGTATAGATAAATGGGTGTTTATCAAAATATAGAAGGTGACTCTAGCAGAGGGAGCAGAGTGGGCAAAGCTACAGAAGTAAGGAACAGAATACTTTGTTCAGTGAATGAATCATAAGTAGTGGAGTGTGGTGGAGAATGGGATGTGGACAGCAGGAACTAGAGTTTTAAAGCACAGTGAGACATGGAGCTGGAGAGACAGGCATTGTTGGCTTTATATACCATGCTAAGGCATTTGAACTCTTCTAAAGATGGTATGGAATGACTTGAGTTTTACTCAGTAGAGTGGCATAATTAGATACATGTTAAAAATTTGCAGAAAAAATATACCTACTTTATATATACCAATGGATTGAGTCATGGAAGACCCTTGAAAAGATACGCTTTCTGGAGGCTGAGACACTTGTCACTGGCATGGGATAACAGATATGTTTAAGAGACTATGACTAATATTGTCTAGCAAGGCATGCTGAGGTCTTGGTGCTCCTCAAAAAAGTCTGTATTTTTGCAATGGAGGCAGTTTACAGAATTAAAATTTTATTGTTTTAAACCTCAGTATTTAGAAATTATGCTTATTTGCTTTTATGTCTTCATAACATATAAAAAACATGTCTTTCAATTTTGATGGGGGACTCTATCATAGGTTCTGAGTTGCTTTCATGAGGAAAACATTCAAAGGAAACAGCTGCATTGCCTGCATATAACAAGCCAGCTCAGGGATTGAGGACAGTGTAGAAGGTTAAAGAATTACACCTTCAGCAGAAGGTAGGAGAAATGCTAGAAATATCTTATATCAGTTAGGGTTCTCAGATGCAAACAACAGAATCCGCTTTTGCTGGTTTATTCAAAGAAGAAATTCATTAAAGGATATAAGAGGCTTACAGAATCTCAGGGAAGGCCAGAGATGAAGTCTGAGGCTATTCATTTAGAAACCAAGCCCAAATCACACTGTGGGGTCACTACAATGAGGACAACACTATTGCTCAGCATACATATGGTGCTATCACTGATCATGTGAGGGACTGGACCACAGAAGCTGTGCTACTACGGCCTCCTAAATCTCAATACTTTCATTACTTCAGTCATTAAAATATGGATTTGGCATAGTGTCTGCCTTCTCATGTGATTCATTTCCAAACTGAAGTCTCACATATGTCTGACTGGTAGAGCTAGATCACGTGCTTAAATCTGAGCAGCAAGGGAGCCTGGGAAAGTGAGTTCTGGCTTCTTTCTTGGAGAAGATCGACTTATAACATGTTCACAAGATATTAGATGGTTAAAATGTCTATAACATATTATGACATTACTCGTCTCACATAGCAGCTATCTGCAATTAAAAGGAGAGTGAAAACACGTTGATCAGGCACTGTCTCTTTCTTTCTTGTAAAATTAAAAACAAAACAAAACAAAAAATGTTTAGAAAGGGAGGAGAAATATCCCTAATTTTGGCAGGCCCTAAAAGAGATTGTATGAATTTACTTGAGTTATTTGTATGAAGTTTTAAACATCTACCTATTCATCTTCCTGTTCTGTAGCTAAGCTAGCATGCTAATAGCACTGTAGTATTAAAGAAGCTTTTGTGATCGGCCTGGGAACCATCACTACTTGTAACATTGTGCCAGGAACAGAGACAGCAGCAACATCCTGGACGAGACTTTCCACTTTGTGATTGATACTTTCTGCTAAAGCCCTAGTCATGCTGACTGGAAGCTATCTTGGCAGGATAAAAGGTCATCACTGGCATTAAGGATCTCTTTAGGTTTCAATAAACAGAATCCATTCAAGATAACTTACCCTAAAGAAGGACATTTATTATAAGGATACAGAGCTATCTCCTGGAATGCAAGGGTAGGAAGTTCAACCTGGCCCCATGAGGGACTAAGCCAGGACTCTGAAAACCCTCAGAAACTAATGGAAAGTGTGTCTGTCTATCTGTCTGTCTGTCTGTCTGTCCCAGCATCTTTTGCATGATTTGTCATCTCTGCTTCTCTCTAAACATCTGCTTCATTCTTTTCCTCTGTACAGACTGATGTCCTCTGCTTTTACGTATATGGCAGAAAATGGCTACTTCATTCAGTCCTTACATGTCCTTTCTGTTCAAGAGCCAACAAAGGCAAATGGACATTTCCAAGTCTTGACTCCAAATGCCTGGGACAGAGAATGCCTGTACTGGGTTGAATAGTGTATCCCCAAAATGTATGGTCTACTTGGAACCTCAGAATGTGACCTTATTTGGAAATAGGGTCTTCACAGGTGTAATTTATTAAGATGAGGTCATACTGGATTAGTGTGGGCCCTAATCCAATGACTGAGGTCTTTATAGGACGACAGGCATAGGAGAGAATGCTGTGTGAAGATAGAGGAAAAGATTGGAGTTACCCTTCCACAAGTCAAAGGATGCCAAGGATTACCAGGAACTACCAGAAGCTAGGAGAGAAGAGTGGAACAAATTTTCCTTTGGGCTTGCCATAGAAACCAATCCTGCCAACACCTTGATTTCAGATTTTCATCCTCTGGAACTGTAAGAGAATAAATTGCCGTTGTTTCAAGCCACCCAGTCGTTGTCATTTGTTATGGCAGCCCTGGGAAACAGAGAGAGTTTCTTTGGCCCAACTGGGTCCAATGTCCACCTTGTGCATTCACCTGGTTTAGCTATGGCCAGGGTGGAGGGGTCGAGCCAGACACTGTGCAGAAGAATCTCTAAGAAGGGGATGTAGAAGGAGCAGGCAAATTGATGAACAGATATAATAATTTTTTTTGTGCTTCCTTATAACCAGAGGTGTCTGTGGGTACCTAGCAGTGATCAGAGGGAACAGCAGGACCCTAGATATAGTTCCTAATCATTAGTACTTTAAGAACAACTTACCTCTTGCTATTTGTGAAATGGGATTGCAAAGATACCTTGCAAAGATACCTGATTCTGATGGCCTTGTCACTGTCTTTGACCAATAGAATGCAAAAGAGATAGGTGTCTGTTCTAAACCTAAGTCGTTTTTTTTTCTTTTTTTGACAGGGTCTGGCTCGGTCGCCCCCTCCCACCTCAGCTTCCCAAGCAGCTGAGACTACAGGAGTGTGCCACCATGCCCAGCTAATTTTTATACTTGTTGTAGAGATGCAGTTTTGCCATGTTGCCCAGGCTGGTCTCAAACTCCTGAGCTCAAGCAATCTGCTAGCCTCAGACTCCCAAAGTGCTGAGATTACAGGCGTGAGCCACCCCGCCTGGCCTTCTAAGCCTACGTCTTTAAGCATTGCGTGCTTTCACTTCTTCTCTTGGAACCTCGCTGTTGTCATGTAAAAAACCTCAGCCTGTTGCATGATTAAAGGGATGTGACCCAGTTACTTCCTTTGCCCCAGTGACCAGTCAGCCAATGACCAACATGTTAGTGAGGTCACCCTAGACCAACCAGGTGACTGCAAACACATGAGCAAGCCCAGTGAAGATCAGCTGAGTCAGGACCAGGTCAACACAACCACCTAGCTGACCCATAGACTCCTGAGCAATATTAAAGGTTGAGTTACTACATCTTAGAGTAATTTGTTATGCTGTGACAGATAACTGATACAGGGAGATTGACAATCTGGATTTTGGTAAGCCAGATATTAGAAAAGTAAGGATAATTCATTCATAAATAAAAATAATTCCTAGGTTTCATGTTAATAGCTGTATCAACTTGGGCAAGTTGTTTCAATTTCCTCATCTGATAACTGAAGTTAACAAAGTAGATTCTTTGGGGTGGGTTATTGGGCAGAGCAAATGGGAGAAAGTATGGGGCAGCACGTTATAAAACAGCAGGTTGGCATCATTTCTCTATACTCTGTCCTTTCTTTATTATTAAGGTTGGTACAAAAGTGATTGTGGTTTTTGCCATTGAAAGTAATGACAAAAACCACAATCACTTTTGCAGCAACCTAATAAGACATGAATAACTTTAGGAAATAATGGCATGGGTGTGTTTTATAAAGTTGAAAGCAACTTGATTTTTACCATGACCTAGGAGACCTTACGTGATCTGGCTGCTCAGTTCTCTTACTTTCCTACCTCTCTCTGTGTCCAGATCAGGGGTGTCCTCTCTGTTCCTCACACATGCCACATGCCTTCCCACATGAGAACGTTTGTACCTGCAGTTCCCTCCACCTGCGATAATATTCCCACCTCTCTCTCTCTCTCTGTTTATGTGAACCACAATTCGGGAACAGTATACTTATAATGCAAATAGGATCATGTGAAGTAGCACTCTTAGTAATTAATGTATGTTCTCTATTTTGAGTCAGAGCAACCCAAAAGATAAGTAAGGAAAAAAAAAAAACCCTTTGTCTTCTCCTATAGAGTCCCTTTAATTCACGAATCAGAATCTTGAGCAACCCGGGAGAAGCATTGTGAGTTTCATGAGAGCTGGTCAGGGGGCCTTCAGAAAAGATTGTTTCCCAGTCATTATTCTCTCTTTCTTTCCCCCCTCTCTTGCTTTACTGAGATAATTTTACATCATAAAATTTAACTGTTTTCAATGTACTATTCAATAATCTTTTTCGTGTATTTACAGAGTTATACAACCACCATCACAATCCAATTCTATCATCCCCAAAAGAAACCCCATACTCGTTTACAGTCACTCTCCATATCACCCCCAGCTCCAGGCAACCACTAATCTACTTTCTATGTCTATATATTTGTTTTTCTGGATGTTTTCTAGAAATGGAATTATACAAAGGCACACCTCTTTTAATGGCCTTCTTGCCTTATTCTTTGCATCTCAGCTGAAATGTTACCTCCTCTTTCCTTAAACTTCACTGTTATTCTGCGTGTCATCTCCTCATTGTTTTTTGGTAGAACTTATGCAATTTGTAATTATTTTATTTGTTTCTTTACTTGCTTCTGCCTGCCTATGCTACTAGAATATACTTTTTCTGAGGGCAGGGGCAATTTCTGTTTTACATTCTACTGTGTCCCAAGACCTACTTAGTGCCAGATGCAGAGTGGATGGATGTCCGGTAAATATTTGCTGGTTGAAAAAAGTTTTTAAAAAGTACTGGGGCAGCAGGATGGTGGAATAAGAGGCCCTAGACTCTCCTTTCCCCCAACAAATACACTGATTCAACAACAATTCATGGACAAATTCCCTTTGTGAGAAATACAGAAACTAGTTGAGAGGCTCTTTCACCCTGGGTGAGTGCAAAACTTGACACATCAAAGCCAGTAGGAAAATTTGACGCCCTCTCACCTCAACCCTTACCCCTGGCACAGTGCCATAAGATTGAGAAGAACCACGACTCTAGCTTCCAGCCTCTCCCTGAATAGGGAAAGAATTGAATTGCATGTACAATGCCCCAGCTTTTTCAGAGGTTCCTGAGGACTGTCTTCTGTCTTGCCAGTCTTGGACCACTGATAGGACCCAGCATACCCTAATCATCTAGAAGAGAGTAAAGATAGTGGTTTGAGCTGACAGTTGCCATAGCTCCTACCCCAGCTTAGCACAGAGTGAGCATATGAAAAACCCTAGCTCCCAGCTTCTCCCAAGGAACAGCAAGAGTTGGTCTGCATGCCCAATGCCCCACCTTTTGCAGGCACTGTCCAAATGACTGGAGTTTGTCTTGGAGTGCTGATAGAACCCAGCATAATCTAGCTGCCTGAGGTCTAGGGTAAACAGAGACAGAGGTTTATTTTATTTTATTTTTTGTTTTTTGCTTGTTGAGAAGGAGTCTTGCTCTGTCACCCAGGCTGGAGTGGCATGATCTCGGCTCACTGCAACCTCCACCTCCCGGATTCAAGAAATTCTCTTGCCTCAGCCTCCCGAGTAGCTGGGACTATAGGCGGCACGCCACCATGCCCGGCTAATTTTTGTATTTTTAGTAGAGATGAAGTGTCAACATGTTGGCCAAGCTGGTCTCAAACTCCTGACCTCAGGTGATCTGCCCGCCTCTGCCTCCCAAAGTGCTGGGATTACAGGCGTGAGCCACCGTGCCCTGCGGACAGACAGAGGTTTAGGCTGACAGTCTCCGTAGCCCCATTTCCTCACTCAGCACAGAATTAGTGAATGAAAAACCCTAGCTCCCAGCTTCTCTGTGGGGAGGGAAAGAGACCACACATCCAATGCTCTAACTTTTCTGGATGCTGCCTAAAGAACTGGCTTCTTTCTTGCCTGTCTCAGAGCATTAATGGAACCTAGCATTCTAGTCACCTGGGGGCTAGTGAAAGAAAGATAGAATTTTTACCTAGCATATAATTAGTCATCACTCCCCGCCACCCAGCTTGGTGCACAGTGAGCAGGTAGAAAAAAAAAAACAACACTCAAATTCCAGCTGCTCCTTGGGGGAGGAAAAGAGTTGGACAGCGTCTAATGATCTAAGTTTTTGGGGGGCTTCCCAAGGAATTGGCTTCATTTTTCACTTGTCTCAGAGCACCAACTGGACCAAACATACCTGGGAGTCACTGAAAATAAAGAAAGCAGGTTGGACTAGCAATAAAAGTTTGAGGCCCCAGAATTTCTGGCTGGGCTGGTTGATGAAGATATTCTCCTATATGAGGCCAGTCCATGAAGACTAGGAGAGGTGGACTTTTTTTTTCTAATGAGCAGACACCAACACAGTCAAGGTAAATTAATAAATAAATATTCAAGGTGAATGAATAAATAGGGAAATATGTTCCAAACAAAAAGGAACAAGATAAATGTCCAGAAATACCCATCATAAAGATGCTTACTGAGAGGACTTCCAGTTCCAAAATGGTGGTGCAGAAGCAAGCTGGATTTACTCCCCTTCACAGAAAACCAAAAACAAACATTGAGTGCTGAGATTATCCTAAAAAATACGCCAGAACTCAAATATGAAGATGAGATAGCTCCCAGGGCCTCAGAGAAGTGAAAAAAATTCTGAGCAGAGAATAGGACTTCCACATCTGTGATGCTCCTCCCTCCATTCTGCCCAGCACCAAGCATGCAGAAATATTTTCCCCCAATTCACTGTCTCTACACTGGAAACAGTGAGACTAAGGTGGACAACCATCTTGGATGCCCTGGCAGGAGATTTGTCCCTTCCTTAAGCCACGGGTAGCATCGAGAGTGTCTGAAGAGAGAAATATCCCTGAAGACAGGCAGAGACAAAGTGGGAGTTATGATTACCATTTCCAGCCCTGGGAACTCTGCTCTGTAACTTGGCCAAAGGAGATGCCAAATCACAGTAGCACACCACGCTGAAGGTGGTTCATTCCACAGGTCCCCTGGGCACAAACCCCTAGCCAGCTTTCCCACAATGCTGGGATATCCCCTTTAGGAGCTTCTGCATTCAGGAAGGACAGTGCTTCAATTATTTACTAGAGCTGAGGAGAACCTGGGCTTAAGGTGCCACCTAGAGCCAAAGGGGAGGCAGTGACCAAATAGTAAAGAACATCCAAGCAAACACATCTAATAAAAACCTAAACAAGCCAGTTAGAGAAGACTGGAATAAATAATTAAAGCAATACAAATACATAGACATACATCCATAAGAAGTAACAGCAAACAAGGAACCATGATCTCCCCAAACAGACAAAGCAAGGAACTAGTAACTGACCCTAATGAGATGGTGATATGTGAGCTCTCTGAAGAAGAATTTAAAACAGTAGTTTTAGGGGATCTCCAAGATAACACAAAAAAGCAAGTCAGAAATTTATCAGAAAAATTTAACAGAGATTGAAATAATTTTAAAAAATCAAACAGAAATCATGAAACTGAAAAATATATGTGCTACACTGAAAAATTTATTAGAGGGTCTCAACAGCAGAATTGATAGAGTGGAGAAAAGAATCGATGAGCTAGAAGATGACTATTTGAAAACACACAAACAGAGGAGAAACAAAAAGGATGAACAGCAAGATTGCCTACAAGATACAAAAATATTACCTTAAAAGACCAAATCTAAGAATTATGGATGTTCAAAAGGCAGCTGAGCAAGAGTACAGGGTAGAAAGCTTATTCAAAGAAATAATAACAGAAAACTTTAAAAAACTTGGTGAAGTTATAAATAACCAGGCACAGGAAGGTTAGAGAACACCAAATAGCTTTGACCCCAAATAAGACTACCTCAAGGCATGTAATAATAAAATTCTCAAAGGTCAAGGACAAAGAGAGAATCCTAAAAGTAGCAAGAGAAAAGAAGCAAATAATTTATAAAGGAGCTCCAATTCATCTGGCAACAGACGTTTCAGTGGAAGCCATACAGGCCAGGAGGGAATGGAATGACATTTTCAAAGTGCCAAAAGAAAAAAACTGACATTCAAGAATACTATATCTAGCAAAATTATCTTTCAAATCTGAAGGGGAGATAAAGTTTTTTTCCCAGACAAACAAAAGCTAAGAGAATTTACCACTACCAGATCTATCTAACAAGAAATGCTAAAGAGGGTTCTCAAATCTGAAAGAAAACAACACTAACGTGCCAAAAAAATTGAAAGTATAAAACCCACTGGTAAAATTGACTGCACAAACAAACCCAGAGTACTGTAATACTGTATTATTATTTCCTACTCATAACTCCAGTATGAAGCTCAACAGACAAATTTACCAAAAACAATAATAGCTATAGCAACCTGCTATGAGTTGGGCAGCATAAAAATATGCAAATTGAGACAGTTAAAATGTGGAGGAATGAAGTTAAGCTGTAGAAGGTTTTATTTTTCTGTTTTTTTCTTTGTCTCTATTATTTTCTTTGTGATCTAAGATAAGTTGTCATCTCTTTTTTTTTTTTTTTGATATGGAATCTTGCTCTGTCACCCAGGCTGGAGTGCAGTGGTGCCATCTTGGCTCACTGCAACCTCTGCCTCCAGGGTTCAAGCGATTCTCCTGCCTCAGCCTCCTCAGTAGCTGGGATTACAGGCACGCTCCACCACGGCCAGCTAATTTTTTTACTTTTAGTAGAGACGGGGTTTCACTGTGTTGCTCAGGCTGGTCTCGAACTCCTGAACTCAAGCAATCTACCCACCTCAGCCTCCCAAAGTGCTGGGATGACACATGTGAGCTACCATGCCCGACCAAGTTGTCATCTCTTTAAAATATCTGATTATATGTATGATATGTTTTTTGTAAGCCTTATGGTAACCATAATGTAAAAATCTATAACAGATTCTCTAAAAATAAAAAACAAATTAAAACATACTACCAGAGAAAATCACTGAACCAAAAAGGAAGACAGTAAGAAAGGAAGAGAGGAGTTACAAAACAACCAGAAAACAAGCAACAGAATGGCAGTACTAAGTCCGTACATATCAATAATAACACTGAATGTAAATGAACTCAATTCTCCAATTAAAGGGCATAAAATGGCTGAATGAATAAAGAAACAGGACCCAACTATATCCTGCATACAAGAAACCCACCTCACTTATAAAAACACATATAGACTGAAAGTGAAGGGATAGAAAAAGAGATTCCACACAACTGAAAACCAAATGATGAATAGAAGTGGTGAGAGTAGGCATCCTCGCCTTGTTCCTGTTCTTACGGAGAAAACTTTCTGTTTTTGCAATTGAGTATAACGTTAGCTGTAGTTTTTACATATATAGGCTTTATTTATTTTTATTTTTATTTTTTATTTTTTTGAGACGGAGTCTCGCTCTGTCCCCCAGGCCCGAGTGCAGTGGCGCGATCTCGGCTCACTGCAAGCTCCGCCTTCCGGGTTCACGCCATTCTCCTGCCTCAGCCTCCTGAGTAGCTGGGACTACAGGCACCCGCCACCACGCCCAGCTAATTTTTTGTATTTTTAGTAGAGACGGGGTTTCACCGTGTTAGCCAGGATGGTCTCGATCTGCTGACCTCATGATCCACCTGCCTTGGCCTCCCAAAGTGCTGGGATTACAGGCGTGAGCCACTGCTCCCAGCCTATGGCCTTTATTTTTATTTTGTTTTATTTTTTTGAGATAGAGCCTCTCTCTGTCGCCCAGGCTGGAGTGCAGTGGGGTGATCTTGGCTCACTGCAACCTCTGCCTCCCGGGTTCAAGCAATTCTCCTATCTCAGCTTCCCGAGTAGCTGGGATTACAGGCACCCGCCATCACACTCGGCTAACTTTTGTATTTTTACTAGAGATGAGGTTTCCCCATGTTGTCCAGGCTGGTCTTGAACTCCTGACCTTAGGTGATCCACCCGCCTGGGTCTCCCAAAATGGTGGGATTACAGGAGTGAGCCACTGAGCCTGGTATATGGCCTTTATTATATTGAGGCAATTTCCTTCTATTCCTAGTTTGTTGAGTTTTCTTTTTTTTCGTGAAAGGATATTGAATTTTGTCAAATACTTTTCCTGCATTTATTGAGATGATCATGTGATTTTTATCCTTTATTCTGTTAACGTGGTGTATCACATTAATTGATTTTTATATGTTTAATCATTCTTGCATCCCAGGGATAAATTCCCCTTGGTCATGGTGTATGATCCTTTTAATGTGCTGTTGAATTTTGTCTGCTATCCTTTTATTAAGGATTTTTACCTCTATATTCATCAGGGATATTGACTTGTAGTTTCTTTTCACGTGGTGTCTTCGTCTAGCTATAATAGCAGAGTGATGCTCTTCTTATTAAATGAGGTTATAAGTATTCCCTCCTCTTCAAATTTGCTGGAGAATTTGAGAAGTATTTGTATTAATGCTTCCTTAAATGTTTGGTGGGATTCACCAGGGAAGTAATTTGGTCCTGGGCTTTTCTTTGTTTGGAGTTTTTTTTTTTTGTTGTTGTTGTTTTTTAAATTAATGATTCAATCCCTTTGTTAGTGATAGGTTTGTTCAGACTTTTTTTTTATTAGACAATGTAAATTTATCATACTGATATTGTTTACAAAGATTAAAAAAATTTTATAACCACAGATTATTGGGGAACAGGTGATGTTTGGTTACATGAGTAAGTTCTTTAGTGGTGATTTGCGAATTTGTAGTCATTTATCCCTCACCCCGTTTCCATCCTTTCCCTCTGAGTTTCCAAAGTCCGTTGTGTCATTCTTATGCCTTTGCATCCTCATAGCTTAGCTCCCACTTGTGAGTGAGAACATACAATGTTTGGTTTTACATTCCTGAGTTACTTTACTTAGAATAATAGTCTCCAATCTCATCCAGGTCACTGTGAAAGCCATTAATTCATTTCTTTTTATGACTGAGTAGTGTGTATATATATATATGTATATATATGTATATATATAATATATATGTATATATATAATATATATGTATATATGTATATATTATATATATGTATATATAATATATATGTATATGTATAATATATATGTATATATGTATATATAATATATATGTATATATGTATATATAATATATATGTATATATGTATATATAATATATATGTATATATGTATATATATAATATATATTATATATGTATATATAATATATATGTATATATGTATATATATAATATATATGTATATATGTATATATAATATATATGTATATATGTATATATATAATATATATGTATATATGTATATATATAATATATATGTATATATGTATATATATAATATGTATGTATATATGTATATATATAATATGCATGTATATATGTATATATAATATGCATGTATATATGTATATATATAATATGTATGTATATATGTATATATAATATGTATGTATATATGTATATATATAATATATATTATATATGTATATATATAATATATATGTATATATGTATATATAATATATATGTATATATGTATATAATATATATGTATATATATAATATATATGTATATATGTATATATATAATATATATGTATATATGTATATATAATATATATGTATATATGTATATATAATATATATGTATATATGTGTATATATAATATATATATTATATATATGTATATATATAATATATGTATATATGTATATATATAATATATATGTATATATGTATATATATAATATATGTATATATAATATATGTATATATGTATATATAATATATATGTATATATATATGTATATACGTATATATAATATATATGTATATACGTATATATAATATATATGTATATACGTATATATAATATATATGTATATACGTATATATAATATATATGTATATACGTATATATAATGTGTATATATATGTATATATGTATATATATAATGTATATATAATATATATGTATATATGTATACATAATATATTATATATGTATATATATTATATATGTATATATAATATATATGTATATATGTATATATGTATATATAATATGTATGTATATATGTATATATGTATATATATAATATATATGTATATATGTGTATATATAATATATATGTATATATGTATATATAATATATATTTATATATGTATATATAATATATATGCATATATGTATATATATTATATATGTATATATATGTATATATATGTATATATGTATATATAATATATGTATATATGTGTATATATATGTATATATACAATATACATATATATACACACACACATATATACACATACACACACTATATATATAAAAAAATATATATATTTTATATGTATATACCACAGTTTCTTTTTTCTTTCTTTCTTTTTTTTTTTTGAGATGGAATCTCACTTTGTCGCCCAGGCTGGAGCACAATGGCATGATCTAGACTCACCGCAACCTCTGCGTCCTGGGTTCAAGTGATTCCCCTGCCTCAGCCTACCAAGTAGCTGGGATTACAGGCATGCACCACCACACCTGGCAAATTTTTGTATTTTTAGTAGAGATGGGGGTTTTGCTATATTGGCCAGGCTGGTCTTGAACTCCTGCCCTCAGGTGATCTACCTGCCTTGGCCTCCCAAAGTGCTGGGATTACAGGCGTGAGCCACCTTACCCAGTCTATATACCACAATTTCTTTATCCACTCGTTGATTGATGGGCATTTGTGTTGGTTCCATGTTTTTGCAATTGCAAATTGTGCTGCTGTAAACATACATGTGCAAGTATCTTTTTCATATGACTTCTTTTCCTTTGGTTAGACACCCAGTAGTGGGATTGCTGGATCAAATGATAGTTCTATTTTTAGTTCTTTAAGAAATATCCACACTGTTTTCCATAATGGCTGTACTACTTTACATTCCCACCAGCAGTGTAGAAGTGTTCCCTGTTCACCGAATCCATGCCAACATCCACTATTTTTTGATTTTTTGCTTACGGCCATTCTTGCAGGAGTAAGGCGGTATCGCATTGTGGTTTTGATTTACATTTCCCTGTTTATTAGTGATGTTGAGCATTTTTTCATGTTGTTGGCCATTTGTGTATCTTCTTTTGAGAATTGTCTATTCATGTCCTTAGCCTCCTTTTTGATGGGATTTTTTTTCTTGTTGATTTGTTTAGTTCATTGTAGATTCTGGATATTAGTCTTTTGTCAGATGAATAGATTGTGAAGAATTTTTTCCCACTCTGTGGGTTGTCTGTTTACTCTGCTGACTGTTCCTTTTGCTATGCAAAAGCTCTTTAGTTTAGTTAAGTCCCAACAATTTATCTTTGTTTTTATTGTATTTGCTTTTGGGTTCTGGGTCATGAAATTCTTGCCTAAGCCAATGTCTAGAAGGGTTTTTCCAATGTTATCTTCTACAATTTTTATAGTTTCAGGTCTCAGATTTAAGTCCTTAATCCATCTTGAGTTGATTTTTTTTATAAGGTGAGAGATGAGGATCCAGTTTCATACTCCTACCTGTGGCTATCCAATTATTCCATCACCATTTGTTGAAAGGGATGTCCTTTCCCCACTCTATGTTTTTGTTTGCTTTGTCGAAGATCAGTTGGCTGTAAGTATTTGAGTTTATTCTTGGGTTCTCTATTCTGTTCCATTGGTTTGTGTGCCCATTTTTCTACCATGATGTTTTGGTGACTATAACTTTATAGTACAGTTTGAAATCAGGAAATGTGATGCCTCCAGATTTGTTCTTTTTGTTTAGTCTTGCTTTGGCTATGGGGCTCTTTTTTGGTTTCATATGAATTTTAGAATTTTTTTTCTTCTAATTCTGTGAAGAAAGACGGTGGTATTTTGATGGGAATTGCATTGAATTTGTAGATTGCTTTTGGCAGAATTGTCATTTTCACAATATTGATTCTACCCATCCATGAGCATGGGATGTGTTTCCATTTGTTTGTGTTGTCTATGATTTCTTTCAGCAATGTTTTGTAGTTTTCCTTGTAGAGATCCTTCATCTGCATGGTTAGGTATATTTCTAAGTATTTTATTTTTATGTTTTGCAGCTATTGTGAAAGGGGTTGATTTCTTGATTTGATTCTCAGCTTGGTTGTTGTTGGTGTATCAAAGAGCTACCAATTTGTGTACATTAATTTTGTATCTGGAAACGTTGTTGAGTTCTTTTTTATCAGTTATAGGAGCTTTCTGGAGGAGTCTTTAGGGTTTTCTAGGTAAACGATCATATCATCAGCAAACAGTCACAGTTTAACTTCCTCTTTATCAATTTGGATGCCCTTTTTTTCTTTCTTTTGTCTGATTACTCTGGCTAGGACTTCCAGTGCTATGTTGAAGAGGAGTGGTGACAGTGGGCATCCTTGTCTTGTTTCAGTTGTCAGAGGGAATGCTTTCAACTTTTTCCCATTCAGTATTATGTTGGCTGTGGGTTTGTCATAGGTGACTTTTATTATGTTGAGATATGTTCCTTATGTGCTGATTTTGCTGAGAGTTTTAATCATAAAGAGATGCTGGATTTTGTCAAATAAAGAGATGCTGGATTTTGTCAAATGCTTTTTCTGCATGTAATGGGATGATCATGTAATTTTTGTTTTTAATTCTGTTTATGTTGTGTTATCACATTTATTGACTTGGGTATGTTAAACCATCCCTGCATCTCTGGTGTGAAACTCACTTAATCATGGTGGATTATCTTTTTGATATATTGTGGATTTGGTTCGCTAGTGTTTTGTTAAGGATTTTAGCATCCATGTTTATCAGGGATATTAGTCTGTAGTTTTCTATTTTGTTATGTCCTTTCTTGTTTTTGGTATTAGGGTGATACTGGCTTCATAGAATGATTTAGGGAGGATTCCCTCTTTCTCTATCTTGTGGAATAGTGTCAATAGGATTGGTACCAATTCTTCCTTGAATGTCTGGTAGAATTCTGCTGTGAATTTGTCTGGTCCTGGACTTTTTTTTGTTGGTTATTTTTAAATTATCGTATCAGTCTCGCTGCTTGTTATGGGTCTGTTCAGGGTATCTAATTCTTTCCGATTTAAGCTAGGAGGGTTGTATCTTTCCAGGAATGTATCCATCTCTTCTAGGTTTTCTGGTTTATGCATGTAAATGTGTTCATAGGAGCCTTGAATGATCTTTTGTATTTCTGTGGTGTCAGTTGTAGTAGCTCCTGTTTTGTTTCTTATTGAGCTTATTTAGATTTTCTCTCTTCTCTTCTTGGTTAATCTTGCTAATGGTCTATCAATTTTATTTATCTTTTCAAAGAACCAGCTTTTTGTTTCATTTATCTTTTGTATTTTTTTTCTTTAAATTTCATTTAGCTCTGCTTTGATCTTGGTTATTTTCTTTCTTCTGCTGGGTTTGGGTTTGGTTTGTTCTTGGTTCTCTAGTTTCTTGAGGTGTGACCTTAGATTCTCTGTGCTCTTTCAGACTTTTTGATGTAGGCATTTAGTGCTATAGACTTTTCTCTTAGCACTGCCTTTGCTGTGTCCTAGAGGTTTTGATAGGTTGTGTCACTGTTGTCATTCAGTTCAAATAATTTTTAAATTTCCATCTTGAATTTCATTTTTGACGCGGCGATCATTCAGGAGCAGGTTATTTAATTTCTGTGTATTTGCATGGTTTTGAAGGTTCCTTTTGGAGTTGATTTCTGGTTTCATTCTACTGTGGTCTGAGAGAGTGCTTGATACAATTTCAATTTTCTTAATTTGTTGAGGCTCGTTGTGTGGACTATCATATGGTCTATCTTGGAGAAAGTTCCCTGTGCCATTGAATTGAATATATATTCTGTGGTTGTTGAGTAGAATGTTCTGTATATATCTGTTAAGTCAATTTGTTCCAGGGTATAGTTAAATCCATTGTTTCTTTGTTGACTTTCTGTCTTGATGACCTGTCTAGTGCTGTTGGTGGAGTATTGAAGTCCTCCACTATTATTGTGTTGCTGTCTATCTTATTTCTTAGGACTATTAGTAATTGTTTTATAAATTTGGGAGCTCCAGTGTTAGGTGTATATATGTTTAGGATTGTGATATTTTCCTGATGGACAAGGTCTTTTATCGTTATATAATCTCCCTCTTTGTCTTTTTAAATGGCTGTTGCTTTAACATTTGTTTTGTCTGATATAAGAATAGTTACTCCTGCTTGCTTTTGGTGTCCATTTGCATGAAATGTCTTTTTCCAACTCTTTACCTTAAGTTTGTGGGAGTCCTTCTGTGTTAGGTGAGCCTCTTGAAAGAAAGCAGAAGATAGTTGCTTGGTGAATTCTCATCCATTCTGCAAATTCTGTATATTTTAAGAGGAGCATTTAGGCCTTTTGAGATGTGAGGTACCATTCCATTTATTGTGCTATTTGTTGCCTGTGTACCTTGGTTTTTTGTTTTTGTTTTTTAAATTGTATTTTTGTTTTATAGGTCCTCTGAGATATATGCTTTAAAGAGGTTCTGTTTTTATTTGTTTCCAGGATTTGTTTCAAGATTTAGAGCTCCTTTTTGCAGTCCTTGTAGTGCTGGCTTGGTAGTGGTGAGTTCCCTCAGCATTTGTTTGTCTGAAAAAGTCTGTATCTTTCCTTCACATATGAAGCTTAGTTTCATTAGATACAAAATTCTTGGCTGATAATTGTTTTGTTTGAGGAGGCCGAAGATGGGGCCCCAATCTCTTCTAGCTTTGTAGGGTTTCTGCTGAGAAATCTGCTGTTAATCTGGTAGGTTTTTCTTGCTAGGTTACTGGTGCTTTTGTCTCACTGGCCTTGAGATTCTTTCCTTCATCTTATCTTTAGATAACCTGATCACAGTGTGGCTAGGTGAAGATCTTTTTGCAATGAATTTCCCAGGTGTTCTTTGTGCTTCTATTGGATTTGTGCTTCTATTTGGATGTCTAGGGCTCTAGCAAGGCCAGGGAGGTTTTCCTTGATTATTCCCCCAAATATGTTTTCCCAGCACCATTTATTGAAAAGACTATCTTTTCCCCATTGTAAGTTCTTGGTATCTTTGTCAAAGATGAATTGGTTATAAGTGTGTGGATTTGTATCTGGGTTCTCTATTCTGTTTCATTGGTCTATATGACTTTACTTCTCTAGCTATAAAAGTCCTAGAAGGCATCTTCTTCTGATAGAAGGCTTCCTTTCTGCATTGAAAATTTGTTGTTTAGTATAGCCCTTCATCAATTTTCTTAGCTAGAACTTCTGGATAATTTGCTGCAGCTTCTACATCAACACTTTCTGCTTTACCTTGCACTTTTATGTCGTGGAGATGGCTTCTTTCCTTAAACCTCATGAACAAACCTCTGCTAGTTGCCAACTTTTCTTCTGCAGCTTTTTTCACCTTTCTCAGCCTTCATAGAATTGAAGAGAGTTAGGGCCTTGATCTGGATTAGGTTTTTAGGTTTGGTTTTAAGAAATGTTGTGGCTGCTTTAATCATCTATCTAGACCACTCAAACTTTCTCTGTATCAGCAATAAGGCTGTTTCACTTTCTTATCATTTGTATGTTTGCTGTAGTATTATGTTTAATTTCCTTCAAGGACTTTTCCTTTGCATTCACAACTTGGCTTTCTGGTGCAAGAGGCCTAGCTTTCTGCCCGTCTTGGCTTTCGATATGCCTTCCTCACTAAGCATAATCAATTCTAGCTTTTGACTTAAAGTGAGAGCCATGCAACTCTTCCTTTCACTTGAACACTTGAAGGCCATTGTAGGGTTATTAATTAGCCTATTTTAATATTATTGTGTCTCAGGGAATAGGGAGGCCCACGGAGAGGGAGGGAGACAGGAATGGCTGGTTGGTGGAGCAGTCGGAACACACACAACATTTACCGATTAAGTTCACTCTCTTATATGGGCGTGGTTAATGGCACCCAAAAACCATTACAGTAGTAACATCCAAGGTCACCGATCACAGATCACCATGATGGATATAATAAATAATGAAAGCTTGAAATATTGTGAGAATTACTAAAGTGCAAAACAGAGACATGAAATGAACGCATGCTGTTAGAAAAACAGTGCCAATAGACTTGCTTAATGAGGAGTTGCCATAAACTTTCAATTTGTAAAATGCAGTATCTGCAAACCACAATAAAGTGAAATGCAATAAAATGAGGTGTGCTTGTAATTAAAATCCAATCAAAACAACATGCTCATGATGGTGACAAAATATTGTCATTAACACTTGAGTGCCTGGTAAGAGCAATGGACCATCCAGTTGTGATACGCATCATTTTAAAATCCTCGATTTTTGGCTTTAACTTTTCAATGGAGTATATCCCTCCCATGGATGTTTTATATATTTTTCTTATTGATCTTTGTGGCATCTTATAATGAGCTACCTGAGTTTGTGAGAAATTATTTTGGAATTATAGTAGAAAACATGGAAATAACACATTTATCACTATTATTATTGTTGGAATGAACAACCCAGAAGATATAAGGTGACATTTAAAAACATTAGTTTTCAAGGATGTAAAGACAAGCGTATCTGAATATATTTTTTTCCACAGTAGGTGGCTGCAAACTTTGTATAAGCCTGGATGTTTATAGAGTAATAGTCAAGAATAAGTTTACACATTGTTCAAAATAATGTGACATGATTTCAAAAAGTGTTTGCCAAGAATCTGTAATGTTACAGCCACTGTATTACATGTGCACCCACTTGTCATGATAGATGAGCTGAAGTCATGTGACTTGCCCCAGAGGGACACATGAGAGTGTTACATTTGTAACATATATACAGTATTCAAGGAATATTAATTATTATTCTTATTATAACCAATGAGGTCCGTAGCTAGTGCTTTGCAAAGCTGAGGTACAAACCCTAATCTATCTGATATTCTGAGTCCAATAGTAACAAAAAATAATGTGGCACTCAAACACTCTATAGTGAAATAAATAAATATATATGTATATACACACACACATTATTTAATTTTTGGGCTGCTATAAGAAAAATAGCATAGCCTGGGTAGCTTAACAAACAGAAATTTATTTCTCACAGTTCTGGGGACTGGGAATCCAAGATCAAGGTGCCAGCAGATGCGGTATTTGGTAAGGGCTTGCTTTCTGGTTTGCAGATGGCTATTTTCTCATTGTGTCCTCACAGGCCAGAGAGGAGACAGACAGTTAGTTCTTGTGTCTCTTCTTATAACAGTACTAATCCCATTCATAAGGGCTCCAGCCTCATCACCTAATCACCTCCTAATACCATCACATTGGAGATTAGAAGAATTTCAACATACGAGTTTTGGGGAAACACAAACGTTCAGTCTCTAACAAGTTTTATATTTGGTTTATAAAAGTTTCTTGTTTCTGTTAATTTTTTTTACAATGTCTTTCTCCTTCTCTGACTTCACTGATTGATAGAACACAAAGAGAAGATCTTTCTGGATTTCACGTAATTATGCCTTGTCAGAGAATAATGTGCTTTTCTAAATCTCATGTGGTCTAACACTTTTTATGTGACAGATGGGAAAACTGAGGCCCAGAGAGGTTGAATGCCTCACTTAAGGTCACTTGGTGAGTTAGTGCCAAAGCTGGGAATGAGAGCCCAGTTTTCCATGATGCCACAGAGCCCCTCTGGGAGGAGAAAAGAGCTGGGTCTCATGTGAGAGCCTTGGCCCCTGTAGCCTTCCACACTGCAGCTCAGTGTGAGTGGGAGTGGGGAAAACTGCCAGAGGAGGCTCAGAGACCCTCAGCAGGACTGAAGACTACAACTGGGCTTCATACTGTCAAATGTAAAAGCCCACAGCAAGGGAGCAGAAAGCCCTGTCTGGAAAATGGCTACAGTAGGCAAATTTCATGCATTTGTATGAATGCAATCATTGTCTAGTGACAAAATTATTAATATCATAGGCTTTTTCTCTCTGTGTTTATTTGTCAGTCCTAGAAAGCCCTGCAGGACAAAGTAATCACGTTAGTTTCATCTTCTCCATTTCCTCTACCTAAAATATTTGCTGCTCTCTCTCTCTCTCTGTCTTTCTCTGTACATCTTATTACAGCATAACCCAGCATGGAGTAGTGGAAGGAATTCTGATTAAACCCAAGAATAGTGGGAAGAAGAAAGTTTTTAGAGACAAACTACTTAGGTTTGAGACACAGCTCTGCCACTTCCTGGCTGTGCTAACTTGGATGAGTCACTTACACTCTCTGAGGTGCTGTTTCCTTCTCTGGAAAATGGGATAATAATGGAATACATTATGAGAATTAAATGAAATAGTATGGGCGAAGTTCTTGGCAAGGTGATAGGACATAATACATTTTCAATGAATGTTAACTACAGAAAAAAATGTTGCTGTGATAAATGGGGAAAGTGACTTCCTCTCTCTGGAGCTTAGATTTATCAAATGTAAATAAAATAGTTGTAATAAAGACTCTTCCTGCTTGAATAGTCTATGATTCAGTCTTGCCTTGTACCCCATCAGTAATAACCCCTCCCTCACTGACTCACTAGCGCCCTGCATTTGGGCCTCTCTTGTGATGTCTCCTGCTCTGATTATAATTATTTTCATCGGTACCCACTTGAGGGCATGTTTATCTCAGAGACTTGTTCATAGTAAATGCTCAATAAATAAATGTTGAGTGGATGGATAATTGTTAATATTCTGGTCCCATGCAGCTCAGAGTGAGTAACTGTGTTGTGCCTTTTAAAAGCCTTTTAGGGCCAGGCGTGGTGGCTCACGCTTGTAATATCAGCACTTTGGGAGGCTGAGGTGGGTGGATCACTTGAGCCAGGAGTTCAAGACCAGCCTGGGTAACATGGTGAAACCCCATCTCTACTAAAAATACAAAAAATTAGCCAGGTGTGGTGGCGGGCACCTGTAGTCCAGCTACTTGGGAGGCTAAGGTGGGAGGACGGCTTGAGCCTGGGAGGTGGAGGTTGTAGTGAGCCAAAATCATACCACCATACTCCAGCCTGAGCAACAGAAGAAGATCCTGTCTCTAAATAAATAAATAGCCGTTTATTATGAAAAAATTTCAAGATGTATATATATAAAAGAAGAATAATAAAATGTACTGCCATGCACCCATCATTCTGCAACATTAATTACCAATTTATGACTAATCTTGTTTTATTTATTTCCTCACACTCCATCTCCTTCTCTCAGATTTTTTGAAGAAAATTGCAGATATAATATAAAATTATCTAAAAATCTTCGAGTGTACTTCTAAAAGAAAGGAGGCGTTCTTTCTAGACATATCCACAATGCCTCTATCATACCTAAAAAGCCCAGTAATTTCTTAGTATCATTAAATATCCAGTCAGTGTTCACATTTCGTTTATCTGAATCAGGACTCAAATAAGGTACATGCATTGAATTGCATTTGTTTGATATGTCTCTTAAGTCTCTTTTGCATTGCTTTTTTCTCCCTTCAATTCTGTCAGTTTTTTATTAATGCATTTTGGGGCTTTGTTGTTAGGTGTATATATTTCTATAATTGTTACATATTCTAGATGGGTGACCTAAAAATTATAAAATATCTTTCTTTGTCTCTAGTAACAATTGTTTTCCACTGATCTAGTTTGTATAATATAGTATAACCATTCCAGCTCTCTTTCAATTACTGTTTGCATAGTATATATATATCTTTTCCAGTCTTTTTACTTTCAACCTATTTGTGTTTTTGAATCTCAAATGCGTCTCCTATAGGCAGCATATGGTTGGATCATTTAAAAAATCTATTCTGCCAATCTCTGCTTTTATTTTTGGAGGCGAGGTCTTGCTATATTGCCAGGCTGGAGTGCAGTGGCTATTCCAGGGTACAATCACTATGCACTATATTGCTGAATCCCTGGGCTCAAGCGATCCTCCTGCCTCAGCCTCCCGAGTAGCTGGGATTGCAGGTGCACCCTACTCTTCCTGGCTCTGCTTTTTAATTGGAGTGCTTGATCCATTTCCATTAAATTTAATTACTGAGAAGGTAGATTCGTATCTGCAATTTTACTATTTGTTTTCTATAAATCTATATATTTTCATTCTTCTGTCCCTCAGTTACTGCCCTCTTTAGTGTTATATATAGATTTTTTTCAATACCTTTTAAATTATCATCTTGTTTCTTTGATTATATTTTTGAATTTTTTTGGTGGTGTCTCTGGAGATTACAATTAACATCTTAATTTATAACAGTCTAGCTTGGACTAATACAAACTTAAATTAAATAACGTACAAAACTTTGCTTTTGCATAGCTCCATTCCCTTTCTCCTGGAAGGGTTTGATTCCAAGCTCATTTACATGGTTGTTGGCAAAATTCAGGTTACCGAGGGCTGTTGGACTGAAAACCCCATTTCCTCACTGACTGTTAGTTGAAGACTGCCTCAGTCTCTTGCCATGTGGGCTTCTCGGGCATGTGGCATCTTTCTTCATCAAAGCCAACAAGAGAGTTTGCTAGCAAGACAGAAATCACCATCTTTTGTGATCTAATCAATAATGGAAGTGACATCCCATCATCTTTGCCATATTCTTTTAGTCAGAAGTATGTCACTAGGCAAAGTCCACACTCAAGGGAAGGGATAATTACACAAAAGTGTAAATGCTAGTGAAGGAAATAAAAATATTTTACCACCAAATATTTTTTTTTGACTTATTCTGAAGTGGACCTGAAAAGCTGTCTTTTGTGGAGGGAATTTGCATCTGTAGATCTGTGGAGACTCTGTATTAAGGCAGTCTGCCCTACCTTGGTCCAGATCTAGGAAAGATTAACTGAGAGTCTCATACCTTTAGAAGTGTGAAAATAAATATTTACCACCTTTTCTGTCTGAGGTTTCACCTACATAACAAGACCACTTTTGTTAGCAAAGCCTCCTCTTCTCCCCATTTCATAATCTATCTTCCCACTAAAACCTGATTCATCAACATAACTTATTTTTGGCTATCATCTGAACCTGCATTCTTTCTGTGACCTCAAGATGGTATACAAGCTTCTGTACCTCATTGAGGGGTCGGGTCTTCATTTCAAAGGCTCCCATGTATACATATTACATAAATTTGCATGCCTTTTTTTCCCACTAATCTGTCTCATGTCAATAATTTTTGAACTTCCACACTAGAAAATGAGAAACACTGGGGGCCATCTTATAAGTCTGCCTACCACAGAGGATATGATATGTGTACGTGCATGCATGAGTATTGAATACCTACAATGTGTTACGCACTTGTATTAATCTGTTCTCATGCCGCGAATAAAAACATACCTGAGACTGGGTAATTTATAAAGGAAAGAGGGTTAATTGACTCACAGTTCCACATGGCTGGGGAGGCCTCGTAATCGTGGCGGAAGGCAGATGAGGAGCAAAGTTACATCTTACATGGCAGCAGGCAAGAGAGCTTATGTAGGGAACTTCTCTTTATAAAACCATCAGATCTCATGAGACTTATTCACTATCACAAGAACAGCACAGGAAAGACCCACCCCTATGATTCGATTACCTCTCACTGGGTCCCTTCCATGACACATGGGAATTATGGGAGCTACAATTCAAGATGAGATTTGGGTGGGGACACAGCCAAACCATATCAGCACTATTCTAGGCACTGGGGATAGAGCAGAGGGAAAAACAGACAAAAATGCCTGCTCTAAAAGAGCTTACATTCTATTTTCTCTGTATGACAAGGACAGAGAGGCTCCAGCTGACAGCTGAGTTACAATTGGTTTGTAAATAAAAAATAAAATTCTAAATCCCCAGCTGACTGAATGGACCCCCACTCTCCACCAAGGGCATTCCAAAGTAAACTTGAAAAACTAGTTCAGGCCATGCTGGGAAGTGGGGGTAGAGCATGCCTCATTATACCCTCTTCCCTTTGGAGTTTAGGCACAAGTGACCAGCATTAACATTGAAAGAGAAATCTTAGGACTGACAAAACAGACTCTTTGTAGCAATAAGGTACCAAATTCCAACCTGACTCTAGTATAGCATCACATGACAAATAGCAGGCACTGAAAGGAAATGAAGTGTTTTACCCCAAAATGTATTTCTTTGACATATTTTGAAATGGCCCTGCAAAGCTGTCTCTTGTGGGGAAATCAACATTCTGTAGAGAATCCTCTTCCCTTTCCAGGTCTTCTCTCTGATCCAGGAGAGAATTAACTAGGAGCCTGGCACCTTTTTAGGTCTGATAAGAGCTCTAAAGCTGGTTACCTGGAGGCTTCATCTACATAATAAGAATCTTGGTCTCCACAACCCCTTATCTTAACCCAGACACTCCTTTCTATTGATTCCATGTCTTTAGATAATAAGTTAACCCTTTCAATCAGTTGCCAATCAGAAAACTTTAGAATCTAAATATGACCTGAACACTGCTCCCTCCCCGCTACTTTGCGTTGTCCCACCTTTCTGGACCAAACCAATGTGCACCTTACACATAGTGATTGATGTCTGTCTGTAACTTCTGTCCCCCCTAAAATGTATAAAATCAAGTTGTAACCCAATCACCCTGGGTTCTCAGGACCTCCTGGGGCTATGTTACAGGTCATGATCCTCACATTTGGCTAAGAATAAATCTCTTTACATATTTTCCGGAGTTTGACTCTCTTTGTTGATAGGTCCTAAGTTATTGGTTGTTCTCTTCTGCAACTGAAAACATATCTGATCTGATGTGGGATAAAAGAATATCTTTCAATTTCTGAGATGTGTGAGGATTTCTTTTCTCACAGAGGACTGGATGTTTGGCTGTGTGCTTTTCTTGTTTTCTTCTGCTGAGAATTTTGAGAATTCAGGAAGGACAAGAGAAAAGAAGGAGCTCACCCTGCAACTTGTGTGAGGGCAAAGCAAGAAACAAGGAAGAATGTGAACGACTCTTTCCAGTAGAAAGGATGAGGAGACAGGAAAGGTTTCAAAGTTGTGATCCCAAATTTATCATGACCCCAAATGTATCATACAGTTCCATTCTCTAGGCCTTTAAGACAAACATTTCCTATTGCTCTTTAGAGAAGCATTTGAAGCCTAAATTCTGATACCACTTCCCACTCCCCAATTCCCTCAGCACATCTCAGATTTCTGTTTTTAAAAATCTCTAGCCATGATGATGGGATATGTGTTTGTTGGTACATTTTTTTTCAGAGCCCAGTGTCATTGCTGGGCTGGGTGGCAGCCGAGGCCTTCAGGGACTAAACCTCTTGTCTTAAGATCCTGAAAATGGTCCAGAAAGTCTTCAGCTGGGTTGGGAGATAATTCGCAGGTGGGGTGGGGGAGGTGAGGAAGTGGAGTTCCAGCTAGATAGGGCTTGATGCTGGCAAATTATGAAGACATTCTGGTGGCTCTGCCATTTTTTTTTCCTCACTACCAGTTCTATCTTCCTAAACAGAAGCCAAAGGAAGCCAGCTGGTAGCTAAGAGCATGGGATTTAGGAAGTAACATTTCAGCCATTTGCTAACCATGTGAACCAGGACTGGCTCTTGAACCAGCTTTACCTTTTGGAACCTCAGTTTTGCCTTTTATAAAATGGAGACAGTTATTCCTGCCAAATGGGGTTCTTTAAAAATCATGTGCAAACATGTGTAGTGTAGTGCCTGGCACATAAAAAATGCTCAGTAAGTGGTGTCTGTTTCTAGGCAGGGCATATTTGGGAATCCTAACTTTACAGATGAGGAAGCTGAGCTGCATGTGGTTTGAATGGGTCTGGGAACCCTGCTTCCCCAGTTCTCTCTTGCTGGAATGCCTTCGCCTTTTAGAATCCTGTTTCTCCCCAGGCTCTACAGCCTTGAAGCCCTGGCAGGCTTCTGAGTGCTTTGTTTGCCCTGAGGAGGTAGGGGGTTGCTGGCAGGAACCATTCACAGCTCTGTCCACCTGAGCCAGAGCTGCTCCCTGCTCTCCTGCACCTGGCAGGGAGTAGGCTGGAACAAAACTGAAAGGGAACCTGAATGGGGATCCTGAAGAGGCATCCGGTGGGTAAGTGCTGACCTGCTGGTGAGGAACATTTAAGGGGATTCTCTGGCATTACCTTAAGAGCATTCTTAGGCAATCCAAGATGGGCACATTTTCTCAAAGGCAGATAGAAATGCATTCCTGCTGTGCTCAGGAGGCCAAATTTGAAGACTCTTGTCCAATTAAAGTATTATCGAGACCAATTACTTCTCAAGATGATTTCTAAAGAAGGAGATGTTGATTTTTCCCCCCTACTTTTAGGAATGGAGAGGAGCTGAAAAGACAGTGCCTGACAGAGAACAACAGGATGCCTGAGTGTGTGCTGATATAGCCAGGCCTGAATTCTGTGTGAGTGTGAGCATGAGTGTGAGTGTGTGTCTGTATTTTCCCTCACCGTTACCATGATTCTAGATCTTTTCCACTCTCTTGCCTTTTAGTGGTTCTGAGGGATTAGGCTACATATGTTTGAATCCTGTGTGTTCTTAAGGAAATGCAGATAATAGTACCTGCCTCATAGGGTTGTTGTGAGAGAAGATGCATGTAAAGCACTTAGCAGGGTGCCTGGCACATAGTAGGTGTTCAATAAATTATATATGTTTTTCTACAACTTTTCTTTCTGTGCGTGCATTTCTTTACATTATGGTAGGTGTAAGTGGCTATACTAGTTGTCCTAGTTGCAGGTAACACAAGTGGTCGCAGGTAAACTCTATGGTTTCTCCAGCACCAGGGGCAGCACCTGGCTCAGAGAGCATGCTCAATAAACAGCTGATGACTGAAAAAGTGAGTGAAACCACTAGCTTAAATAGAAAACGGAAAATAATAATAAAGACATAAAATGTCACATAAAACCTGTATTAGTCTATTCTCACACTACTATAAAGATACTACCTGAGATTGGGTAATTTATAAACAAAAGAGGTTTAACTGACAGTTCTACATGGCTGGGGAGGCCTCAGGAAACTTACAATCATGGCGGAAGGCAAAAGGGAAGCAAGGCGTTTCCTACGTGGTGGCAGGAGAGAGAGAGCAGGGAAGCCCAGACACTTAGCAAACAACCAGATCTTCTGAGAATTCATTCATTGTCATGAGAACAGCAAGGGGGAATTCCGCCCCCATGATCCAATCATCTCCCATCAGGTCCCTCCCTTGACACGTGGAGATTACACTTCGAGATGAGGTTGGGTAGGGACACAGAGCCAAATCCTATCAGAACCCAAGGGTGGGGAGAAGGAAGGCTCCAGAAAGGCCTCAGGAAGAAATATAATCAGCGTCTGGAATGCCATGAGGACACACTTACCTTCTCTCTCCACCGATTCACAGTTACTTTGTTCTTTTTTCTCTGTAGTTTCCTCTGTTCTTCAGACTATCAGGTGAATTCTGTCCACCTCACAATTATTAGTCCAGCCAATTTCAAATACTGAGTGGATATCTCTGAATCTCAATTTCAAATTTCCAGGAGTAAATCTGATTGGCTGAGCTTGCGTCAGGTATCCATTCCTTGTCTAATCAGAAATGGTAGGGAGCAGGGTCACATAGTGGCTCCCTGTCTCTCCCGTGGATGAGGGGGTGTGGGTTTCTACAGAAAGGGCTTTTGAGCTGCCATACGTGCATTTCAGTGGCTGCCTTGCCCAGCTGAGTCTGTGGAAGAAGGGATGGGTGGGATCTGCAGAAGGGGTGGGTGGGAAGAAATGTGTATGTAGAAATTACAGAACTGATGGATTCCCTGGTCCTGTCCACATGGATAATACTGGAGTAGGATTTGAGGGATTTTTAGAAAATTCTTTCCAATGAGGCCTGAAAGTTTCCATCAGTCATGTAACGTTTTCCATTCTAATGGGAATAATGAGTGTTAATAATAAATGTAAGACCCCTATATCTTGTATCTTGAACAAGGTATCATTGCACTCTTTCATGTAAGAGATTTGTAAGCTTACCCCAGGGGGAACGAGTTACATATGCAAATCCCTTGTCTTAGTCTAGAGTTCCCGCTGGTCCTCTCTGTTGAGCTGTATGTCTCCCCAGCCTAGAGGTTCTCAGATTGGTCTTCCATCAACACTGTCAACACTGTTACCTGGGAACTTGTTAGAAATGTAAATTCATGGGGCCTACCCGAGATGTACAGAATCAGATGCTGTGTGGGGTGGGGCCCAGCAGGTTATTTCAAAAAGCCCTCCCAGTGATTTTGATGCACTTTAAAGCTGGGAAAACCACTGCCTTCTTCTGTTTTTAGGAGAGGCTTGCCCCTTGGTTCAAGGGTTCAAAGGATACATGCCTGTGAAGACTTCTGTGAGCAAGGTCTTTGAGATTAAACCCTAAGGAGGCTTTGAGTGATACTGCCATAAGCTCCAACCATCGCTTCTTTCAGCCTTGGGAAAAGTTATAATTCCTTAAGGATGTTAACTTGAACATTCCTTACAGAAGCTGAGCTATAGAGGGTGACACTGCTCTCTGTCCTTCATCCTTCAGAGGATAAGTGATGTCAGCATGAGGCTCTTTCTTGGACAATTGACATTTCCCACCTTAAGATGGAGGGTGGGGGGCAAAGCACCCTGAATTGAATCACAATGGACCAATGTCAAATTGCAGTCTTAAGTTGTAAGTGGAAGAAAGGAAGGATGATTGATTCAGAATCTGCTGTTCCTTTGCATTAATTTCCACAATGGCCCCCTGAGGTAGATACAATTATCCTTAAAGAAAAGTGAAATAGTTTGACCAATTTTAGTGAGTGGTAGAGTGGAGATTCAGGCCCAGACAATCATATACCAAGAACCAAACCTGTAGCCACCAGGCTACAGTGTTACCTGTGGTGCATTAGGATCCTCTTTTTTTCCTTATGTTTTTCCTTCTTTCCATCTCAGCATTGCACCCTAGTCTGTCCTGCACTGCACTTCCTCACCACAGAGAGGCTGGGACTTCTAGGCTTTTTGTCCTTTCATTGATTGACTTTGGTGGAGTTTGGAGGAAACAGAGGGATTTACAACTCCCCACAGCCCCATCCAGGTTAGAAAGATTCCCCATGATATAGGGAGGAGAGCACAGGTGGAGAGGATGAGAGCAGTGAAGTTTGTGGATCTGCAGAGTGAGGTCCTACATCCTGCCCCCTGGCGAGCAGCAAGAGAAAAATGTGGCTCAGCCAGTTTTATTGGAGGGAGACAGAGATGGCTTTGCAGGGAGTTCTTGTCTCAGAAGCAAGACTGGTTGCTGGGCCTGAAAGTGTTGAGTGGAAAGGCTGTTATGGTCTGAATGTGTCCCCTCTAAAATGTAGGTGTTGTAATGTGATTGTATTAAGAGGTGGGGCCTGTAAGAGGTGATTGGGCCATGAGAGCTGCTCCCTTATTAGCAGGATTAAGACCCTTTAAAGAGAAACTGCATGGAGCTAACCTCTAACTAGAGACTTTCCACTTTGACCAATCAAATATTATCTTTGTCTTATTTCCTCAAACACCTAATAAAAATTTTCTCTCCCACCCCCTTGGTGGAGGCATGAACTGCTTATGGTCTGGTGCTGCCCAGTTTATGAATGGTTAAATGCTCAAATAAACTGCGTCTTTTAATACCTCTTTCCCCTTCCTTCCTTCCTTCCTTCCTTCCTTCCTTCCTTCCTTCCTTCCTTCCCTTCCTTCCTGCTATTTTTCTTGTTGCTATTATAAATGATGTTGCAATGAATTTTTTTTTACCCATAACTTTATGCTTTGTTTTAATATCTACTTTTTTTAAGGTTGCTTTGTTTTACTTTTGCATCTGCTGGCTCCTAAGTTATATACATTTACAATTTTGATAGCTACTGCCAAATTGCCTTTCAAAAAGACTGTATTATTTTTAACTCCCACCAACAGAGTTACAAACAGTAATGTTTATGAATTCTGCATTGTACTTCCCTTTTTAATGACCACATTATCCTGCCAGACTGTAAGATTCCCTGAGGGTAGGAATCTGCCTGCCTTTCCTCTGCTGTGTCCTCAGCATTTAGCACAGTGCCTGGCCCACCACAGGTTCTCTGTAAGTATTTGTCGAGTGAAACAAAAGGCGCAGAGTGAACACTCGCCAAAGGCTTCTTCTTAGAAGTTTGCCTGGGAAAATTTTAAAACAAGAACTTCCGATTCACAAGAAAAAAAATTAAGCTTGGAGGACCATAATTTTCTAAACTCACTTTTGTAGATTAAAAATAAAATCCTAAGTCTTCCACCGACTGAACAGACCCCCATCTGGCTAAGGGGACCCCAGAAAAACTTTAAACATGAAATTCCCAGTCGTGATAGGTAGGTCAGACATACCTTGTTATAGCCCCTCCCTTTTGGAGTTTAGGCACAACTGACCAGAATTAATTTTTTTTCTTTTTCTTTTTTTTTTTTTTTTGAGATGGAGTTTTGCTCTTGTTGCCCAGGCAGGAGTGCAATGGCGGGATCTTGGCTCACTGCAACCTCCGCCTCCCAGGTTCAAGTGACTCTCCTGCCTCAGCCTCCCAAGTAGCTGGGATTATAGGCATGCGCCATCACGCCCGGCTAATTTTGTATTTTTAGTAGAGACGGGTTTCTTCATGTTGGTCAGGCTGGTCTCGAACTCCCGACCTCAGGTGATCCGCCCAATTCGGCCTCCCAAAGTGCTCGGATTATAGGTGTGAGCCACCGCGCCCAGCCAGCATTAATCCTAAGGCTAATAAAATGGACTCTTTGTGACAATAAGATACCAAATTATAATCAGGATCTAAGGCCATCCAGACAATGGTTAAGTCACACACTCCTACAGGTCTCTCTGACTCAGTATGTTGGTTAGTAGACTTCCTTATTATAACCTAAAACGTTCCTTTTTGTTGACTTCAAATTTTTAGACAAAGTTTTACTCCTTTAACCAATTGCAAATTAAAGAATCTCTGAATCCACATACAACCTATAACCCTGCCTCCCCTTCAGGATATCCCACTTTTCTAGGCTGAACCAAGGTATACCTTTCATTTATTGATTTGTGTCTTTACCTATAACTTCTGCCTATCTAAAGTGTATAAAACCAAACCGTAATCCAATTGCTATGGGCACGCTTTCTCAGGACCTCTTGAGAGTGTGTTCCCTGGGCCATGTCACTCATATTGGTTCAGAATAAACCTCTTTGACATATTTTACAGAGGCTGGGCATGATGGCTCACGCCTGTAATCCTAGCACCTTGGGTTGCTGAGGTGGGTGGATCGCTTGAGCTCAGGAGCTCAATACCACCCTGGGCAACATGGTGAAACCCCATCTCTACAAAAAATACAAAATGTAGCTGGGTGTGGTGGTGCATGCCTGTAATCCTGCTACTCGGGAGGCTGAGGCAGGAGGATTGCTCGTGCCAGGAGGTTGAGGTTGCACAGTCATGATCGTGCCACTGTACTCCAGCCTGGGTGACACAGCAAGACCTTGTCTCAAAGATTTTTTTTTTTAATTGATTTTTTTTAAGAGAGTCTTGTTTTTCCATTAGCACCTGGGACAGTGAAGCTAAAAATGTCTGTTGTTTTTTTCCAAATTTTAATTTGTTTCTTTGGCTTGGTAGTAATACAAAGAGGAAGAAGAAACCTTGGATTCTGCAGGTGTGCTCAAGTTGGATATTTGCACATAAATGTAGACAAGCATCCCCTCTGGGAAGCTGGATATCCACACTGTGGATCCCCGGGCAATTTCTTTCCAAGTCTGTGACCTTGATCAATTGTCCTACTAAGTGTAAGGTACACTGCCAATATGTGACTTAGTCTCTTTGGCTGACAGGCAGTGCGTGGGTCTAGTTTGTGGCACAGAGGGCCTGGCTTAAGTCCTGCCTTTTTGCTCTGTGACCTTGGGCAAGTCACTTTGCCTCTCAGGGCCCTCACTTCCGGAGTGGAGATAGTCATTTCTGCAGTGCCTGCCTCTTGGCCAGTTGTGAGGCCCAGAAGCAGGTTGTAAATTGTAGTGTGCTATGCAAATGTGAAACATTAGAAGCAGAGTAGTTTGTTGGCGTCTTGACAAGATCTTGTAGGGGAGGAAAAATAATTTTCTTTCTACCTTCCATTGTTCTTAGTTGGGATTCCCTGTAACAAAAGACAGATAAACAAGAGTAAAATGAAGAGAAGTCTAATAACATGTATACCTCCTCTGTACAGGGGAGATATTCAGGGACATCTCAGAGCAAAATCTCAAGAGTAGATCTCAAAGAATTGTCTGAGGGTTCAGGCTTAAATACCATCATACCTCCCCACTCACCTGCTGGCCCCCCAACAAAAAAAGAAAGGTATGGGAAAGGGCAGGAAAAGCACTGTTA
Source organism: Homo sapiens (assembly GCF_000001405.40). NCBI lineage: Eukaryota > Metazoa > Chordata > Mammalia > Primates > Hominidae > Homo > Homo sapiens. The sequence continues at coordinate 155,053,162 of NC_000005.10, forward strand.
ACAAGGGCAAGGTTTGTTATACAGACTTAAGTGACACCTTCCCCATTGATAAGAGAATCTAGTGATTTAGTAATCTCTCTCTTCCTGGGGCAGAGAGGGAGATACCCTTAAAATAGAGATCTCCTTTATAGATGCAAATTTCTCTTAAAAAAGGACAACTTCTCTTGTTTGCAGAACTTCTCCTATGCCTGCTTTCCCCACAAATAATCAGTTCACAATAATCCTTATGTTACACAGGCATATTTTGGGTTGATATATTCTGGTCATGTTTTGGGGTGCTGTGTCCTGATCCCCAACAACACAAACAAATGAGAAGATCAGTGGGAAAAACAAGAGTTCTGCTACAGGAAAACAGTGCTTGGGGGGCCACTCTGAAGAATATGTTAAGTGACAAGAGGAGAAGAGGATGGAGGGCGGGCAGGCACTGAGGAATGACGTGGAAGAGAGAGGAATGCAGCCAACCCTTCCAGGGACAAGAAGGACTTGGCTCTATTGCCTCTGTGAAGCAGGGACCTGTCTCCTTGGGGCTGATTTGTTTTATTTGGTGTGTTGTTAACCTTTGCTCAGTCCTAGGCTGTGGTTAACTTGGGGCCATAGGCAGGGGGAGAAGGTCACAGCAAATTTAGTGGGAGGCATTTTAAGTACTTAAAGCAATAAATCCTCATGTACCTCGAGCCTGCTCAGGCTTCCCTAAACCTGGGAATTCAATTTTGTGCAGCGTACACAGTTTGCCAAGCACACTAAGTCATTGAGAGAACAACTTGATGTATTGCTGTGGGGAAAAAAAATGCTGTGTTCCTTTCGTCATTCAAATTAGCAACTTTTCATACTGGGATGACAGGTGACTGATCACCTGAGAATATATCCTGTCTTCTAGTGATTTGATATCTCTTCCTTCTCTGTTTCCCTATCTGTATTTTCATGCCTTAAAGAGTAAAGAGAAAACATTTCTATTACAATTGCTATAGAATCAGTACCTGATTCATAAGCCCCAAGCCTCAGGGCCTGGCATATGGTAGGCATTAATAAATGATGAATGAATAAATGACTAGATTTGGTTGCTGTCTGCAGACTGCCCTGTTTCCTTCCCAGAGGGTCGGAGGAAGCTTTTGCTTTTTTTTTTTTTTTTTGGTGTGGTGGAAGCAGTATGCACTGCTGCAGTGCAGGACATTGTACGTCTGCACTGTTCAGACTCTCCTTGGGTAAGAGACTTATTGTCCTGGCTTCTGAGAATGGTGGTAGCCCCTTGAGGAATTGCCTAAGTTGCAGAGAGCTGTCTCGCCCAAGGTCAGCCTTTCCTGGGGTGTCCAATATCCATCGACTCATCCATGTGGGGTTGTAAAGAGCTGGCCTTCTCAGCCCAACCAAGGACAATTCTGAAGGGCTAATCTAGCTCTACACCTCTTTGTGGGGTTGGCTGTCATTGAGCTGGATCACAGCTTCATTTTCTGTCTCTTCTGTCCCCTCCCTTCCATAGGTGTTGACCCAAGAGCACTCATCAGTAAATCTCCTATGTAATAAACTCAGAATGGGCTTCTCAGCCCAACCTGTGCATTTTATTTTATTTTTAGATCCCACTCTGACTTTCTTCCTCATTGGCAGAAATACCAGCTAACATTTATTGAGTGCTTACGATCAGCTAGACACTCTACTTGCCTTGTCTCACTTAATCCTCACGACAACCCCAGGAGTGGCCGTTTGAATCTGCATGTTACAGGGGAGGGAGCGAGGCTGGGGATTCTGTGACTTATTCATAGCCACAAAACCAGTAAGTGTTGGGGCCAGAGCTCGATACCAGTTGAATTTTAGAGCCTAGGCTCTTAACCACTCTGCCATTCTTCTGGTACCCCTGCTGCTAACTTTAGAAAAAAATTACCTGTGTTCTACAGAACCTTTGGGGGAATATTTATATGGGCCCACGTTGTGGGGCCTCTATAGAGTTCACCAAGTACGTTAGTGTCGTAAGAGCTCTGAGACGTCCTACTGTAGGGAAACCTGTTAATGTTTTCCAAACTTATTTGACCACAAAAACACATGCAGTGGCCCTATTGACATCCTAATGTTCTGTGGAAAAAAACTTCGGGAAACACCGGCCTAAACTGTAACAGCTTATTTTACTTTATGCAGAACTGGTAAATGTTTGTGGGGTTACCTCCTTTGGTCCTGACCTATTATTCTGCTACTCTGAACAAGTGGTTTCAAATCTGTACAACAGGGATAACATTTTACCTCTTGAAGGTCACATAGTAGTCAAATGAGGTAATAGATACAAAAATTCTGAAAATCACTGCTAACTGCAGACAAGGAGTTATTAAGCACGGATGTTTTAAGATTCAGAAACGTTAAAGTGCCAAATGTGTCAAAAGCCATTTCTCACATAAAACTAGCTTTGAAAAATTTCTGATGGGAGTCAGCTCTACACGTAGGTGTGTTAAGGACTGTTTGAACGAATCATAATTAGAACACATGATGCATTAGAGTTAGGTCATTTTTGCAAAGGGAGATGTTTACTTATCAAATAAATTTTGAGCATTCAAATACTTTTTGAGAATGCTTATGTAAATGTTCATAGGAATAAAAGTAAGTGTAAGTGATGGACCCTATTTTCAAATAACTTAGTGCTTACAGCATATAGAAGGCAAACACATGCCTTTCACGTCCTTTTTTTACCTCGCATGCCCATCTCAGAACTTGCTGGTCAGTCACTGCACTTTTAACTGTTGAACTCAGATATAGCTGCAGAGCTGCAGAATTTTTTATTTTTATTTTTAGTTTTGAGATAGGTCTAATTCTGTCGCCCAACCTCTCACTGCAGCCTTGACCTTCTGGGCTCGAGCAATCCTCCTACATCAGCCTCCTGAGTAGCTGCGACTATAGTCATGCACCACCATGCCTGGCTAATTTTTTTTTTTTTTTTTTTTTTTTTGAGACAGAGGTTTGCTCTTTCGCCCAGGCTGGAGTGAAGTGGTGCGATCTTGGCTCACTGCAACCTCTGCCCCCCTGGCTTCAAGTGATTCTCCTGCCTCAGCCTCCCGAATAGCTGGGATTATAGGTACCTGCCATCACTCCTGGCTAATTTTTGTATATTTAGTAGAGACGGGGTTTCGCCATGTTGGCCAGGCTCAGATAATCTGATAATCCTGACCTCAGATAATCCACCCGCCTCAGCCTCCCAAAGTGCTAGGATTACAGGCATGAGCCACCATGCCCGGCCCTGGCTAATTTTTTTATTTGTACTTTGTAGAAACCGGGTCTCATTATGTTGCCTAGGCTGGTCTCAAACTCCTGGACTCAAGCAATCCTCCCCGCTTGGCCTCCCAAATTGCTGGGATTATGGGCATGAACCACTACGTCCAGCCTACAGCTGTAGAATTCTTGTCATAGCACTCTAGCAAGCCACTACTAATTGATCAGAGTCAGCTCATGAGATGAAACCTATTGCTACAGAAACCTGATGTATAGATTCTAGATGTGCAAACATAAAGAATGTATATCAAGGGAGAATGTGACAAGTGCCAAAAGAATTGTAAAGTCAGAGCACATAATACATATCATAGGCTAGGGTAGGCAGGGAGGGCTTCCTAGTAGAAGCAGGAGTTAAACTGGGCCCTGAAGGAGGGGAGGACTTGGATGGTGGCCAGGATAGAGCAGGCTGTTCTAGGACACCCCCACAAAGGTGAATTAAATCCCAATACCTAAAAGGTAGCCTCTGTCTAAAACCTTTGCTGATGATCTCATCACTGAATGTGGACACTGATGTTTCTTCATCCTAGATTCTAGAAGGCTGATACCTTTCAGAGTCTTTTTGACCTTCCAATTGACTGCCAGCATCCAGATTGTGATTTCAGTCTCTTGCCGAGTCAGAAACAGAGAACGCACGATTCCAGGAGCCCATAAATTACTTCTAGTTATTGCAGTGACGAAAGGCCTCTTCGAAGGTGACTTGCTCACTCCCTGTTTTATAGCCTCATACATCAAAGAGGAAGATGGAGCGGAGTCAGTTTCTATGACGAGATCCAGGCTTCAGGAGAAACGGGTGGCAACTGTCTGCAAAATGGAGCACTTTCTGTCAAAACTCAATTAAATTAGCCTTGATTCTACAAATAATAGGACAAAGTTTTCCTCCCCACACCCCTCCAGACCCCTGTACCTTCTTCCTGTACCTCTTCAGAAAATTGAGTTCTGAGTGCATTGCACTAGGAGACAGTTTGTAAAATTTAGGCAATGATTAGTTTAATTCGGCCTTTGCATTAATATACAGAAACTGAATGTGCTGTGGGTTAGAAGGGGGAATGAGTTGCAAGATATGCGAGATGCTCAGTGAGGTATAGAAGGAAGATAACTGGATGGAATGCCAGAGAGTTGGATTCTTGCCCTCAGTGCCTCTAGGTTGCCAGCTCTGTGACATTGAGCAGGTCTCTTTCCTTTTAGGTTCTCAGTTTCCCCATTCTGGTCATGTTTAAGGCTTTGTATCAGCCAGCACAGCCATCATAGTAACTTATGTCTCCAAGCTTTACTTCTCATTCATGCCACATGTCTGCTGTGAATCAGCTGAGAGCTCACTTCCGTGTTCTCTGGGACTCAGGCTGATGGAGCAGCCACCATTTCCATTGCTACAGATTGCTGTGGCAGAGGGAAAGAATGTTCTGGAAGGTCTCCCATTGGCAATCAACTGGCCTGGCAGTGACATATGCCATGTCCTCTCACAACACATTGGATGTGGCCAATGAGTCCTATGGCCTCACACAATCACAGGGGGCCAGAAAGCACAATGCTACCATGCTGGCATTTAGTGAATAGCATTGATGCATATCCCAGGCCCCTTCCAACTCCAAAGCTTTATGATTTTCTAGTTTCCATTGAACTCTGAGTTTTTATTTCCACCTTTCACTTTGGTTAGGATTCTTGATTCTAAAGTAGATTGCCTTCATTCACCAAGTGCTGATTGACAATTCTTTAATTTCCTTATGGAGGGATCTACTATCCCTACATGGTTCCACTAGCTATGTGATCCTGGGAAACTGTTCTGTGACTCAGTTTCCCCATCTGTCCAATAGGAATAATAATGACACCTACTAAAAAAGTTGTTGGAGGATTAAATTAGTCAGCATTTAGAACAGTGTCTGGCATATGTTGAGTACTCAAAAAGTGTTAGACATTGGTGAGGAAGGCAATACAGTGTGGAGGCTATGAGTACCAGCTCTGGAGCTAGACTGCCTGGCTTTGAATCCTGGCTCTACCACTTACAGGCCATGGTACCTGGGGCAGGGTAGTTTTCATATCTGTAAACTGGGGGTAGTAATAGTGTCTATTCTACCTCAGCAGACTGTTATGAGGATTAAGTCAAGTAATATACCCAAAGCAGTTAGAACAGTACCTGGCATGTAGTGAGGGCTTGAAATTATTAATTCTAACAGTCATTACTCAGTATGTAGTGTTTAACACCACTGAGTCCATTCTCTGTTTTTTGAGACTCTTTTCACTCTGTTTTTTTTTCTTTTTTGGCCCCATTCTTTCCTGATTTTTCTCCTGCCTTGGTTGTGTTTTTGAAGATGCTTCCCTATCCTTAAAGTTCGAGGGTCCCTAGAGTCTCATCCAAGGCTGTCTCTGCTCCATGCGTTCTCTCAATGAGCTTGTTCATTCTCATGGAATCAGCTTTCACCTACTCACTGGTGGCTTCCAATGATTAACTTTCTTTTCTTTTTTTTTTTTTAATTATTATTATACTTTAAGTTTTAGGGTACATGTGCACAATGTGCAGGTTAGTTACATATGTATACATGTGCCATGCTGGTGTGCTGCACCCATTAACTCGTCATTTAGCATTAGGTATGTCTCCTAATGCTATCCCTCCCCCCTCCCCCCACCCCACAACAGTCCCCAGAGTGTGATGTTCCCTTCCTGTGTCCATGTGTTCTCATTGTTCAATTCTCATCTATGAGTGAGAACATGTGGTGTTTGGTTTTTTCTCCTTGCGATAGTTTACTGAGAATGGTGATTTCCAATTTCATCCATGTCCCTACAAAGGACATGAACTCATCATTGTTATGGCTGCATAGTATTCCATGGTGTATATGTGCCACATTTTCTTAATCCAGTCTATCATTGTCGGACATTTGGGTTGGTTCCAAGTCTTTGCTATTGTGAATAATGCCGCAATAAACGTACGTGTGCATGTGTCTTTATAGCAGCATGATTTATAGTCCTTTGGGTATATACCCAGTAATGGGATGGCTGGGTCAAATGGTATTTCTAGTTCTAGATTCCTGAGGAATCGCCATACTGACTTCCACAATGATTGAACTAGTTTACAGTCCCACCAACAGTGTAAAAGTGTTCCTATTTCTCCACATCCTCTCCAGCACCTGTTGTTTCCTGACTTTTTAATGATTGCCATTCTAACTGGTGTGAGATGGTATCTCATTGTGGTTTTGATTTGCATTTCTCTGATGGCCAGTGATAATGAACATTTTTTCATGTGTCTTTTGGCTGCATAAATGTCTTCTTTTGAGAAGTGTCTGTTCATATCCTTTGCCCACTTTTTGATGGGGTTGTTTGTTTTTTTCTTGTAAATTTGTTTGAGTTCATTGTAGATTCTGGATATTAGCCCTTTGTCAGATGACTAGGTTGTGAAAATTTTCTCTCATTTTGTAGGTTGCTTGGTCACTCTGATGGTAGTTTCTTTAGCTGTGCAGAAGCTCTTTAGTTTAATTAGATCCCATTTGTCAATTTTGGCTTTTGTTGCCATTGCTTTTGATGTTTTAGACATGAAGTCCTTGCCCATGCCTATGTCCTGAATGGTAATGCCTAGGTTTTCTTCTAGGGTTTTTGTGGTTTTAGGTCTAACATTTAAGTCTTTAATCCATCTTGAATTAATTTTTGTATAAGGTGTAAGGGAGGGACCCAGTTTCAGCTTTCTACATATGGCTAGCCAGTTTTCCCAGTACCATTTATTAAACAGGGAATCCTTTCCCCATTGCTTGTTTTTCTCAGGTTTGTCAAAGATCAGATAGTTGTAGATATGTGGCATTATTTCTGAGGGCTCTGTTCTGTTCCATTGATCTATATCTCTGTTTTGGTACCAATACCATGCTGTTTTGGTTGCTGTAGCCTTGTAGTATAGTTTGAAGTCAGGTAGTGTGATGCCGCCAGCTTTGTTCTTTTGGCTTAGGATTGACTTGGTGATGCGGGCTGTTTTTTGGTTCCATATGAACTTTAAAGTAGTTTTTTCCAATTCTGTGAAGAAAGTCATTGGTAGCTTGATGGGGATGGCATTGAATCTATAAATTCCCTTGGGCAGTATGGCCATTTTCACGATATTGATTCTTCCTACCCATGAGCATGAAATGTTCTTCCATTTGTTTGTATCCTCTTTTATTTCATTGAGCAGTGGTTTGTAGTTCTCCTTGAAGAGGTCCTTCACATCCCTTGTAAGTTGGATTCCTAAGTATTTTATTCTCTTTGAAGCAATTGTGAATGGGAATTCACTCATGATTTGGCTCTCTGTTTGTCTGTTATTGGTGTATAAGAATGCTTGTGATTTTTGTACATTGATTTTGTATCCTGAGACTTTGCTGAAGTTGCTTATCAGCTGAAGGAGATTTTGGGCTGAGACAATGGGGTTTTCTAGATATACCCAATGATTCACTTTCAAGCTTTGCCTTTCTCCATGTCTACTAGATATGTTCATGTGGATATTACATGGCCCTCCAAATTTCTGGAACTGAACTCTTTTGTTTTTAAATTAAATACAAAAAGTTTGAACTTTTATTTTAGATTCAGGGGTACATGTGAAGGTTTATTATATAGGTAAACTCATGTCATGGGGGTTTGTTGTACAAATCATGTCATCACTCATGTACTAAGCCTAATACTCAATAATTACTTTTTTCAGATCCTCTCCTTCCTCTCACCCTTCTCCCTCTGTTAGGCTCATGTCTGTTTTTCCTGTCTTTGTGTCCATGTGTTCTCATCATTTAGCTTCCACTTATGAGTGAAAACATGCGATTTGTGTTTTTTTGTTCCTGTGTTCATTTGCTTAAAATAATGGCCTCCAGCTCCATCCATGTTCCTGCAAAAGATATGATCTCATTCTTTTTTATGGCTGCCTAGTATTCCATGGTGTCTATGTACCACATTTTCTTTATCCAATCTGTCATTGATGGGCATTTAGGTTGATTCCATATCTTTGCTATTGTGAATAGTGCTGCAATGAACATACATGTGCATGTGTCTTTATGGTAGAATTATTTATATCCCTTTGGGTATATACCATGTAATGGGATTGCTGGGTTGAATGGTAGTTCTGTTTTTAGGTCTCTGAGGAAATGCCACACTGCTTTCCACAATGGTTGAACTAATTTACACTCCGACCAGCAGTATATAAGCAGAACTAAACTTTTTATCTCCCTCTGTCATTGTCATCATCCAGCCACCACCTTCTTTTCTATTCTTAGCATGATGGCTCAGAGGATGAGCTTTTAAATTACATGTACCTAAGTTGTAACCATTGCCACATACTAGCTATGTGAGCTTGGGCAGGTGACTTAGCACTTCTGAGCCCTGCTTTCCTAACCTCAGAAATAGGGATAATAATAGTACTTTCCTCATAGGGTTAGTCTGAAGATTGAATGGGGCCATTATATAAACGACTATCATAATATCTGGAGCATAATATGTGCTCAATAAAAGTAGCTACTGCTAATATTATAAAAATGATGATGACATTGATGCTTTCTATAACTCAGGTGCTTTCATCTTATTTAGACATTTGATTTCTCCTGTGTGGATTATTGTAGCAGCCTTCTGACTCATTTTACTCCTTGTCTCATCTGATCTTGCTCACCTCCACTGACTCTTATTTCCCCCAGAATTATCTTTCTAAACATAGCTTTGATCACATCATTCAGCTACTTAGAACCCTCAAATATCTCCTTGTTGCCTAAAGCACTGCCCCAACAGTGCTAACTTATAGGAGTACTCAATAAATATCTATTGATTATTAATTTGCTTACTTACCTGTACTCCACATTGGCACACGGTGACCCATTAGTGTAGGAGGGCTGCAGCTATCCAGTAAGGTTTTGAGCAGGACCTGACACTGCACAAGTCCAGTGGGACGCTTTTCACATTATATTATATGTAAACGGCACCCCAGAACTCTTTCTGGAGTTGGACAGAGCGACAGCCTGGAAGAGTCCTGGATCCTCGTGTTGTCTCCTCTCTTGGGCAAGTCACTTAGTGGTTTTGAGCCTTAGTTGTGCGGTGGGGGTATTAAGACTTGAACTACTTTCCCTTACAGTTGTGGGAGGCTGGCGAAAGTGAACAGGCTTATGACCTGGGAAGTGCCGTCTTTCACAAATGCTCCTGCCATTATTGTCACCAGTAGTGACGTGAAGAGTAAGGACTACGAAGAACCCCATTTCTGGTAGTCAGTTTCTAAGATAAAAGCCCCATTATGAGCAGTGGATATGTGACAAGCCCAAAGAGATTCTTTTTTTTTTTTTTTTTTTTTTTTTGAGAGAGTCTTGCTCTGTCACCCAGGCTGGAGTGCAGTGGCGCGATCTTGGCTCACTGCAACATCTGCCTCCCAGATTCAGGCAATTCTCCTGCCTCAGCCTCCCAAGTGACTGGGATTATAGGCATGTGCTACCATGCCTGGCTAATTTTTATATTTTTGGTAGAGATGGGGTTTCACCATGTTGGTCAGGCTGGTCTTGAACTCCTGACCTCAGGTGATCTGCCCTCCTTGGCCTCCCAAAGTGCTAGGATTAAAGGTGTGAGCCACCGCGCCTGGCGAGATTCTTTATTTATAATTTAAACTACCTTGTTTTTCTTATTTCAAAGACAATACTCATAATAGTAGGAAATAATAGTTTAGCTAAAAGGAGAAAATTAAAACACCCATAATCCCACCCACACAAGAGCAAACATTACTAATTCCTTGACATATTTTCTTCTAGAATCTTTCACAGGTATATGTGGTATACACACCATTTGATAGCCTGCTTTTTCCCCCCACTTAATGTACCAGAAACCTCGTTTCACTTTAATAAATACACCTTCACAATGTGATTATTAATGGCTGCATGTTATTTCAGGGTGAGGATATGGTTTAATTTATTGAGCCAACACACTCTTGCTGCATTAAGGTTAATTCTTACCTTTTCCTGTTACAAATGGACTGCAAAGAATATCTTCACAGTTACATCTGTGTGCACATCTGTGTTTTTTTTTTTTTCCCCTCAGGTTAAATCACAGAAGTTAAATTATAGGGTCAAAGAGTAGGCATATTCTTTAAAAAGGCTTTTGCAAAGGACTGTCGATTGCCCTCTGGTAAGAATTGTACGCTCAATTGGATTTTGAAGGTCATTCTACCTAATAGTGGAGGGTGCAAAATACATAAACTTTGAACTTTCAAATGGAATTACTCTCTGCTGGGCTGTAATATGGGTTTAATCAGAAATTTTTGTAATTCTAGCTGGGGAATAGTGTTCAATGATAGAGGAGAAGGAACGCCATCTTCACAGTTTTTAGGCGATTTTCTTTTCTATGGATCTTTTTAACATTAAAAAATTGGAGTAGTATTTTTATAGAATATAGTTTTATTTTAATCGATTTTAGTAGAGATGGCTAGTGCTCACACATAGGTGCTTCTCCTCTCCTTCCAAGCATATGGAAAAATGACATTGCGCAGTTCTTTGCAGGTAAGTGGGGCTGGCGACAGGGTCTAGCCAATGACCTGTGAACAAAATAATATGGATCACTTGTAGAATGAAGGACTTAATTGCTTGCATAAGACACCCTGGAGCTTTCTTCTGCACATTGACTGAGAAGGCCCCGTGCTACAGATGGCACTCTGCAGGCTGGTGGCGCCTTCATTAACTTGGGCCTCTGAGCATCACCTGGAGAACAGTTGCCCTGGAGAATCATTTGTACCCATAGTGGACTTCGTGAGTGAGAAATAAAATTGTTGTGCTAAGTCACTAAGATGTGTTTTTTTTGTTTTTCACTGAAGCATGATCTAATTTATCTCAGCTAATACAGTGACACAATTTGATTCTAGATCTAAGTTATTAGTCACTTCACAACTGTTTCTTAGAGTGCCTGTTCTGTGCTGGGTACTGTGGAGGACCTGAGAAAGTGTAACCTTAATCTCTGTTTGCAAAATATGTACAACTTCTCTGGTGATACGGTTCATCTCTATTGTTGAATAATGTGTTTATATATCAAATGTCATAGATTGACTTAAAGGGACTTTGTCATGGCAAACTGGTTCACATATTCATAACAGGAGTAATGAACATCTATAATTCTGTCTGCCCAGCATCGCTTGCTCCACCCTTCTCCTCTTCCTTTAGAAAACTTGTCTCCTACTCTATGTAGTTCTGGTGGGGTTACCAGCTATAATCCCTACATCCCCGGCCATTGGAAAAGGCATATAACTTCCCTGGAAATGTCTGAATTGAAGATTGAAATGGTAGCTCTCTCTTGCCCCCTGTGTCATAAAATGTAAGAAACTGATCCCGGAAGCAATGTCCCCGAGGAGCCTGAGATAATGAGGACAACTTATAGACCAAAGCTGAGATGAACTCTGAGACATTGAACGGTGACAGATTCTAATGCTTTTCAGTTCCTGAATCCTGAGGCCACTACCACCCACGTACCTCAAGACATGTAAGTTGATACTTTCCCTGTCTTTCTTTTTGTTCAAACTAGCTTCCATTTCTTCGAATAGAAAGAATTATCATTAGTATAACAACTATTATATTTGTTGATAAATAATAACATGCTAATAACAACCAAAATAAATAATATCACATACAAATCTCATTTAATCCTTTTAACAATCCCACCACATTGGTACACCTACTAGTATCACCTCCACTTTACAGAGGAAGAGAATGAGGCTGGCCCAAGACAGGAAATTTAGCCAAGGTCACACCGTTGTTAAGTGGTAGGATGGAATAAGACTCAGGCAATCTGATTCCCAAGCCCATTGCTGTCTGAATGTTTTTTAAAGTTTATTTTTCTAAATGGACACATAATAATTGTACATGTTTATCAGGCATATGGTGATGTTTCCATACATATCATGTGTAGTGTTCAGATCAGTGAGTGCAAATCTTAATATCCAGGTTTATAGAAAGTGTTTTCTACCTTCTGTTTCTCTATCTGAAATTTTCTACAAAGGATGACAAAATAATTTGTGGTTGCTTTGCAGAAGTGAATACAATTTTTTTCTTTTGCAGAAGTGAAATACAAACCCTTTTTTTTTTTTTTACTTTTTAAAGTATCTAAAAAACACTTGGCTATTTGGTGTAATTCTAGAATCTTTGATTAGAAGTACTGAGTTTGAAAAGGTGAAACATCATAATAAGAACTTTTGATGAATGAACTAATGTTTTCATGCTGGATATAAACTTCATTTTTTTCTGTAGTATATCCCATATTACCCATTTAAATTTTTTATTTTAGATTCAGGGGTACATGTGCAGGTTTACTACATGGGTATACTACCTGATGCTGAGGTCTTGGCTTCTAATGATCCCGTTGCCCATGTAGTGAACATAGTACCCAATTGGTAGTTTTTCAACTCCTACCCTGCTCCCTCCTCACTTTTTTTTTGAGACAGAGTCTTGCTGTGTCACCCAGGATGGAGTGCAGTGGTGCGATCTTGGCTCATTGCAACCTCCGCCTCCTGGGTTCAAGCATGCCTCAGTCTCCCAAGTAGCTGGGATTACAGGTGCGCACCACCACACCTGGCTAATTTTTGTATTTTGAGTAGACAGGGGGTTTTGCCATGTTGGCCAGGCTGGTCTCAAACTCCTGGGCTCAAGCGATCCGCCTGCCTTGGCCTCCCAAAGTGCCGGGATTACAGGTGTGAGCCACTGCGCCTGGTCCCTACTGTTCCCATTTGTGTCTGTGTGTACCCAATGTTTAGCTCCCACTTATAAGTGAGCACATGTGGTATTTGATTTTCTGTTCCTGTGTTAATTCACTTAGGATAATGGCCTCCATCTGCATCCATGTTGCTGCAAAGAACATGGTTTTGTTCTTTCTTGTGGCTGCAGATGTTGCCCATTTAAAAACATGTAATTGCTTTCTTTCCTTTTGAATATCAGGCCAGGTTGGATAAACCCATGGGTCTTTCTGGTGAGCTGGCCACAAGGTCAAGGGCATGCCAGCTGCTGAGTGGGCTTTGAGACTTGTTCAGTAGATGAACATGGCTGCCTGCGCCATCCAGCAGAGCATGAAGTGGAGGGGAGGTTGGAGGAGGCAGCCACTCACTCAGGCGCCGGCAGTGTGGGGGCTGAGGTGGCAAGCAGGGTTGTCATTATGCTAATAGCATCCGTGGAGCCACAGCCAGTGACCCCTTGGGGAAAACAAGAGCTCTTGAAGGTCCATTTGAAGCCTTTGCACCATCAGTTTGAAGGCTCTGACACTTGTACTTGGCACCTCCTAATTGATTTTATTTTTCACTTGCCTAAAGAGCATTGCTCCATTAAAGTGCAATGACCTTGCAGACCTAACCGAAGTTTAAGGAGAGGCAGCATATTGGAGGTGGCAGTCTAGTGCAGAGGTTTGGATTGTGGACTCTGGAGACAGACTGCTGGGATTAGAATCTCAGCCTTTGGCCTCAATGGTCATGTGAGTTGGGGCAGGTGCCTTCACCTCTCTGCTTCCTTTTCTTCATCTGGAAAGTGGCAGTGATAGGAGTACCCTCCCAATCTCTTAGCGGGTTGTCCAAAGTATAAAATAAATTAGTGCATGAAGAACACTTCGATAACACCGAACACTCTGTTATGGTTGATCAGTGGTAGAGGAGAAAGCTGTGGAGAGGGCTAACATTTGCATGTCAAATAGAGAAGCCCTGAGTGAGTCTTGATCAAGCCCTCAGCAGCTGGGTGACCTAGGACAAACCACATGCTCTTTCTGACCTTGAATGAAATGTGACCAACTGAGAAAGCACTGTGAGGGATGTCTGACACATCAGAGGTGCTTAGTGAAGGGTACTTTCCTTCCCACTGGGCCCCAGTCTTCCCATATGTAAGGTGAAGGTGGTTGAGATCTTTTTTGTCTTTAACTGCCTAAGAATTTGGGTCTGATATCATAGGTACTGATTAAAAGGGGTATCCTTTTTGGGACTGGCCAGGTGAGTCAAAGCCTCAGGGTGAGTAGGACTCCCACAGGATTAACGGTCATCACCCAAGAGAGTTGCTATCCACTGTCACCCATGGCAGAGTGCAGGGTCCTGAGGGAGTGGGCGCGGGAGGAGGCAACATAGAGAGGTGGCCGGGATGATGGACTCCAAACCAACTTTGCCACAAATTAGCAGTGGGGCTTTGCTGTCTCCAGCTTTAGCTGATCCAACTGGAAAATAGGAGGACCGCTCTTGAGGATTCTAAGGAGTGGACCATGGTAAGGAATCCGGTGAAGGGGCGTGGAGGCAGAGGGTTCTGGGAAATTCAGGAGAAAGTGGGCAGTTAGGAATGGAAGAGTGACTCAAACTTCATCTATCTCATAGCTGAGGCCAGATTTTACCTTTAGATCTGGAACATTTATAATCTTGATGTAATTCAGCATGTGGACTGACCTGAGAGTCAAAATCATTGAAATACGAATGATAGTGAAAACAGCTTATACTATGTGCCAAACACAATGCTCAAGGCATTATCTGCATTATCTCATTTGAGTTTTCTAGCTAATGCTAAGAGGTAACTACTATTACTGGCCCCATTTTACAGATTAAAAAACCCCCTGAAGCTCACAGAGGTTAAGTAGCTTGCCCACAGTCACTCAGCTTGAAACCTGTGAACTAGGAGCTGGAATTCTTTGTTGTTGTTGAACTTTGGGGCTTTTTAGATGGGGTCTCACTCCATCACCCAGGCTGGAGTGCAGTGGTGTGATCTCAGCTCACTGCAGCCTTGACCTCCAGGCTCAAGTGATCCTCCCACCTCAGCCAGAAAGTCTGAGTAGGTGGGACTACAGGTGCATACCACCATACCTGGGTAATTTTTGTAGAGATGAGGTCTTGCTGTGCTGCCCAGGCTGGTCTCAAATTCCTGGGCTTAAACAGTCCTCCTGCCTCAGCCTCACAAAGTGCTGGGATTACAGGCCTGAGCCACCACTCCCTGCTGACCTCTGGCTTTTTAATTTTAGTTAATTAATTTGACAAAAATTGTATGTATTTTTAGTGTACAACATGATATTTCGAAATATGTGTACATTGAGGAATGGCTAAATCGAGCTGATTAGCACATATAGAATCTCCTATACTTATCATATTTTGTGGTGAGGACCCTTAAAATTTACCCTCAGGGGTTTTCAAGTAGACATTACATTGTTATTAACTATAGCCACCGTGTTGTACAATTGATATTTTGAGCTCATTCCTCCTGTCTAATTTAAATTTTGTATCCTTTGACCAACATCTCCCCTTTTCACCCTCAGCCCCTGGTAACCTACATTCGACTCTGCTTCTATGAATTTGACTTTTAGATTATGAGCTGGGATTCCAGCCCAGGTAGTTAGATTGGACCGTGTGTATTCTTCACTGAAACAGCTTGTCCTCAGAGGAAGGAGGAACCAGGATTTCTCACTGCCCGTCACAGCCTGCTTAACAATTTCTGCTTTGGGTCACAGTGACCTGTTCCTATCTCAAAGGCCTTGTATTTGAGGATCTGGTAAAAATATTTGCAAACCAAGAACAAATGTAGTTGTCCTTCCTAAGTATTCAAGTTTTGCTCCCTGGTGTGTGAAGATTACAAGGAGAAAGAAAGTTGTGGAATGCAATATGGTCAGGTCAACCATTACTTCAGGTCCACAGTAGCTTTTGTGTGAGTAGGTGCCAAGATAGACACTGCCAGTGTACTTAGATGTGTGGACGAATGAGAGCTAGGGAGAGCTATGAGCATGTTCCTTGAAGGAAGTGCTGCCGGTTCTAAGTACAGTTCCCTTGCTCATCCTGGGAGAGCCTGGCGGTCCATATTACAGAAGGGAGAGGAACCTGGAGTTCTGAGAAGTGTGTGGGAGGGGAATTCAGGAAGAGGAGAGAGGCACCAGTAATCCCAGGTGACCTCCGGAGTGAGTTTGCTGAGAATCATACAGGAAGACAAGAATGTCTGATGGACATTTTGTCGTGTTTTATTGTGAGGTGGGTGATGTAAAGTCCTTTTTTCTGTGTTGTCTATGAAATCAGAGAATTCCACATAGCTCATTGTGATAGGCAGAATAATGGCACCCCAAAGATGTCCATGTCCAATCCCTGGAATCTGCAAATATGCTACTTTACAGGGCAAATGGGACTTCATAGATGTGATTACATTGAGGGTCGTGAGATGAGATTATTCTAGATTATCGGGCAGGCCTAGTGTAATCTCAGGGATCCTTAGAGAGTCAGAGAAGGAGATGTGACGCTGGAAGCAGGTCAAAGTGATCTATGGCCGTGGTGAAAGAATGCAGGCAGTGTCTGGAAGCTGGGAAAGACAAGAAAACAGATTCTCCCCTAGAGCCCCTGGAAGGAACACGGCCCTGCCAACATCTTGATTTTGGCCCAGTGAGATCCATTTTTGACTTCTGACCTCCAGAACTGTAAGGTAATAAGTGTGTGTGGATATGTGTGTGTGTGTGTGTGTGTGTGTGTAAGACAGGGTCTCACTCTGTCGCCCAGGCTGGAGTGCAGTGGCGTGATCACAGTTCACTGCAGCCTCGACCTCCCTGGGCTCACGTAACCCTCCTACCTCAGCCTCCTGAGTAGCTGGGACCACAGGTGCATGCCACCACACCCAGCTAATTTTTGTATATTTTGTAGAGATGGGTTTCACCATATTGCCCAGGCTGGTCTCAAATTCCTGGGCTCAAGTGATCCTCCTGCCTTGGCCTCCCAAAGTGCTGGGATTACAGATGTGAGCAATGACATCTGGGTCTGGCCAAATTTTGTTGTTTTAAGCCACTCAGCTTATGGTGATTTGTTCCAGATGCAATAGGAAATGAATACATTCGCTTTTGCAAGAAACACGCTGAGTTTCTCACTTTGGCAGCATGTGCTGAGCCTGTGTGCAATAATGAAGGAGACTGGAGGCAGAGAGGGCCCAGTTGTTCAGAGCTACAACTGTGAACGTGTCTTTGACTGCTCTTTGCCACCTATACCTCAGTTCCCAAATCTCATATCCTCTCAGCACCCCTGTTGCCACCACCTGGATCCATGACAATATCCTCTATTGCTTTGGATAAAGGCAATTGCCTCCTAACTTGTTCCCACCTTCTGCTCTTCAGATCTCCCTTCAGGTGCCTCTTGTGTCCTTGTTTAAGTCAGATCATATCACTTCCTGCTCAGAACCTTCCAAAATTCCAAGTCCAGGACCACGACCTACAAGGCTGGTTCCTCCCCTTGTGATTTTCCTTGTGCTTTTCCATCAACACACAGACAAGCTTTGCCCTTGCTTTTCCCTCAGCCTGGATGCTCTTCTCCCAGACATCCTAATGGCTTCACATCTTTAGGTTCTTCCCAAAGTCACCTTCTCAGAGAAGACACTTTCACATTTTACCCCCTCCTCCTAACATCGATATCTCCCATTCTTGTTTATTTTTTTCTCCTTAGCACACACTACTATCTAACACTTAATCAATTTGACTTCTCTATTATATTTAGCATTTATCTCCCTCACTAGAATCTCAGCCCCATGAGGGTAGGGGTTTATTTGTTCAATGCTATATTCTCAGGACTTAGAACAGTGTCTGGCACATAGAAGTTGCTCAGTAAATATTTGTGAATTTATTGAATAAATGAAAGGGAATTGATGGATATCTCAGGGTGGCTCTGGATCTTCCCTGGTCATGGAACTGGAAGGCTCAAGGGCTGGGAACTTCTGAATTGACTGCCTGGCTGTATACTGATTTGTGATTGTATTAGTTTGTTTTCACACTGCTGATAAAGACATACCTGAAACTGGGAACAAAAAGTGGTTTAATTGGACTTACAGTTCCATATGGCTGGGGAGGCCTCAGAATCATGGTGGGAGGTGAAAGGCACTTCTTACATGGCAGCAGCAAGAGAAAAATGAGGAAGAAGCAAAAGCAGAAACCCCTGACAAGCCCATCAGATCTTGTGAGACTTATTAAATATCACGAGAATAGCATGGGAAAGACTGGCCCCCATGGTTCAATTACCTCCCCTGGGTCCCTCCCCACAACACATGGGAATTCTGTGAGATACAATTCAAGTTGAGATTTGGGTAGGGACACAGCGAAACCATATCATTCTGCCCCTGGCCCCTCCAAATCTCATGTCCTCACATTTCAAAACCAATCACGCCTTCCCAACAGTCCCCCAAAGTCTTAACTCATTTCAGCATTTACCCAAAAGTTCGCAGTCCAAAGTCTCATATGAGACAATGCAAGTTCCTTCTGCCTATGAACCTATAAAATCAAAAGCCAGCTAATTACTTCCTAGATACAATGGGGGTACAGGTATTGGGTAAATACAGCCCTTCCAAATGGGAGAAATTGGCCAAAACAAAGGAATTACAGGGCCCATGCACATCCAAAATATAGCATGGCAGTCAAATTTTAAAGCTCTAAAATAATCTCCTTTGACTCCAGGTCTCACATCCAGGTCATGGTGATGCAAGAGGTGGGTTCCCATGGTCTTGGGCAGCCCTACCTCTGTGGCTTTGCAGGACACAGCCTCCCTCCTGGTTACTTTCACTGGCTGGCATTGAGTGTCTGCAGGTTTTCTAGGTGCACAGTGCAAGCTGTCAGTGGATCTACCATTCTGGGTTCTGGAGGATGGTGGCCCTCTTCTCACAGCTCCACTAGGCAGTGCCCCAGTAGGGACTGTGTGTGGAGGCTCCAACCCCACATTTCCCTTCTGCATTGCCCTAGCAGAGGTTCTCCATGAGGGCCCCACCCCTGCATCAAACTTTTGCCTGGGCATCCAGGTGTTTCTATACATCTTCTGAAATCTAGGCAGAGGTTCCCCAACCTCAATTCTTGACTTCTGTGCACCCACAGGCTCAACACCACATGGAAGCTGCCAAGACTTGGGGCTTCCACTCTCTGAATCCACAGCTGGAGCTCTACATTGGCTCCTTTCAGCCATGGCTGGAGTGGCTGGGACACAGGGCACCAAGTCCCTAGGCTGCACACAGCATGGGGACCCTGGGACTGGCCCATGAAACCACTTTTTCCTCCTGGGCTCCGGGCCTGTGATGGGAGGGGCTGCTGTGAAGGTCTCTGACATGGCCTAGAGACATTTTCCCCATGGTCTTGGGGATTAACATTAGGTTCCTTGCTACTTATGCAAATTTCTGCAGCCGGCTTGAATTTCTTCACAAAAAACGGGTTTTTCTTTTCTACTGCATCATCAGCCTGCAAATTTTCTGAACTTTTATGCTCTGTTTCCCTTTTAAAATGGAATGCTCTTAACAGCACCCAAGTCACCTTTTGAATGCTTTGCTACTTAGAAATTTCTTCTGCCAGATACCCTAAATCATCTCCCTCAAGTTTAAAGTTCCACAAATCTCTAGGGCAGGGGCAAAATGCCACCAGTCTCTTTGCTAAAACATAACAAGAGTCACCTTTGCTCCAGTTCCCAATAAGACCCTGAGACCACCTCAGGCTGGACCGTATTGTTCATATCACTACTAGCATTTTTGTTAAAGCCATTCAACAAGTCTCTAGAAGGTTCCAAACTTTCCCACATTTTCCTGTCTTCCTCTGAGTCTTCCAAACTGTTCCAACCTCTGCCTGTTACCCAGTACCAAAGTTGTTAACACATTTTTGGGGATCTTTTCAGCAATGCCCCACTCTACTGGTACCAATTTATTGTATTCATACATTTTCATGCTGCTGATAAAGACATATCTGAAACTGGGAACAAAAAGAGGTTTAATTGGACTTACAGTTCTATGTGAATGGGGAGGCCTCAGAATGATGGCAGAAGGTGAAAGGCACTTCTTACATGGAAGCAACAAGAGAAAAATAAGGAAGAAGCAAAAGTGGAAACCCCTGATAAACCTACCAGATCTCGTGAGACTTAGTCACTATCATGAGAACAGCATGGGAAAGACCGGCCCCTATGATTCAATTACCTTCCTCTGGGTCCCTCCCACAACACATGGGAATTCTGGTAGATACAATTCAAATTGAGATTTGGGTGGTGACACAGCCAAATCATATCAGTCATTGTGATGCTTCGCCCATATATTAGTCTGTTCTCATGCTGCTAATAAAGATTTACTCAAGACTGGGTAATTTATAAAGGAAAGAGGCTTTAAGGACTTACAGTTCCACATGGCTGGGGAGGCCTCACAATCATGGTGGAAGGTGAAGGAGGAGCAAAGTCATGTCCTACATGGTGGCAGGCAAGAGAGAGCTTGTGTAGGAGAACTCCTCTTTATAAAACAATCTGACCTTGTGAGACTTATTCACTATCATGAGAACAGCATGGGAAAAACTGCCCCCATGATTCAGTTACCTCCCACCAGGTCCTACCATGACACATGGTAATTATGGGAGCTACAATTCAAGATGAGATTTGGGTGGGGACACAGCCAAACCATATACAGCCAAACCATATAAAGCCATTAAGCAGTTAGTAAGTCCTGGGCAACAAGAATTGCATTTCATTCCAAGCATTGAAATGCAATGTCCTAAGTGAAAGAGGAAGGCTGCTCAGTGGCCAAAGAATAACCCAAGCAGTGAACGCTTCCTGGTTTGGTGAAGGTGATTAGAAGGTGCTGGAGGTTCTCACTCCATCAGGAAACCATTACAGTTGGAGACAAAAGGGAATTCAAAGCTTGTAAAACCCTAGCCCTTCCTTTCCTAGATGAGGAAACAAGCCCAGAGACCTGCCCAAGGCCCAGTGCTTTGGAGTCTCCACTTTGCCTCTTACTAACAGTGTGATCTTGGTAACTACTCAAAGAGAAGTTCTCTAAACTAACTTTTTTCATCTAAAACAAGGATGACATTAATAATAGCTACTTCACGTAGTGCTCTCAACATGGATCAGTCATAATTTGTTGTCGGAACCAAGGGAAAAGTTCTCCTTTGCCCTCTGAAGGTTTGCTGAAAATCAACTTACAAAAGTCAGATTAATTGGAGAAAAGTCATGCAAATTTTATTAACGAGAGCCTTTAGAATGAAAAACCCAGAGATACAGGGGAAATTGTCCATTTTCATGCTTAGGTTCAATAAACTATGGACAACCATGTAGAAATAGGATTTGACAAAAAGGGTAAGATCTAATGCTAATAGATCAAGTGGAGAAACCCAGACAGAAATCTGTCTGTCTAGATTTCTCCTGGCCTCTCTGAGCAGCATTCCTTCCTTTTGGGTGTGGGGCAGGACCCTCTCTGGCATGGGGATCTTATGACCTATGGTCAAAGTAGGTCAGATAATTTCTTTATGGCCAGTTTTTACACAGAAAGGTAGAGGGAAAGTTAGAGCAATATTTCTAGGTTTTATAGCTCCACTTTGGGGAAAAAGGGGTTCTGGTTTCTATGACCTGCCTTGGGAATGAGGGATTCTACTTGCTATGGCTAGCTTTGGGGGAGAATGGGACTGAGATATAAGAGGGCAGGACAAGGTCAGAGAGAAACTTTTGCATCTGAGGCCTTCATTTGGGGGCACTGTTTTCTGAGCCCCAGCACTGTCAGTAACTGGCAGTGAGTACCAGATGCAGCTTGTTATAACCCAGCTTCCTCTTTGCTGGAGCTGGGAGATTTTCATCCATGCTAAAATGCTATGAATAACTTAATTCATGGCCCCTAGAACTTCAGATCTATTTACTTCAAGTTAATTATGTGCTACTGTGCAAAACCACTATCTCATTTTCCCACACTCACTTCACCCAAATTCCTTTTTGTCCTTACACTCACCCAATTCACACATTTTATTTATTTTTTTGGTCTGGCTCCCCTAGGGTTTTGAGATTCAGACTTCTGCTGGAGCACATTCACACAGCTCTGTGATCAGAAAGACCTGAGTTCAAAGCCTGGTTCTGCCTTTATAAGTCGGGCAATCTTGGGCAAGTAATTTAGTGTGTCTGAGCCTTGGTACTTAGCCTAGGGCCTAGCTTATAGCATGTCCTCAGAAAATATTGTTAGTAACCCGAAAAACACTCCATACTGAAAGAGTGGAAGCCCTCTGGTTTTATGGCTACTGCTTTCATCAGTCTTCTAGAAGCCAACGTTCTATTAATCTTTCTGGTCACAGACTTTCCCATTGTTTTCTTATTTGGGAAGATTGACAGTGCAAGTGCTTTCATCCCAATTCTACAGAAGAAGGAAGCAAGCTAGAGAGAGTCAATGCTTGTAAGGTCCTGCAGTCTTAAATCCAGGTTTACTGACTCCTAGCACAGTGCTCTTTCTTACTAGTACTAATTACTGAGACCCTATGACGTTATTATCCCTAATTTACAGATGAGAAGGTTGGGTTAAGGGTCAGGTGGCTGGATTCAAATATAAGATTTACCAAAAATGGGGCCTTATAATTTGGAGACTACTGTTTGTCCCCTCTGAGCCTCAGTTTTCTCATCTACAAAGTGGAGGATTTTCACAATGTTGCCTCTAAAGTCCTTTTTAGCTCTAAAGTCCTTTTTTAGCTCTGAAGTCCTAAAAACCTTTATCTGCCCATCAGACTCATCTCTATTGTCTTCCGAACAGCAAAGCTGAACTTGAAAAAGTGTCTCCATCAGGGCCCTATGTCCTTAGCACCTCCTTAAAGTCAATGTGTGAAATTGCTTTTACTGCTGAATGGGGAAGTTGGTAATAAAAGCCAACTCCTTGGGTGCCCTAATTCCACTTTAGGAAGAATGAACATATTGTTTTAATTAATCATACAAAAGCAAAATTAGCATGATTGTGTGATAGGTGTTGTAAATCATCCCGATCCACATCATTGAGCAAGGAGCATTTAGTTATTCCAGAGTTGTTAAAGATTTTTATCTACCCAAGTGAAAATTCAATTAGTACTAGCTTCAGCTTATATAAAACTAAGGATTTTCAACTGTGGGAAAATACTCTTTGTGTGTGTGAATACCACCTTATGCCACTTTGATAAATTACTGTAATTAACTGTATCCTACGCAAGCTAAACAAAATTTACTGAACTGTTGTAGTATAAAAGGGATATCTTCTCTTCTCTTGTTTGGTAGATTACTCATCTATACATGATATTGCCTTGAATATCATGCTTTTTATGCTGAGATCTGAAAATACCTACAGAATTCTGGCTGGGTCCGGTGAGACACGCTTAGTTTTCATCACTTTTCCCCTTTTCCCCTCTGGGTGTAGGGACATCAGCTATGGGCTTCACTATGATTCAATTAAATGCGCTATGTTTAATTAGCTAGCTGGGGAAACACTGCAAGCAGAACCTACTTGGAACATTATAACTTAGCCACAGGGCTGAGTTATTTTGGGAAGGGCAGAGGATGATGGAAGAGGCAAGGAGAAAAAGTCAAGGAGACCTTTACTTGCAGCTTTCCGGCACGAACTCTGTGCTTCAGCCCCATGTCCCTCCTTTTCTTGTGTACCTGGCTCTGCCTGCCTCTCCTCTCTCACCCAAATCTTACCTGTACTTCAAGGCCTACCCCTTCCTTTTTTCAGAAGCCTTCCAAAGAGACTTATAGGTATGTTTGCTGGGTGTGCCAAGTGTTCTCCTCTGATCCATCAACCTATCTCGTTATGGGTTCTCTGACCTTTTCTCCTTTGTCATACTCCATGGGGTCTAATTCTCAATGAGGAAACACCACAGACACTGGCAGGATTCCCAGTGGAATGGTCCAGCTTCATTCTGAACTTCATACCAACTGTGCAACTCTCAACTCTTCAAGGGCAAAACTTTGGGAACAAGGTCACTCTGAGCCAGAGCTTGTCTAGTGTGTTGTGGTCATTTTGGAAGGATTTTTCAAGTAATTTTTAGTAGCACCAACACTGCTACCAGTGCATTGAATGCATGCTATGTAGCAAGCTTGTTGCAAAGAACCTTGTAGGTATTATCTTCTTTAATTCTCTTACAGGTTCCTATGAGATGGGTGTTATCATCTCTAATTTACAGATGAGAAAACAGGCTCAGGGAGGTAATTAAACTTGCTCGATCTCACATACGTAGTTAGAAACGATATTTGAAGCCATGCTCCATCTGTCACTAAAGGTTATTCTTAGCCTCTGTGCAAAACTGCTTCTCATGCTAATAATTGTGAAAATACCAAAGTATTCAAATGATTTACTCACCTTCTGGCTTATTTGTGCTGTAGGGTGCTTACCTGGCTAGGTGAGAAAGTCATGCTGTCTTGTGGGCAGGAACTGTGTGGTTTTCCATGAAGGTGTATTGTACACATGAGTGTCAACCATTTGTGCCATGGGGGAAGTTTAAGAACTATTGAGCCATCCCGTTGGGCTTTGTATTAGTCAGGGTTCTCCAGAGGGACAGAACCAATAGGATATATGTATATATAAAATGGAGTTTATTAGGGAGAATTGGCTTCCATGATTACATGGTGAAGTTCCACGATAGGCCATCTGCAAGCTGGGGAAAGAGAGAAACTGGTAGTGGCTCAGCCCAAGTCCACAAACCTCGAAACCAGGGAAGCTGACAGTGCAGCCTTCGATCTGAGGTTTGAAGGCCCAAGAACCCGTGGGAGAACCACTGGTGCAAGTCCCAGAGCCAAAGAACTTCCAAATCTGATGCCCAAGGGCAGGAGGAGAAGAAGCAAGGCATCCAGCAAGGGAAGAGAGAGAGAGAGAGATAGAGAGAGATAGAGGAAAAAAAACCCCGCAAGCTGCTTTTACCCCTTCTTCTGCCTGCTTTGTTCTAGCCATGCTGGCAGCCGATTGGGTGGTGCCCACCCACATTGAGGGTAGATCTTTGTCTACCAGTCCACTGACTCAAATGTCAATCTCCTTTGGCCACACACTCACAGACACACCCAGCAACAGTACTTCACTGGCCATTTGGGCATCCCTCAATCCAGCCACGTTGATACCTAATATTAACATCACAGGCTTTGTGAGAGGCAGTTCAGGTACCTGGGTAGTTTAGCATTTATACTGCTGTATGGTTACAGGAATCTGTCTCTAATGAACTGGCTAAGGAAACTTATGGTGCAATTTTCTTCCCAGCAAGTGTAATTCTAGTCATATGTATCACTGCCTTCATTGATACATCACCAGCCCCTACAAGGCGAGAAAAAAGACTAGTGTCAGTTTCGCATTGTGTAATGTGTATATGATAACCAATGACCTCAAAAGAGGAGTTTTGAGGATTGAATGAGATTATGAATGTGAAATGGTCTTAAAAAATAGAGAAAAGCTTTGCACTTGTAAGTTGTTACAGAGAAATCTTAACTGGTATAGTGGATATGGGTGTTATTTGTGACCAGCTGGCAGTCATTCTTTTTTCTAGGAGGTGGCCACCCCTGACTTCTCCTGTAAGGAACCACCTCTTTCTAGGTACTTTAGGTGCAGTCCCATTCCTGATGGCTAACTACAAGACAAAGTTAAGAGGGGCTCAAAACTCATGCTACATAGAGCTCCCTCTTTACCATGTCCCAGATGGCTCTAGCAATGTGTGAAAAAGAAGTTAGTTCCACACTTTTACACTGTTGGTGGGACTGTAAACTAGTTCAACCATTGTGGAAGACAGTGTGGTGATTCCTCAAGGATCTAGAACTAGCAATACCATTTGACCCAGCCATCCCATTACTGGGTATATACCCAAAGGATTATAAATCATGCTGCTATAAAGACACATGCACACGTATGTTTATTGTGGCACTATCCACAATAGCAAAGACTTGGAACCAATCCAAATGCCCATCAACGACAGACTGGATTAAGAAAATGTGGCATATATACACCATGGAATACTGTGCAGCCATAAAAAAGGATGGGTTCATGTCCTTTGTAGGGACATGGATGAAGCTGGAAACCATCATTCTCAGCAAACTATTGCAAGGACAGAAAACCAAACACCGCATGTTCTCACTCATAGATGGGAATTGAACAATGAGGACACTTGGACACAGGAAGGGGAACATCACACACCGGGGCCTGTTGTGGGGTGGGGGGAGGGGGGAGGGATAGCATTAGGAGATATACCTAATGTAAATGATGAGTTAATGGGTGCAGCACACCAATATGGCACATGTATAAATATGTAACAAACCTGCACGTTGTGCACATGTACCCTAGAACTTAAAGTATAATAATAATTTAAAAAAATAAATAAAAAAGAAGTTAGTTCCAAATACACCTGTGAGCAAATGTTGTACTTCCTTTCTGAGCAATTCAACAGTATGCCCTGTTTAGTGATGAAAAACACATTATAATTGCTGAACAAACAGTATTATAGCAACAGGAGCAGAAACAAAAGAGAAAAAAACCAAAAACACCTACAGTCCCACCACCCTAGCAAATCATTTGACTATTTCCAAATTTACTTCTAGTTTCTGGCCATCTGGCCTCATATTTTTACATAGTTGCAAATCAAGTGTAAATAGCATTTCCTAACCTAATCATATATCCTAAATATTTTCCTATGCTACTATAGTCTTTTCAGTGATAATTTTGAATGGCTCTAGAGCATTTTCCTTTTGTTGGGTCTTTGTGTTATTTTCAATAGTCTGCTGTCATAAATTAATGTATTCATGTGCTTAACAAATATTTATTGAACCATTGTCATGGGCTGGGCATGCACTGTGCTGGGCAGTGGGGATGGTGAGGGAGAGAAACGTGGTCCTTGATCAGGTGAAGCAGACCGGCAAGTGATTAGAATGAATGGAAAGACATAATACATGCTATAAAGAAATCAGATACAGTTGAGAATGAGAACATTCATTTTAGGTACGATGGACAAGAAAAGAAAAACTTCTCTTAGAAGGTGTCTTAGTCTGTTCAGCCTGCTACAGAAAAACTACCTTAGGCTGTGTAATTTATAAACAACAGAGATTTATTGCTCACATTCAGGAGGCTGGGGAGTCCAGGATCAAGGCGCCAGCAGACTTGGTGTCTGGTGAGGGCTTGCCCTCTGTTTTAAAGGTGACTTCTTCCTGCATCTTCCCATGGCAGAAGAGGCACGGGAGCTTGCTTGAGGCTCTTTTATAAGGGCACTGATCCTATTCATGAGGGTGCAGCCCTCATTACTTAATCACTTCCCAAAGCTCCCACATCTTAATACTATTCACATTGGTATTAGGTTCCAACACAGGAAATTTGGAGGGGACACCAACATTCAGATCATAGCAGAAGGCAACGCTTAAACTGAGAACTCAAAGGAAAGAAGCATCTAGACATGATAAATATTGGGAGGGAAAAGTATTCCGGGCAGAGGAAAGAAGCTGTGAGGCAGGAAAGAACTTGTGTGTTAAGGGAACTAATAGGGAACTAGTTGGAGAGTGGCTCTGAGTGAATTCAGAGAGTCAGGGGCCAGATTTTGCAGGTCTTTAGAGATGATTGACAGGAAATCTGTATCAATAGATTCTAATGAAACCTTTCTCATTAGAATAATACTTAGAAGTCTTCATAGTGTGTTCATATCCTTGTGTTGTAATGATGCTAACCCCATTAGTTATCTCCAATTTATACATAAGAAAACTGAGGCTGAGAGAGGTTAAATAACATCTCTGAAATTCCACCACAAATCAACATCTGGCTAAAGAATGGAGACCAATGTCTATACTACACCATTGCTCTCTTTGACATTTTGTTGCATGATTCCCCAAATGAAACTCTGGATGTTTTTTTTGGTCTCTGTCCAGGTGGTTTATATTTACACACTATGCAGTGTCCTTCCATAGCCAACTGGCTGTGTTAAGGTTGCAAGGCGAGTGGGGGAGGGAAGAGAGCGGAGTAAACCTAGCTTCATTAAAACTACGGGAATTGTTACCCAGTTGTTTTTGGAAATGGCCAAGGGGCAGTATCAAGTGGAGAAACCTAGCAGGATGTATAATTTTCAAACAGAACGCAGCACAGCCTTGAGGGGCACAGACAAAGAAAAGCCTGAAGGAAGAGGATTTTAAGTGGAAAGAAAGAATTCTGCCAAATGGAAGGACAAGAGAAAGTTGTTTGCCTGTTTGCAACAGAAAATAAACTTAGGGCTTTATTTCAGGAATGCCAGAGCATTACAGACTCTCCTGGTGGGAAAGGATTTTGGAGTTTGCTGTCTAACTGCACCCTGTGACAGGGGAATCCTCACCAATTGACTACCAATAAGGCAACTTATTACAACAGCCATTAATTTGGCCAAGAAATATTAATTAAACACCAAATATTAATTGGGCAACTACCAGGCACCGGGCTAGGTGCTGGTGCAGTGAGATGATTGAAGTTAACCTGGCCTCTGTCCTGGCATATAATTGCCCCATGGGTTCACCTTGCCCGCTGCCTAGACAGAGCTGATTTATCAAGACAGGGAATTGCAATAGAGAGAGTTTAATTCACACAGAGCTGGCTATACAGGAGACTAGAGCTTTATTATTACTTAAATCAGTCTGCCTGATAATTCCCGGATCAGAGTTTTTAAGGATAATTTGGCGAGTAGGGGCTTGGGAAGTGGGGAGTGCTGATTGGTTGGGTTGGAGATGAAATCATAGCAGGTGGAGGTGAATACTCCTTGCTGTCTTCTGTCCCTAGGTGGGATCGCAGAACTGGTTGCACCAGATTACTGGCTTGGGTGGCATCAGCTGGTGCATCAGAATGCAGGGTCTGCAAAATATCTCAAGCACTGATCTTAGGTTTTACAACAGTGATGTTATTCTCAGGAGCAATTTGGGGAGGTTCAGAGCAGCCAGAGGCTGCATGGTTTCTAAACCATAATTTCTAATCTTGTAGCTAATTTGTTAGTCCTACAAAGGCAGACTGGTCCCAAGGCAAGAAGGAGGTTTATTTTGGGAAAGGGCTGCTACCATTTTTGTTTCAAAGTTAAACTACAAATTCCTTCTCAAGGTTAGTTCAGCCTATGCCCAGGAATGAATAAGGACAGCTGAGAGGTTAGAAGCAAGATGGAGTTGGTTGTTAGGTCAGCTCTCTTTCACCGTCATAATTTCCTCAATTATAATTTTTGCAAAAGTGGTTTCAGTGGCATCACAGTCTAATGGGGGTTAAAGATAGTAAGAAATTAAATTCATGAATTATAACTTATATTATAAAAGACAAGGGTGCATGAGAGAGAATAAAGGGATTGAAGGAGGGAACTCAGTTTAGATTTGAGAGTTCAGAAAGGCTTCCCAGAGGAGGTGGCATTTAACCTGAAGACTCATGTGCCCTGGTTGCCTCTCGTTCCCTTTCTTATTACACCATTTTTTGCTTGTTGCACTCTAGCCATGATGGCCTCCTTTCTGTTCTTTGAAAATTCCAGAAATGTTTCTGCCTTAAGGATTTTCTGCCTGCTATTCCTTCTGCCTGGAATGCTCATCCTGCTTAGAACACTCTGACTAATCAGTCATCCTCTGACTCATTTCCTCACCTCCCTCAAGTAGCGGCTCATATACCATCTTCTCAGTGAGGCCTACCATCGCCATGCCCACCCTACTTAAAATGGTGACTTGTCTCTGACCACCCCTCATCCCTGCCTTGGAACTCCTCGTCCTTTCTTTGCTATGCCTTTCTTCCTTCCTCACCATAGCATTTATCATCTAACATATTATCTCATTAATCATGTCACTGTTTATACTGATCTCTGGCTGAATTTAAGCTCCATGAGGGCAGGAATTTTTGTCTGTTTTGGTCACTGCTTTATCCCAAGCACCCAGAACAGTGCTGGCATGGAGCAGGCACAGAGCAATACATAGTTGTTGAATTAACACATGCATATAGCCTGTGAAGAGTCAGAAAGAGTGTTTGAAGTAGAGGGATCTGAAGGCATACTGGCCCAGAGGTAAGAAAGAGCCCAGGATATGCATGAAACAGAAGGAAGGATGAGTGGCCAAGGGGAGCATGATGAGGTTGAAGGGTGGGCAGTAGGCAGATCTTTGGACATCTCTGATTCTTAGGACTTTTTCTCCTTACATTGGAAATCTCCTACACAATCAGTCTCTGTATTAGTCCATTCTCATACTGCTATGAAGAAATACCCGAGACTGGGTCATTTATAAAGGAAAGAGATTTAATTGACTCACAGTTCTGCATTGCTGGGGAGGCCTCAGGAAACTTACAATCATGGTAGAAGGCAAAGGAGAAACAGGTACCTTCTTCACAGGGTGGCAGGACAGAGTGAGTACAAGCAGGGGAAATGCCAGATGCTTATAAAACCATCAGATCCCTTGAGTCTCACTCGCTGTCATGAGAACAGCATGGGAGAAGCACCCCCATGATCCAATAACCTCCATCTGGTTCCACCCTTGACAGGTGGAGATTATGGGGATTATAATTCAAGGTGAGATTTGGGTAGGGACACAGAGCCAAACCATATCAATCTCCTTGCAGATATTAGTTCTCTACCTGGAAGTGACACCAAGAAATCTTAATTTATGGTGGCCCACTGGGTATTTGAAGTTGGATATCATAACTACTGTTAAAAGAAAAACTTTAGCCAAATTAAGTTTAACAGAGTGTAATTGAGCAAAGAACGATTCATGAATTGGGAGGCCTCCTGAGCCAGAGTAGGCTCAGAGACTCCAGTGCAGCTATGTAGTTGGAAGATTTATGGACAGAAAAAGGAAAGTGGCATACAGAAAACAGAAGTGAGGTACAGAAACAGCCAATTTGGTTACAACTTAGCATTTGCCTTATTAGAACACAGTTTGAACAGTTGGCCACCTTTGATTGGCCAAAACTCAGTGATTGGCACAAGAGTAGTCTACAGTCTGTTTACAACTCCGTTTAGGATATAGTTCATGATGTGCAGAAAAGCCTTTAGGCTGAACTTACAATATGTAAGGAGGCAGCTTTAGGCTAAACTTGATTTAACACCACTCTCTACCTCTGTGTTTTCTCCAGCCCAGTAGTTCTGGTTTCTTTGACAAGGATGTTATTTTTAAAAAACTCAATAAATACAAGTTTATTTCTTGCTCACATAAAGTTTAACTCAGTGTTTTTGATTGATGGGAGGCTCGTTGGTTGGAGTAATTTAAAGACCAGGCTCCTTCCATGTTGTGGCTCTGCCATCTCCAGCAATGACTCCCAAGGTCACTGAGGAAGGAGAAAGAACACAAAGGATTATACATGTGAGGGTTTTTGAGGCCAAGCCCGGAGGTGTCCTACATCACTTCCACCCATATTCCAGTGACTAGAACTCAGTTTGTGGGCACACTAATTGTCAGGACAACTGAAAAATGGGATCTAGCTCTGTGTCCAGGAAGTGGGGGAAATAGGTTTTATGATTAGCCAGCAATCTCTGATTGTTTGTCAGTTCAGCCTCCACCTTCCTGGCTTCTATTTCTTTTCAACAAGGGTAGCTTTTGAATCTTTATACTTTCTAGTCATTCCTCTATGTTCATGTACTGTTTTGTCAGTGTTCCCCTGAAAATGCCCTTTCCAGAACTGAGCATGTGCCCCAGGATTGTTTGTGCAGGGAAGAAACTGGTAGATGAGGCTCTTTGAATTTAAGCACCCACTCTCAGCCTTCAAGACCCAGGGGGAGTAATGGTGGTCCATCTCCAGTCCTTCTGCCTTTTGATTTGCTCGGAGAAATTTCTTGAAATATTTCTCAGGGAGGAACATATCTCTTTCCTCCCATAACTCTCATAAATTCTTCCTACTAGTCCCATAAATCTAGAGGTGATGTGTTTATTGCAGAACTTAGAGCATGGCTTCAGTATCTGATGGACTTGGGTTGCAAATGTGCCTCCTTTTCTTACTACCTGTGTAACCTTGAGCAAATATCTTAAGCTTTTCAAACCACAGTTTTCTGTCCTGTAAAATGGAGATGATGATAACAATATCAATACAGGATTTTTGTGAAGAGTCAGTGAGATAGATAATCGACTTACAATGTTTAGCACAGAGCCTGGCACATGTTGAGTGCCTGGTAAGTGGTGGCTAATGATGATGACAATAATTAACAACTTTCTCCTCCAGCCAAGAAGATCTACTCAATGTTCTTCAAACAATTCCTGGTTCCTTCCTCCATACACCTGTTCCCAATTTCCCATCACCCAGGCTATCTTTCCTCTCTGTCAACCCAGCTCCACTCGGATATTCCCAGCTGGACTTTCTCTTTCTAACTCAAAACTACGCAGCTGCCATACCTTGTCCCTGTTGAGAAATGAACAAGAGCAGATGCTGAAGAGTTAGGGGGAAAACATTTCACAGAGTTTGCCTGAACCCTTTATCCTCCCACCCAGAAGCTGCTAGAAATGATTTATTCATGAGGCTGAGTCAGGGCTTCCCATCCTTTCTCCACTGCAAACCCAAGACTTCTTCTATTTTCCAGGAGAACAGCCACCATAGGCAATTTTACAGTCTGACAGGCTGTTGCACAGTGTACTTGGCAAGTCATTTTTTTGTTTTCCAAAGCTAATTAGAGATGGATAAATTTAAATGGCTGTGGAAGCCAACAATAAAACATTATGTCTTCATTAGCTGAAATAATGCTGTGGCTTTCCCTCTCTTGACTTGTAAAAACTAGGCTCCAGCTCAGTGGTGTGCTGGACTGGTTATACCTGCTCCTGCCTGTTCTTGTGAGTCAATTACGCACATCCCTTCTCAGCTCCATATTCGGTGACATCACCTTAGTAGCTTGGAACTGGCCCTGGTGGGAAGATTTACTTTATAGACATTGGCAAATGCTGTCAATCAGGGCTCTACCCCAAGCTGGGTGTTAAATATTTGCCAATATACCACTGCTCTGGCTGCTGTAGAGGGACCAGGTCCAGTTATCCTGAAGCTCGCACATATACACCTATACGCCAGGCATTATGTTGATTAATAAAGTTATCTTTGGAGATAGCTTTTCTCCTTCTGGGCTCCAAGGTTCCTGTGTCTGATGGAGAGATCCCTTTGCTTTGGGGGAAGCAACTGGACATTGGCACAAAAGATGGTCGTTTCTATAGAAACTTGGGTAGAAAATGGGGCTGGGGAGGCATTTTAAAAGCAGCACTTCTCAAATTGCAATGTGCAGATGAATCACTTGGGCACCTTGTTACAATGCAGATTCTGATCCAGTAGGTCTGGGATGGTGCCCGAGATTCTTCATTTCTAATAAGCTCCCAGGTGATGCTGGTGCTGCCATGCGCCACCCCATGAGAAACTAGAGCTTGAAGGATAATTTGAGGGGATAGAGGACTCTAAAACTTTGAGAAGTTTCATCAAATGTTAAGCCGACCCAGGAACTGGTGCTTGTCTTGCCCCAGCTTCTGACTTAGAAGGAGAGTGTCGTAACTATGGAAACACCAGTGCAAGATTAGGCAGAGCTGGATTCAAATCCAATCTACCTAACTGTGAGTTTGGCAAATTGCTGATCTTCCCTAAGTCTCAGCTTTCCCAGCTATAAAACGGGGCTTTCACATCATGGGAGGTTGTGAGGACTAAAGGAGATTAAAGCAATTTTTATCGCTGTTCTACAATGTAAGCTCCTTTCCGCTCTCCAGCTTTCTGATCAGTCTCAGGTTTAAAGTCAAAAAATCTTCTTTTTTTTTTTTTTTGAGATGGAGTCTCACTCTGTTGCCCAGGCTGGAGTGCAGTGGCGCAATCTTGGCTCACTGCAGCCTCCGTCTGACCTCGAGTGATCCACCCGCCTCAGCCTCCCAAAGTGCTGGGATTACAGGCTTGAGCCATCAGGCCCGGCCATCTGCGTTTTAATATAATAATATACTATTGGTAGGTTTCATGTCCACATGTAGAGACCGTTCATTATTATTTTAATGGCTATCCATTTAGAGTAGACATCTAAAGACAAAATCTGCTGTCTGGATTCAGTTCACCTTTCAGAAAGGAATATGCCAGGCTGTGGAGAACAGCATTCCGGAACCTTCCTCTTGGTTTCCTCAGGAGCCTGCATTTCCAAACATCTCCAGGTGACGTAGCATGAAGAAGGCCGAGAGGGTCAGCAATGCCCCAGGGGAATCCAGAGGGCTGCTGGAAGCTCACTGTGGGGGAGATCCCAGAGTAAGATTCTCATCCAAGGACAATCTGAGACCAGAGGACATCCGAGGTATCTGCAGGCATGAGTCTGCAGATTGAGTCATGGAATGAAAAATGTTGAGTGAGGTAAAAGCCCAAGGCAAAAAGATAATGAACTCAACTTTCTGCAACTTCTTTTCCCAGCAGGAACCCCTAAATGAATTGCCAGGTCTCTTTAAGACTGGCTCTTCATGGCCTTTTAATGCCTGCAGCTGCTGTGGGGAGGAAGGCGTTCAATTATCAATTCATTCCTCAAGTCAGCAAATACTTATGGAGCTCCTACTATGCGCCAGACACTTTTCTGGGTACTGGGATGTTGTGGTGAACAGGATAAACAAGATCCCTGCTCTTACAGATGGTACAGGCAAGTTGGAGAGAGAATGTATACTGAAGCCAAAACAGGATAACTCCAGCTGGCAAGAAGTGCCAGGAACAGAGTGGACGAAGCAGGGTTACCTGGTGGAGAGCGACTGGGGCTCTTTAAGGTAATCAGGACAGGCTTCTCTGAGGAGGGGGGATTTCAGCTGAGCTATGAAGGATGTCTGGGTTTCTTTTGAACCAAAGTCTGCCTCTCCTTCTGAAGCTATAATGTTGGAGACTCCTCTTCCTTGCAGGAGCAAGGCCTTCAAGTATTCTAGGCGTGGGTGTGCCCTTTAGACCCCCAGTCTTCTCTTTTCCAGACAAGCATTTACAGTTCTTTCAGCTGTTGCTCATGTGACCCAATTTAGCTCCTCTCAAAATGCTTAATTAATTCTATGTATATATATATATATATATATATATTTTTTTTTTTTTTTCTTTTTTAAAAAACTCTGCTTACAATCTAATATATGTATATTTTAAATCTGGTGTCCAGATGAAACATTGTGTATGACCACTACAAAAAGACTATTAAGTCCTTGTACTGCATGCTGCGTTTTTATTCATTCAGCCAACATTTTTTAAAAATTTGGTTCGGTGCATCACCTTGTTTTTTTAATTGAGCCTGCAG
Organism: Homo sapiens; assembly: GCF_000001405.40. Lineage (NCBI taxonomy): Eukaryota > Metazoa > Chordata > Mammalia > Primates > Hominidae > Homo > Homo sapiens. The sequence goes on from NC_000005.10 coordinate 155,088,217, forward strand.
TCAAATAAATTACCTAAGTCCTTTATGCATATTGGAACTTGTGCCATATTATTTTGGAAAGTCAATGCAGAGGCTTACATTTATTTGTATTAAATGTAATCTTGTTAGTTTTGGCCTAATTTTTTAAGCTGGTCTGGATCTTTTTGCTTTCTGATTCTGTTAATATATTTCCTTTTCTAAATAATTTACCAAGAAGGCTGAGAGGATATCCTGGGGGAGGGACGACAGCAGCTTGGCCTAAGGGCGGTAGGAATGTAAACAGAAAGACAAGGATGGATTCAGGCTGTATTTGGAGGGCAGACTGATGGGTTGGAGGTAGTAAGGGAAAGAGAGAAATTGAGCATAATTCCTGGGTTTGGGGTCTGAGCAACAGGACCAATATATTGCCACTAATTGAAATGGGGAAGACTGGGTAGGGGGCATATTTGCAAGGAAAAATTATTTCACTCATTGGGATAATAGTAATTTTTGTTTTTTCCCCTATTTTCTTTATTTCCAAGTTATTAACACTAATATCTTGGGGCAAGAAAATGAAGGTTGTGAAGGTGAGTTCTGATTATTGAATTCAGAACAAGATGTGAAGGATGAGGCAGAAGCGGCTCCGGACATGTAGAAGGGTGCAGACATTTGCTTTCTAAACCAGGCTGTAAAAACCAGTTCTGTATTCCTTGCAAAAGCAGAGACTCAGAGGTGATCCTATTGAGTTACACAAATTTCTGATGGGAATAGAAATAAAAGATGTTCCCAGTCTCTTTCAGCTTTTATCAAATACAAGAACCAGAGGGCATAATCCAAGCTAAGGAAGGATTGAGCCCTGAGGAGTTGCAGAGGAGTGTGTTAACCAGAAGCAGTTCATCCTTGGCATATACTTATAGGAGGGAGCAATAAAATAGCATAAATGCTTTTGAAATAGATTTTATATTTAGAAAACAGAAAGTTGGGACATAGGTATCATTTTTATTGCCAGGTTCTAGCCCTTGGTTTGCTGTAGGACCTTTGCCAAGAAATTTTCCTTGTAATCACAGAATCCTGGTGTACTAAAGGGAAGGGGCTTTACAGATCCATCTTGTGCTGCAGGGTTTTTAATCAGGGGAGCACACTGGAATCATATGGGGGATTTTTCTCTAATACTATTTTTTTCTTTTTTGAGATGGAGTCTTGCTCTGTCACTGAGGCTGGAGTGCAGTGGTGTGATCCCAGCTTACTGCAACCTCTGCCTCCTGGGTTCAAGTGATTCTCCGCCTTAGCCTCCCCAGTAGCTGAGACTACAGGCACACCACCACGTCCAGCTAATTTTTGCATTTTTAGTAGAGACAGGGTTTCACCGTGTTGGCCAGGCTAGTCTCAAACTCCTGACTTCAAGTGATTGGCCCGCCTTGGCCTCCCAAAGTGCTGGGATTACAGGTGTGAGCCACCATGTCTGTCCTCTAACACTATTTAGACCAGGATTTTGCTACCTTAGATCTTGCTGTTGGGTTGAGCATATTATTTTGAAGAGTTTCCCAAGTCACTTGATGCATATTACCCATCAAAGATCCCTGATCTGGTGTAACCACCTCATTATAGAGATGAAGAAACCAAGACTTGGAGAGATTAAGAGGCTTGACCAGTGGCTCACAGAGAAGTAGAGCAATCACCCTGTGAGTCATCTTCCTCTGCAGAGAAAATGTGATAAAATGACACTATTTTATTTCTTTATGCCATCTTTCAGCAACTAAACATGAAACAATTAACAACTAACTAGATCTAGTAATGTGTAGCTCTGAAAACAGAGTCGAGTGAAAAAGTGAGAAATTGAATGAGATTTATATAAATTAAACAACACAGAGTTTTGCATTTTACAAACCTACATACATATTTAAGGGTCTGTGTCAAACACATTAGACTGGGTGTCTGTTGGAAGAGAAGGGTATGGGAGAAGCTTCTGGGGATAAAAAATTAATACCCAAGAGAGGGGGTCATCTTAACTGATAAGTATGTTCTATGAATTGAGGTTTGAGATTTTTTAATTCTCTGAACTCAAAGTATTAGAAAAAAAATCTATAACCAAGAAACGAATGGATAAGCAAAATGTGGTATATACATATAATGGAATATTATTCAGCCATAAAAAGGAATAAAATTCTGATACATGCTACAACATGGATGAACTTTGAAGACAGTACACTAAGTGAAGTAAGCCAGATGCAGGAAGGTAAATATTATGTGATTCCACTTATATGAAATATCTAGAATAGGAAATTTATAGAGATAGAAAATAGATTAGAGGTTTCTAGGGGCTGAGAGAATGTGCAAAGGGCAGCTATGGTTAAAGAGTTAATGGTTAGAGGCCGGGCATGGTGGCTCACGCCTGTAATTCCAGCACTTTGGAAGGCTGAGGCAGGTGGATCACATAAGGTAAGGGGTTCAAGACCAGCTGGGCCAACATGGTGAAACCCTGTCTCTACTAAAAATATAAAAATTAGCTAGGCGTGTTGGTGAGCACCTGTAATTTCAGCTACTAGGGAGGCTGAGGTAAGAGAATCACTTGAACCCAGGAGGCAAAGGTTGCAGTGAGCTGAGATCGCTCCATTGCACTCCAGCCTGGGTGACAAGAGCAAAACACTGTCTCAAAAAAAAAATATATAATAATTTAATGGTTACAGAGTTTCTATTTGAAGTCATGAAATGGTTTTGGAAATAGATAATGGTTATGGTTGTACAATATTTTGAATGTAACTAATACCACTGAATTGTACACTTAAAATATTTAAATTGGCAAAATTTATGACATATATTTGTCCACAATTTAAAAAATGATGTAATACACAAAATCCACTGAATTTTATACTTCAAATGGGTGAATTGTATGATATGTGAATTATATCCCAATATAGCTGCTAAAAATGTGCAAACATGATTTTCTTTGGCTTTATGTTCTTCTGTGGAAAAATGGAAGAACTTAAGAGGAAGGGAAATAACATTTACTCAGCTAAGCACTGTGATAGGTGCAAGAGCTACATTCCCTTCTCTACAGTACTGTAGCTTGAATGTTCAGGGTAAGCTTCTGTGTTGGACATTTCTGGCAGCTTGACATTTTTCTGGCAATGCAAAGATTTGATAAGGTTTGAGAACTGGGAATTTGTCATATAAATAGTAGCTATTAAGTACTTCAAGTTTGTGTCTACTTGGCACAGGACACGGTTGTCCATGCTATTTGAAAAAAAGAAGTGTGAACAGGCCTGCAATCCTTCCATTTTAGCTTTTGGCAGACAGTGACTTTGGCATGAGAAGAGTGTACGGTATGTAATAAGATTTAAGTTGTTTGCCACAGGGCATTTGAAAAATGCAGTTGGGCAGGAACAGATGCTTGAAGAGTTATTAATTATGCTGAAATTTTCAGAGGTCCCCCAAATTTCTTTTAGCCATTTCCTCCTCTCAGTCCTGAAAGTAAGTTGAGAAGTAAGTTTAATACTGTTAATTTTTCAGACCTCTACTCTCTGGAGAATAAGGCGGATAGTTGATAACTTTTTTTTTAATTGGCAAGAGAAGTTTAAGTGAGCTCTTTCAGTCTTGAAAATAAGTTTTGATTTTTATAGGTTGAGATCAGTTCCTACTTCATTTAAACTCTTTTCATCCAGTCTTAATTATATCCATGTATCTCACAGAGGCTCATCCTCTAGTCTTATGGAATTATCATTCCAGCCAAAAGTGTGGGTGGGAACTGCCATTTCCAGTGACTGACAAAAGAGCATTTATTCTATTGCCTTGCCCAGTGAAAAGCTAGTGGCCTAGCCACTACTGGTCATTTGCATGCATAGTGGACCATTTCATTAAGAATTTCATTAAGATGGTAATGTTTAATGTTTCCTGGGAAAAATGAGCTTTTGGCTTATTCAATTATATAATTAAAGCCAGAGAATTAGGGGAGATTGCAAACTGCTTGCATAATGTGGGCAAGTATAATGATAAAACTTGTAAATAAGTTCAAAAGAGTCAAGCTCTGCATGAATCCTGAAGCTGAATCATATAAGGAGGGTGTGTATGTGGAAAATGTGAGCTGAAAAGTGCACCAGAGTTTAATCCTGGTGTCTACCCGCTGAGCTCCTTGATCTCTGAGTCTTTGCTGGGAGATGGATAGTAGAACAGAGTCAGGGCTGGGGACTGATTGGTTGGGTTCCAGAAAGTTCCAGGAGCACACTTTAGTTTCTCTATAGGTAGTAACTTTCTATATAGAACTGAAATAACAATGGCATAGGTATACAGGATTTCTTAACTGGTGGCCAGGTTTCTCTAATGGTGTTTTCCTTTCCTTGCCTCTGAGGTGACATCATCCTTACCCTCTTCCTGAATTTCTTCTAGCCTACAAAACAGGATGTTCTGCCATTTCGAAAGTACTAAGAAAGCTGTTTCTGCCCTTTCTTTCAATTTTTTACCTACTTTTCTCTAAGGAAGGTAAAGTCATAAAATGGTTTAGTGAGGTGGAGCTAACTTTCCTGAAGGATTGAGGAGGTGTGGAAAAATTCAATATTGCACATAATATGTATGATTCATATGTGAATATTGGACTTTCCTTTTCTTTAAAAATATTCCCTAAGCCATGTGTGCCCTCAGTGGTTCCAGCCTTCCCCTTTTCTTCACCTCCACTCTTCCAACCATGGAAAGCATGCCTTTCACTTTATTGTGCAGAACAATTAGGTCCTCCCTAGCTCCTACATCCTAACTTGGCTCTGAGGTTTTTTTGTTTTTGTTTTTGTTTTGTATAACCAAAGGCCCACGAACTATGCTTTTTCTCTCTTCCCCATGATTCCTGTAAGGTCTATGTCAAGAAGAGAGGTTGTTACTGTCTGTGTGTTTGGCCTGCATTGATGTGCTTGAGACCTAGGGAATCTAACACATGAGAAAGAACCAAGGGAAATGTGTTCTATGCTCTTCTCTGATCTTCTGGTAACTTTCAAAAGCCAAATACCAGTAGGTTACTCACTTTTTGCAAAATATATGTTTTCGCCAGTTCCAAGACCCCATTTAAAATAATCAGAGAGCTTTAGGGTTCTGGGGTAACAAAAAGGACATCCAGTGATCTTACTTTCTGCATCTTAGCTTTTACTGACTTTTGTAAACCTAGGACGTGTCACAGGAGCCAAAACGAAGACAGTCTCAAGCCCAGCTTAGAGAATCAGTGAGACCACTGTTTAAGTCCTGGTTCTCCACTGCTTAGCTGTGTTTCATCTAAGTTCCCTCATGTGTAAACATGGACATGATAGTTTCTACCTCCTGAGGTTCTTGAGAGGATTAAATGAGATACTATTTGTAAAGCACATAGCAGAGCAATTGATCTTTCAACAAATGGGTTCCTAGTATTACATTTCTTAATAAGCCTTATATAAAAGAGACAAGAACATCTCTTCCCACTACGCCATTTCTCCATACCCTCCTGGTTTTAACCTCCTCCAATTACCAGAATAACAAGGGAGTAGCTGGCCTGCTATGGGATCTTTGCCTCTAATGCAGAGGTGTTCACCTTCTTGTGTCTTTTTTGGGAGCTCTTGGCCTTCAGGTTGATGGTGATGTAAGGGGCTATTAGTTGGAGCCTGCCTTTTCTAATAGGAGTCTTCCTATTAGAAGACAGACACATTCAAAAGTTATGTACATTCTACAGGTGTGCTAAAGGAAAGAGGAAAGTAAGTCTAAGACAAGAGGCATGCAGGTATAATCAGTAAATTTTTTGAAATGGGTAAGCACGAATAGTATGACAGAGGCTATAGCTACTTAATTAAAGAAGCTGTTTCACAGAGGCTGAAGCAGAAATATTGCTTGAGCCCAGAAGTTCAAGGCTGTAGTGTGCCATGATGATGCCTGTGAATGGCTACTGAACTCCAGCCTGGGCCACATAGAAAGATCCCATCTCTTAAAATAATTAAAAAATTAAAAAGAAGCTGTTTTAGTTCAGTTGCTTACTTCTAGAGAATCATGGGAAGCATTAGTACAGAATAAAATAGCTTTAATTACATGTAAAGTTTTCAAGATGGGCTAAACTTGGATTCTTTACCATCTTTCTCTCTTATGTCCGGTCTTCTGCCTGGGGGGTGGGTAGAGGTGGTATTTAAAGGAATACTTTGATGACAACATTAAAAGTTGACACTCAAAGAGGACAGTGATACTTTTACCTCTTTTTCTTATAATACATAAGCTGCAATTAATAACTGAATCTAGATGATTACTGGGTTGGTACTAAAGTATTTGAGTGAATTCAGTGAAGGCTATCAAAAAATTGAATGGTAAAGTTAGAGATTTTATCAATTAAAGGAATGATTAATATTTTAGATTGAATAGGAAAAAAAGGTTCTCATGAACAATACCAAAATCTAGTACCAGGCCTTTACTGGGGCTAAAAATACTTGTTTGAAACTGTGCCGTGTACATACTGACACTGAGTTGGCAGCATTGTGTAATGCAGTGTGTTCATGTTCTTGCTACACTGTGGCTTTGGCTATTTTAGGGTGATCTTTCTTTGTAGAACCTAAGAGAGCATAGGAATTCAAATTGTTTGTTAACTTGTTGCTTTCCCAGGCCTTTCTAAAACAACAATGATGGTGATAAAGGATGCTTAAAGCCTTGTAAATTCCCATCCCAATCATGTGTTCTATCAAGATGTCACCTGTTAGACTCCATGTGTCAATTAGCCAAAAAATGTTAAGAAAATTCTTACATCCCAGTTCTGTTTCTGTCTAAAGGCAGATTTTGGATTTCAGGTATGTAGGCTCCTACTTTGTGCCTAGAATTGGGCTGAATGCTGCTCAGGTAATAATTCAGGTGTGGGGTGAAGCTACAGTAGGCAATGATGATGGCAGAGAGAAGGAAGAACAATGAATTTGAGAAAGTGAGGTAAGAAGTGACAGAATTTGGAGCTGAAGGCTATCATCCTTAGCTAACTAACACAGGAACAGAAAACCAAATACTGCATGTTCTCATGGATAAATGGGAGCTAAATGATGAGAACTCTTGAACACAAAGATGGGAACAACAGACGCTGGAACCTACTTGAAGGCGGAGGGTGGAAGGAGGGAGAAGATCAGAAAAAATAACTACTGGGCTGTGCACGGTGGCTCACGCCTGTAATCCCAGCACTTTGGGAGGCTGAGGCAGGCCAATCCCTTGAGGTCAGGAGTTTGAGACCAGTCTGGTCAACATGGTGAAATCCCATCTCTACTAAAAATACAAAAATTAGCCGGGTATGGTGACGCATGCCTGTAATCCCAGCTACTTGAGAGGCTGAGGCACAAGAATCACTTGAACCAGGGAGGCAGAAGTTGCAGTGAGCTGAGATCGCACCATTGCACTCCAGCCTGGGAAACAGAGAGAAACTGTCTCAACAAAAAAAAAAAAGAAAGAAAAAAAGAAAAAAAAGAAAAAAAAAACTATTGGGTACTAGGCTTAGTGATGAAATAATCTGTACAACAACCCCAATGACATGAGCTTACCTATAAAACAAACCTGCACATGTACCCCGAACCTAAAATAAAAGTTAAAAAAAGTGACAGAATTTGATTAAAAAAAATTGGTGTAATTTATTAGAGCCCCATAATGATATTTTTTTCACAGCTGATGTGGGTGTTATTAATAACATATAGTTTAAAATGGAATTACCTGAAGTTGTTAGCTCTCAACAATGGGCTGATAAATGAGTTATTATAGAATTTAAAATATGAAGAATATTTTCCTAAAGAACTGACACCAACATGAAAGCCTACATAACAACACACAGATAAGTCCAGGCTGACATACTGTGTTTGCTGTTTCATACTACTAATGAGGTGGTGGAGAAACTGGAGAAAGATGTTTCAACACCCAGAGTCAGAAGCATAGGATGTTGTATTTGAAGGTCCTTTGAAACCATCTTCTAGATCAGAGGTTGGCGAATCTTTTCTGTAAGAAAACAGATAATAAATATTTTAAGCTTTGCGGGCCATATAGTTTTTGTCTCAGTGACTCAACTCTACCCAGGTGTTGTAAAAGCAGTCATGGACAGTTTATAAATGAATGGGCATGGCTGTGTTCCAAAGCGACTTCATTTACAAAAATAGTGTGTGGATTTAGCCCATGGATTAGGCTGCAGTTTGCTGACACTGCTCTAGGTAAATTCCTCCATTTTACAGACGGGAAAACTGAGTCGAATCAGTGTGTATTTAAAATACTTAGCATGGTGCCTAGCACATAGTAAATATTCAACAAATGATAGTTATTTTTATTATTGGGAGGGTCTTTGCCTAAAAGTGATACAGGGAGTGGTGAGCTATAAAAGTATTGTCAACAATGACAACAATGATAGTATGCTTATTTGTCTATGTTAAATACACATACTTTTTTTTTTTTAATTTGAAGGATCTTTTTCTCTGTGAGGAGCCATTTGAATTTGGTGTCTCTCCTCCTTTTTAAAAAATAAAAACTGTAATATGTTAAACATAACACCGTTCTTCAAAATTCAGCTACATCATCCTACTTGCTAACTGTTCCAATTCCACATTCTAATCCACAGGCCATATCCCTGGACTCTTAGGTAAGCATCTGAGATCTCTGTTATTTTAGAATATGGTCTCTTTTTCTCCCTTCCTCTTTTCTTATCTTCTACCTTAAACCAGGATGAAACCTAGGCTCTGGGGTATAGTGTATCATTTTGAGAGATAATGAATGTCACCAAAGTGACTACAAAATTACAGGGCCATCTCTGACTCTCCCTTTGCAGTTAATGTAGTGAAATTGTACAGTTAATGTTTGTATAGAACGATGGAGATGAAAAGCAATATCTGAGTACTAAATGTTATTACTAAGAAAAGGAGAAGCTGAATCATTCTTTTTATATGTGTCCTTAGCCACTCCAACCCAAACCTAATATGAGCATGGAATTTCATAACTTTAACGGTTCTTTTAATAATGTTCAATCAGATATGAAATTAAGAAAACGAGGCTTGCCTTCTGCCCCTGCTCTGCCTAAGCTGACGTTTTAGGCAGAGTGTGAATAATATTTCCTAGTTCCCATGGAGCAGACTGAACAAATGATGTGAGAATCTCTTCAGTTCCAACCAAGTGGCGGGAACCAGCTAAGAGTTGGGTACTGCTGAGGAAAATTGATGGGCAGTTGGTAAAATAGGTGTGAATGAGAGAAAGCTTTGTTGGGGAACCATGGTGGGTATGTGGGCACGTTCTACATTACTACAAGTATTGGGAATTTCCCAGGGGAACAGCAAAATCTTGTCTTATTTATGTTTAATTTTAAAAAATTCCCACTGGGTGCAGTGGCTCACGCCTGTAATCCCAGCACTTTGGGAGGCTGAGGCAGGCAGATCACGAGGTCAGGAGATCGAGACCATCCTGGCTAACACGGTGAAACCCCGTCTGTACTAAAAATACAAAAAATTAGCCAGGTGTGGTGGCGGGCGCCTGTCATCCCAGCTACTCGGGAGGCTGAGGCAGGAGAATGGCGTGAACCCAGGAGGTGGAGCTTGCCGTGAGCCGAGATTGCGCCACTGCACTCCAGCCTGGGCGACAGAGCCAGACTCTGTCTCAAAAAAAAAAAAAAAAAAAATTCCAATCCTGCTCCTTCTGCAAGATCTTTTTCTAACCTCTTTGGGTTTTAAGGGAGTCTGAGAATGTGAGTTTTGTCCAGGCCATAACGTTAGACCCTTTGAGTGGTTTATGACCATAGTAGTTCTAACACCTAAAATTTGTCAAGGGCAAAGGCAACAGGTGGACAGGTATGGTCTATTACCAGGGTATAGAAATGATGGTTATGTCAAGGTCAAGTTTTCACCTGGATACAACAAGCTGCTCATATCTTTTTTTTTTTTCCATCCATTTTTTGTTTTTTAGAGACAGGGTCTTTTTCTGTTGTTCAGGTGGGAGTGCAGTGGCCGATCATGGCTCACTGCAGGCTTTGAACTCCTGGGCTTAAGGGATCATCTCATCTCAGCCTCCTGAATAGCTGGGGCTACAGGCATGAGTCACTGCACCCAGCCTCATGTCTCATTTTTATACCCATAGAGAGAGAGATACTTTTTCACCTGGTCCTACAGTCATTTTAATTATGCACAACACACCAATGTCTGCTGTGATCATAATTACAACTCTGACCTGTGTTCTTTTGTGATTTAAATATATTCTCCTAAGTCTGGCTCTGAAAGTTGATTTACTGTGGTAAGTCGTACCCGATGCCATGTAGCCTCAGAGAATGTGGCTGAAGTCTGGAGTTGTTAGAAACCAGGCATGATTTGAAGATATGCAGTGGGGAAGGTAGAGATAACTGAGAAGAGAAACTGAAGTTTAGATTCTGGTCTTGGCACTTGTGACCCAGGACTTGTGTTGTTTTGAAGGCCATCAGAAAATAGTTGCCACATATTGGTGCTACTGTATTGTAGATGCCATGTATGCATTGGACAGCTCCTTTCTGAGTGCCCATGCACAAAGCCCTGCTTTATGGGACAGCAGATAAGATGATCAGAGCACAGTTTAGAAACTCAAATACGTAAAATGGACTATTATCAAGGTGTTAATGAGGGGGTAAGTATCAATGTTTATACTACCATAAGATTCTTGTTTGCTTTACAAAAGAATCTTAGTTCTGTGATTCCCTATCTGGGTTTGCAGAACACTCTGGGCAGTGGGTTGTTGCAACAAGTTCACAAATTCATGAGTTCACCAAGAACAAGTAATAGGTCTTACACATAAGTGCATGACTATCTTTAAATACATATAGATGATAATATGATTAAGATTAAAAAACACAAACTATTACTGATTTCAGTTGCTTTTTAGCTTTCTAGCAGCTGATCTTTAAAGTGTTTCTGTGTTGCCATCCTACAGGAATTCACATAATGCCTTTACAGTAAGATGTATCTTCATGATTTTTTTTTGTTTAAACATTTTAAAGTAATTTAAAAATAAGAACAAATTATCGTATATGTATTCACATATTTATCATTTCTAGTGCTTTTCAGTCCTTTGTGTAGATCATAATTTCCATCTGGTACCATTTTCTTTCTGATGGACTTCCTTTTACATGTCTTATAGTATGTGACTATGGGTGATGAATTCTTCCAGCTTTTTTACATCTGAAATAAGTCTTTATTTAACCTTTGTTTTTGAAAGATATTTCCAGTGGGTATAGAGTTCTAGGCTGACTGTTTTTCTTTCAGTACTTTAAAGATGTTGCTTCACTATTTTCTGGCTTTCCGTCTGCTGTCATTCTTAGCTTTGTTCCTTTGTACTTGATGTATCTCTTTCTTCTGGCTGTGTTAAAGCTCTTCTCTCTATTACTGGTTTTAGGCAATTTGATTATGATGTACCTTGGTATTCTTGTATGGGGTTCATTGAACTTGTTGGAACTGCGGGTTTATTTTTTTCACCAAATCTCATTAGGCTGCTTAAAATTATCTCACAGTTCACTGATGCTCTGCTCATTTGTTTTTCCAGTCTTATTTTCCAGCTTCATTTTGAATAGTTTCTGTTGCTGTGTCTTCAAGTTCATGAATCTTTTCTGCTGCAGCTCTAATCTACTGTCAAGAGGATGTGTAGTAATCTCTCTTCTAACTCTGCATCCTAGTCTTCCAGTTCCCCTATACAGAGGCAACTACCGTCACCGATTTATTGGGCTTTTTTTCCAGAGATGATGCATATTTTTAAAGAGATAAAGATACATATTCCTTTTCCTCCCATAACAGCATACTATATATACTGTTAAACACGTTACTTTTATCTTGATATGGTGCTTGGATATGTTTCCTTATAGAGATGGTGCGTTCTTTTTAATGACTGCATAATATTTCTTTTGTGGGTGCACCATAGTTTAACTTTCACATTTTAGATTACTCTCTGTTATTTTCTAAGCGAGAGAATTATCTTAAAGTCCAGATATGATGTGAGAATGTAGGCATGTTAATAGCAGATGCCTCTGTTTCAGTAATGTTCAATTACTTTTTTCCTGTGAGTTCCAGAGAGGCTGCTGGAATGTCCCTGCTCTCCACAGATATATTTATGGTTTTTTTTTCTTAGTATCATAGAATGTGGCATATTATAGGCTGGGGCAAAAGGTGGGTAGGTATATGGTAGGGCACTCCAGGAAGCCAAGAAGCCTGATCACTTGTTTCACGTAGCACTAAGAGTCTTACTGCTCTCCCTAAGCAGGTGTGCAGAACCCTGCCAGTTCTAGCTCTACTCCCCACAGTATCCTCACAGTTCACGGGGAGATTGACATGTTTCAGTGAGTAAGTGACAAGATAATGCTCTTGAGAAAACGAAGGCAAACCCCAGACAGAATCGGAGATGCTGAGGCCAGGCATAGTAGCTCATGCTTGGGAGGCTAAGGCAGGAGGATTGCTTGAGCCCAAGAGTTCAAGACCAGCTTAGGAAACATAGTGAAACCCCCGTGTCTACAAAAAATTAAACACAAATTAGCAGGGCATGGTGGTTCATGCCTGTAGTCCCAGCTACTTGGGAGGCTGAGGTGGGAGGATTGCTTGAGGCCAGGAGGCCGAGGCTGTAGTGAGCTGTGACTGCCACTACTCTCTAGCCTGGACGACAGAGCGAGACCCCGTCTCAAAAAAAAAAAAAAATCATAGTTCATGGAGTGAGAGAGAGGAGTGAAATTGTGTTTGAGTGCCACTGAACCTGACATTCCTGGAGTTGCTTCTTCATGTTGTTCTTTTTAAAATTTTTGAGATATTCTACTATTAACTCTTTTGCTTAAACTGGTTTGATTCAGTTTTTTCTCATTGTACTTTTTAGGATGATTTTGGTAACAGGGAACCCATGTGTTATCCCATGTGTTATGGTCTGAGTCGTGTCCCCGACCCCCCAATTCCTATGTTGAAGTCCTAACTCACACTACTTCAGAATGTGACTGTATTTAAAGATAGGACCTTTAAAGAGGTGATTAAGTTAAAATGAGACTGTTGGGGTGGGCCCTAATCCATGACGGCTAATGTCCTTGTAAGAAGAAAACATATGAGCACACAGGAGAGACACAGGGATGTGTGCATGGAGGAAAGACTATGTGGGGACTCAGATGGCTGGAACTGGGGCTGCAGGGGCTGGTAGATCCACTTCCAGCTTCTTCACTCATGAGTCTAGAACCCTGTGATGCTGGAAGGCTGGGCTTAGCTAGGACTGTCAGCCAGAACACCTACACTTAGGCTTCTCCAGCTTGCTGGTCTCAGCAAGAAGGTGGCTATCTGCAAGGAGGGAGGTCTCAGGAGAAATGCCTTGATGTTGGATTTCTAACCTCCAGAACTATGAGAGCATACATTTCTGTTGTTTAAGATACCTAGTCTGTAGTACTTTGTTATGACAGCCCTAGTTGACTAAGATGCTACTTCAAAAGAGCTTGAACACTAGAGGAACGAATTAGTTCATGTAACCAGAAGCCCAGAGATAAGGCAGCTCCAGGGTTTGTTAACTTAGCCACTCAGGGCTGCCTCAAGGAGGAAGTTTTTCCATCTTTTTACTTTGCCATTTGTACCAGTTACTTTTGCTGCCTAAACAAATCACCCTAAAACATAGTGGTATATAAATCCACTTGTTATGCTCATGGATTTTGTGGGTCAAGACTTCTGTCAGGGCACAGCAGAGATGGCTGGTTCCTGTTTCACGATTCTGGGCCCTCTGTGGGAGGTACCTTGAGAGGCTGGGTGTGATCTGAATGATTGAAGATGACTCAAATGGCTGGGAACTGGGACAGCTGGGGCTGGAAGAGCCACTTCCAGTTTCTTCACTCACGCATCTAGAAACCTGTGATGCTGGAAGGCTGGCCTTAGCTGGGACTGTCAGCCAGAATGCCTACACTAGATTTCTCCAGAGTGGTGGTCTCAGGGTTGTCAGACATCTTACATGACAGATGGCTTTCCTCAGAACAAGCATGCCGGCAGTGAGTGCTCCAAGAGAATCAGGCAAGCATGGCACAGCCTTTTATGCCCTAGACCACTTCTGTCACATTCTATTGGCAGAGGCAGTCAAAAGCTCTACCAGATTTGAGGGGAGGGGACCTAGATTTCATCGATTGTGGGAGGAGTGTCAAAGAATTTGCAGCCGTTAAAAAAAATTGCCACTCCAAGCTTATCTTGGGAGCTAGTTTTTTTCACGATTATTAAGAGTGCTGCAGCATCTTGGGTAATATGGTAAAACCCCATCTCCACAAAAAATACAAAAAAATTAGCTGGGCATGGTGGCATGCACCTGTATTCCCAGCTACTTGGGAGGTTGAGGTGGGAGGATCGCTTGAGCGGCTTCAGTAAGCTGTGACCGCACCACCGCACTCCAGCCTGGGTGACAAAGCAAGATCCTGTCTAAAAAAAAAGAGGGCTACAGCAACTCTATGCTCTATGTGTCACAATCTCACACATTAACATCCAAGGGTAGAAAAGGAAAACGTTTCCCTGAAGTCCCACCAGCAGGCTTCTCCTCACATCTCCTTGGTGAGAATCGGGCTGTATGTCCTTTCCCAAACTGGCAAAAATAACGTCATTTGCCCTGCTCAGCTTAGCCTAATCAAGATCCATTCCCCTTGGGCTGAAGATAGGATGGCTTTCTTTAAGCATAAGGTCCTACGGAATGGGCAAATACTCTTCCGAAATTAGGGTCTGCCACCGTGGAGGAAACTCAAGGGAATGGATTTGGGGAGGTGACTTACAGTGTCTGCATAAACTTTCTATAAGGAGAGTCTGGCCTAATTAGGAGGGGTTTAAGAAAGAAGTTAAAGATGGCTTTCATTATGTCCATAGACTAGGGTCCTCGATAAGACCACAGTTTGAATTCTTTTTCATGCTTGTACTTTCTCACTCTTATATTTGTTCCTTTTCTCCCCTTGCCTCTTCATAGAGATCTATTGCAATTTTTAGTACCAAGAGCAAATGCTCCTGTTCCTGGGAAATCAGGGGATGCACAAGTAGCGTGTTCTTAAAGCAAATGTGACAGTTACAATAGGGATTCGGCCCCCAGATGGGGTCATCAGAACCCAATGTGACAGCTACAATGCATTCCTGATTCCTCATAATAAGCATAACAGCCTCTGAGAATATCTCAGCACAAACTAGGTTATGAATGATTGATTAATAAGTGGATGAGTGCTGTACAGATCGCCATATGCCAGTTCTGCTGAGAGCCATAATCTCCCATCTAACATTGCCTTATCACTGAGCTCACACAAGGAGGCCTGTTCTTTGTGGAACAAAGTCAGGGATGTTTTCCATGACTCATATTGGAAGCGTCCCACAGAAAAAATGGGATGTTCCATAGTGGGCGGATGAAATCAAAGTTGTTAGAAAGTCTGTTTATAAGTCTTCCTGTCTGTGTGTGTGTGTCTTTCTGAGTGTGTCTCTGTATCTTCCTCTGTTGTATTTCTGTATGTGTTTCTACACGTGTCTGTGTTTGTATATCTCTATGTGATTGCTGTGTGTGTATATGTCTGTGTGTGTGTCTCTGTGTATGTGTCTGTGTGTGCATCTCTTTGTGCCTGTGTGTCTTTTTTTTTTTTTGAGATGGAGTCTAGCTCTGTCGCCCAGGCTGGAGTGCAATGGCGTGATCTTGGCTCACTGCAACATCCACCTCCTGGGTTCAAGCGATTCTTCCGCCTCAGCATCCCGAGTAGCTGGGATTACAGGCGCCCGCCATCATGCCTGGCTAATTTTCGTATTTTTTAGTAGAGAAGGAGTTTCACCATGTTGATCAGGCTGGTCTCAAACTCCTGACCTCAGGTGATCCACCCACCTCGGCCTTCCAAAGTGCTGGGATTATAGGCATGAGCCACCGCGGCCGGCCGTCTGTGTGTCTTATAAAATTTATTTTTATTTTTAGTTTTTGTGAATTATCTAATTTTTTACTTATTCTCTAGAGCCCAGTTGAGCTCTTTTGCAGGTATATAGTAGGTGTGTATATACTTGTGGGGTACATGAGATGTTTTGATACAGGCATGCAATATGAAGTAACCTGTGTGTGTCTTTCTGAATGTATCCCTCTATATCTCTGTTTCCTGTCTCTGGGCATGTGTAAGCCTGTCTCTCTGTGTGTTTTGGCATGTGAGTATATTCCTTTCTATGCAAGTATCTTTCTGTGTGCAGGTTTCTCTATATGCACATGTGTATCCCTGTTTGCATATGTGTGCAGGCACATGTGTGTGTGTTGTGTGTGTGTTTGTGTGTGTGTAGAGTTCAAGCGCAAGTGGAAAAGAGTAACCTGAGAGGAGGAAGCAGCTCCCCTCAACCCCCCCAGGAGATCTAGATAAATTTAAGGCAGGGTAACATCATGTGAAGAGTGCGGAATGGCCGCTAGGCTCCCTGGATGTTCAACCCCATTTTCCCTTTAACTCACTGCATGATTTTCTGTGATTGATTTCAATTCTCTGGGCCTTAGTTCTCTTGGAGATAATACTACTTGCTTAACCTAGCTCACAGGGATTTTCTGAGAATGAAATAGTAATGTAATTTCAAATGCTTTTGAAAAAGTTAAAAGCAGTATAAAAAGGAAGGCATTAAATGGATTAACATTGGACTTGATTCAGGGAAAACCTTTATGTTCAAGATATGCATGGAAAGGGGACTTTGATTCAGCTCAGAATCTTTGGTTGATAGATCATGAAGGTTGAGTCAAATGTGCTCTGGGGGAGGAAGGGAGAAAATCAGCTTCATGCTGAAGAAGGGCTCCTGCTCCAAATCAGCAAAGACAAAGAAGGTTCATTTTGGATGCAAGTTCTGATCCATTAATGGTGGCTACTTAGAATATGATGTGAATAAGGTTTTGAGGGCTGCGTCCTGGCCAGGGTGATAATAATGTCACTTGGGGTACCTGCCATAGACGTCAGGGACTTAGAACATGCAGGCTATGTGCTTACTGTCCCTCCCAGAGCAGGGTGCTGGCTAGACAATATCAGACTTGGAGTCTGAAGACGGGGGCTAATGTCTTAGAAGTTGCCAAAAGTAAAAATCTTTGTAAGTTTTAAAGTCATTTAACTTCTCTTCTCTCATACTACCTTGGTGATCCTCCCTTAGAGGGTTGGACAACAATCCAGTTTAATTGTTGGATTCGTCCATAGATTTGTACAAAGTGGTATAAAGACAGGGTCTTATTTGAATTGGGAAAAAGAGATGATTTAGATTGTCATCATGGATGTAAAGAATCTTCCATGCTCTGCCATCTTAATGTAACCTCTCTCGGGTTGGTATTGTCACAAGTTTTAAAAGAATTCTCTAATTTTTTACTTATTCCTTGGAGTCCAACTGAGCTCTTAAGAAAATTAGAGACCAATGACATCACATAAACACCATAACACTTTTTTTGTACCTTGCCTGTTCAATATTTCTTTTCTTTTCTTTTCTTTTTTTTGAGACAGAGTCTCTCTCTGTTGCCCAGGCTGGAGTGCAGTGGCATGATCTCCACTCATTGCAACCTCCGCCTCTCAGGTTCAAGTAATTCACCTGCCTCAGCCTCCAGAGTAGCTGAGATTACAGGTGTGCACCACCATGCCTGGCTAATTTTTGTAATTTTTAGTAGAGACAGGGTTTCACCATGTTGGCCAGGCTGGTCTCGATCTCCTGACCTCCACCTCAGCCTCCCGAAGTGCTGGGATTACTCAATATTTTCTTACCTTCCAGCCCTTACTTGAAGATTCGGAGGTCTTCCCACAATAGCTTCATGACTCAGCACATGTGCAGCAACTTAATTTTCTTTTCTAATGCTCCTTCAACTAGCCCTTTTGACTTGAGTGCACAAACTCCTTTTCCCTTTATCAGAATAAATAATTGGTGTCATTTTGTGTAGGCGAGCATGCATGAGTGTGTGTGTTGGTATCAGATATCGTTCACCTGATTATTGATTCTTTGCAAAAGTCAATAGCAAGAGAAATGTTGTTTAAATAGGTTTCATGTATCTTTTTTTCTAATTTGGGGGATTAGAGGTAGCAATGTGGGCTGGATGACAGTATGAGGAGGAAGCCGAACATTGCTTTTTCATAGAGCGATTGGTTTTATGAAATACCTCATGTCAGGCACTGCTCTAGGCACTGCGGATAGAATGAGAAAAAGGAAGACACAATCCCTTTCCTCACTTTACTGAAGATACAGTTGAACACACAACTGCAAATGGGTGAGGCATTTGTTTCTGAGCACACATAGCAAGGGCATCGAACATTGCTAGGGCTGGGGGCAGAGGGGATGGGCAGGGAAGGCTTCTAGAAATGAGCCATGCTTAAGCTAAGGCCTAAGGAATGAGGAAGGTATAGCCAGGGAAAGGAGGGGCAGGGTAGAAAGCCTGAAATAGCACATGCGAAGCTTTGAAATAAGGAGACAGTGGCACATACAAGGAAGCTGTATGTGGGAGGTGTTCATTAGAGAGATTAGAGAGATGTTCACAGTGGCTGGAGTGCGAGGGCTCAGGGGTGGAGACTGGGCTGTAGAGATAGCCAGTTTATAATGATTTTGAAGGATTCATGAAGGACTTTAGTGCCATATTTCTGCAACTTAAAAGATCTTATGAATTACCCTTAGATCTTGTTAAAATGCAGATTTGGATGTAGGTCTGGGTGGG
This sequence comes from Homo sapiens, assembly GCF_000001405.40. Taxonomy (NCBI): domain Eukaryota; kingdom Metazoa; phylum Chordata; class Mammalia; order Primates; family Hominidae; genus Homo; species Homo sapiens. The sequence goes on from NC_000005.10 coordinate 155,106,760, forward strand.
ACCTGAGATCCTGCACGTGTAATGAGCTTCCAGGTGAGGATGTGGCTGCAGGTCGAGGGCTTTTGACTCTACCCTGAGGGCAATGGCAGAGCCATCGAAGCATTTTAGGTAGGAGAATGCCATGACCTAATTGTGTGGTAGGAAGATACCATTACCCACAATGTGATAAATGAATTTTAGGTGGGTAGACCTGGAAAATGAAAATCAGTGAGGAGGTGGTAGTAGCAGACAGTCATAAGAAACTTGCCAACTAAGGTAGTGGCAGTGGGCATGCGGCCTCATTCCTTAGCCCTGTCCTGTTCAACTTCCTGCAATATTCTGTCCATATCTGCCTCTTTCCCTAGGCAGTGGGCTTCTTGATGATGGTGCTCAGGCAGTGTAGAGGGAGGCAGTGTAGCATCATGCTTAACAACACAAGCCTTGGAGTCATTTGAGCCTGAATTCAAGTCCCACCTCCTTTATGTCCTAGTTGCTTAATCTCTCAGGGCCTCCACTGTCACGTCGGCTATAGATGAGAATGACACTTGCCACAGCGTGGAAAGGATTAAATGAAATGATGTAGATAAAGTGCTTAGCCTATGCCTGACATTCATTGATTAAAAACATATGTACAGCCGGGTGTGGTGGCTCACGCCTGTAATCCCAGCACTTTGGGAGGCTGAGGCGGGTGGATCATCTGAGGTCAGGAATTCAAGACCAGCCTGGCCAGCATGGTGAAACCCCTTCTGAACTAAAAATACAAAAATTAGCCAGGCGTGGTGGCAGGCACCTGTAATCCCAGCTACTTGGGAGGCTTTAGGCAAGAGAATCACTTCAACCTGGGAGGCAGAGGTTGCAGTGAGCCAAGATTCAGCCACTGCACTCCAGCTTGGGTGACTAAACAAAACAACAAAACAAAACAAAACATATGTACAGAACACTTGCTCCAATGTGTTAGGCTTTGGGGATTTGGCAAAGAACAAAGTAGATTTGGTCCCTGCTCCCTTGGTACACTTGATAAACAGTAGTGGCAATAGTTGCTTATTATTCTTAGTTATACCTCTCTGCTGTTGGCCCATTCATTTTGCACATGGAGACAACATGAAGCTCCAGCGGCTTCTTGGTCTGGACAGTAACACCCCAACACCATCCTGAACATGTTATGGAGGTGGACACTGTATTCTATACATTCGATTTAATTGATTTCTCAAGCCCTGGCAGTATTTTCAGCTTAATTACCCATAAAACTGAAGCAAAGATACTTGAGGTCTAACACCATTTTCTGGCTCAGTAATCTATATGTGGCTAACCCTGCAACATTACATTTAATGTTTTTCAAAGGATTGGAGGGTGGGTATGTATCCCATCATTATCTAGTGCCTAGAGATGGCTAAAAATTTCCATGTAAAATAACGTATTTGGTTTTGAGCCTGTAAGTTTTCAAAGGAGAAATTGAGCTACTCAACACCTGAGGGGTATATGGTTTGGTTATCACTTCTCCAAATCTCATGTCGAATTGTAATCCTCAATGTTGGACGAGGGGCCTGGTGGGGAGGTGATTGGATCATGGGGGTGGATTGCCCCCTTGCTGTTCTCCTGATAGTGAGTTCTCACGAGATCTGGTTGTTTAAAAATGTGTAGCATTTCCCCCTTCGCTCTCTTCCTGCTCCAGCCATGTAAGATATGTCTGCTTCCCCTTCTGCCATGACTGAAAGTTTCCTGAGGCCTCCCCAGCCATACTTCCTGTATAGCCTGCAGAACTGTGAGCCAATTAAACCTGTTGTCTTTATAAATTACCCAGTTTCAGGTATTTCTTTGTAGCAGTGCAAGAATGGACTAATACAAGAGGAAAAACAGAAGATAAGAGGAGTGCGAAGATAGCAGTGGAAAGAAAAAATGATTGGTGGTCTTTGGCAAGGAGGATGGCACCTGGACTATGGGAGCTTTGGTGGGCTCTATAACCTGCCATAAGATGCCCAGCTGTAATAAATTAGATAGGTTCCCTGGTTTGTAAAGACTCTGGCTACTTAAGCCAATGGGAATTTAATGGAAGGTTAGGGGAGCTGGATCCCACAGAGGGAACCTATGAGAGGCTCTCTGAGTATGAGGCACTTTAGAGGACCATGTTTGAGAAGGGGCAAGAACCTAACAGGACTTGGGAGGATTGAGCAGCAGGGAACCCTGCAATGGCCTCATGGAAGTAAGAGTCTGGCTTGTCTCCTGGTTGGTCTACCATCAACTCTTCTTCTCTCCCTGCATTTGTTCTAGACTCAAAGTCCCAAAAGACAACTAGCTAAGCCTAGGCTGCAGGTCTGTGCCCTGGTTGTTTTGTAACTGGAGGGGAATCCTCTGGTGACTTCAGCTTTTGTGCTGGGGGGTGGGTACCTGGAATTATTTTCCCATGATTATACATATTGGTGTGGTAAATTCCCAAAAGGAAATATATTAGAGTGTTATTAGGATGGGGGAAATGGATATAGGCATGTGTAGCATGTAAAATGACAAGGTTGATGACTTATTAGCTAAGAATCAACTTGTTTTATTGTTCCTTTGAGGTTTGTTTAAATGTTGCTTTCCTTTCTGGGTTTCTCCAGGTAGCTCCTCATCTTCAGTGTTCTCATTGCACTTTGTATTCTCTTAGCTTTTAATTCTCAGGGACAAGGACTGACCTGGTTCAACTCTGTATTCTTAGGGCCTAGCAAAGTGCTTAACACATAGAAGACATTTGCTGACTTACAGTTGAATAGAAAAAGTATGTGTGGATATCGTACTAGAAACGCAATTGTAAGCAGCTGGGAATTTCAATGGGTAACTTTTCTGTGTAGAAAACATTAAAAAATTATTTTGTAGCCCGTGTGTGTGTAAAACCCATTCCCCAAAGGCAAAACGGTGTAGCGTCAGAGACAATAAAGCATCCTGTCAATTTCAACTTTTATTCACTTGATTTTTGAAGAATATTTTCTTTTGCAAAAGCCTCCTTCACTTAAGAAGTTTTCTTGTCTTGTTAGGTACCAGCCAAACCAGCCAAACATTTTCTCTTTAATGTGGAGACCTGGGATCCTTTTCCCTAAGATATTTTGATTGCTGCAAACCCTTGGGCTCTGCTGGAATCCAGCTCCCTGTTTCTAAGATGAAACCCGGACCATTTAGGGCATGTAGGGGCCAAGGGCCCTTGAAGGTTTGCTGAAAACCACTGACATGAGGCAGATTAATTAGAAAAAAGGCATACACATTTATTTAACGTGTATGCAAGAGAGCCTTTAGAATGAAGACCCAAAGATACAGGGGAAACTGTCCATTTTTATGCTTAGGTTCAACAAAGTGTGGACAGCCGTGTGGAAATAGGATTGGACAAAACAGGCATGACCGAGTAGTGAAACTCAGCGAGGCCTGTCTGTCTAGGTTCTTCTTGGCCTGTCCGAGTGGCTTTCCTTCCTTCTAGGTATGGGGCAGGACCCTCTCTGGAAGGGGGGTCTTATGACTCACAGACAAACAAAACAGGTCAGATCATTTCTTTATGGCCAGTTTTCACACAGAAAAATGGGGGAAAGTTAGAATAATATTTTTAGGTTTTATGGCTGGCATTAAGGAAAGGGCGTTCTGGTTCCTATGACCTACATTGGGGAAGAGAGATTCTAGTTTCTCTGGCTAGCCTTGTAGGTGAATGGGACTGAGAGACAGGAGGGCAGGAGCAGGTCAGGGAGAAACATTTGCTTCTGAGGCCTTCACTTTAGGGTATTGTTTTCTGGGCCCCAACAGGCATCTATAGGGCTGGTAAATTTACCTGGAGTAGCCAAGTACAAATGAATTACTTCAGAGCTGGCATTTATTGCTAAATAGATAGTCTTATCTAAGGGCACCAAAATTCTAGAATCTGAATTTTATCCTAAAATTAGGTCCCCCTGGCTCCCCTTCAGTGAAGTGATTGGCAAGGGATTGTGGAGAACTGAGGCATTTGCCTACTAGACTTCCACCTCCCTGGCCTAGTTAGAGCAAGCAGCAGCAGAAACTGACTGATATAAGCAGAGAAGAAATGTATGGAAAGGGCATTCGGCAGCCCCCACAGTGACCTGAAAGGCTGGAGAATTGGGCAAGATCAAAAGGAGAGTGGGCAACCAGGACCAACGCTAGAATTGTGAATAGCCCCTGGCCACAGAACCAGACTGACAGGGTCCCTGCAGTGCCTGCCACTGAGCCTGATTACCACAGCCTGCAGAGGTGCTGCTAGCTACATACAGTGAACACCGCTGACCCTACTTCTCCTGGGAATGGGATTTTGTTTTGCTATCACCTGCCCCCAGGATGGATTCTTTGCAGTCTCCTATTCTCTGCATCTCTAGCTGCTGTTTCAAAGTCCTGGGTGCCCTGCTTTCAAGAGGGGTTGGGAAGGTGAGCACTACATTAAAAAAAGTATCAGTTATTTAATTAGATTCTCCTTAAGAAATTTAGAACATCAATGTGTGAGGATAAATTCCACTCGTCAGGGCAAACAGAGATCACAGTTAGCCTTGGAGCTGAGGAATAGCTTTGATTTTGGTAAAATTTGCCAGTCCACAGCTTTCTGATCAACCAGGCGCTACTCTATCACTTCATATTTCTCTTTTTCTGCACCAGAGATCTCACTTTCGTGGTGTCTGGGTTTCTGCAGTTTCTTCTTGAAGTAAGCATCAGTAAGATGTTTTGAGATTTTCACATTGCTGACTGATATCAATTGTTGTAGAGGTGGCAGTGACAAATTACTGGTGTGTTCTTCGCAGAGAAACTCAATTGACGACCAGAGGTCCGGTCACAAGTAAAAGCCATTGCCCAGCTAGCTGCTCCAGGAAAACCATCTTGCCTCTGTGGCGCCCAGTGAGGATGAGCAGAATGGTCCTGGGAGAGATGCTGGCTTGCAGTTTTCTGGCATGCTGACTACAGGTTTTTTTTTTTTTTTTAGGCAGCATCTCGCTCTGTCGCCCAGGCTGGAGTGCAGTGGCACGATCTCGGCTCACTGCTACCTCTTGCCTCCTGGGTTCAAGCGATTCTCCTGCCTCAGCCTCCCAAGTAGCTGGAACTATAGGTGCGTACCACCATGCCTGGCTAATTTTTGTATTTTTAGTAGAGAAGGGGTTTCACCATGTTGGCCAGGCTGTTCTCATACTCCTGACTTCAGGTGATCCACCCACCTCAGCCTCCCAAAGTGCTGGGATTACAGGTGTGAGCCACTGCGCCCAGCCGCTCAACAACTTTTTAGACACATCTCCGGTAGATGATAGCTAGGCATCTTGTGAAGTTTAACCACTGGGGCACCACCATTCTTGTCACCACCAACTGGTTTTGTAACAGTTGCAAGAAACTTCTCCTTTTCAATCTTGGATTTAGCCGCTGAATACTTCCTTTTGTACGTGCCTTTCTGGAACACATAGCAGGTCGGGAATATCTGCCAATTCCTCTGATGAGGACAGGATTTCAGCTGCAGTGGGGCTTCCCTTTCTTGGGCTTTTTAGCTTTGAGGTTACCCTTTGTCACGTTGCCACTAGCATCAGCCTTCTTGGATTCAGGTTTCTTCTCCCTAGTATCTGGCTTCTCAACTTTTTCACTCGCCATCTTACAAGATGAGAAAGCACCAAGCTGGGTGCAGTGGCTCATGCCTGAAATCCCAGCACTTTGGGAGGCTGAGGCAGGCAAATCGCTTTAACTCAGGAGTTCGAGACCAACCTGGCCAACATGACGAAATTCCATCTCTACAAAAAAATATAAAAATTAGCTGGGCGTGATGGCGTGTGCCTATAGTCCCAGCTACTTGGGAGTTGAGGTGGGAGGATCACTGGAGCCCAGAAATTAAGGCTGCAGTGAGCTATGATCATGCCACTGCACTCCAGCCTGGGTGACAATGAGACCCTGTCTCAAAAGAAAGAAGAAGAGAAGAAGACAGCACCACATTTTCAGGCTCCTTAACAAGATGCTTAAGGTTAGGGACCAGCAGAATTCCCCAAAGGTGATAAAGAATTTCATCTGCTGGGTAGCTAAAAGAAAAATGCCCATGACATCAATTTTAAGCCATTGTTGGTAATAGTAAGAGAACCATCTTTTTGATGTTTTAGATTCTGACATTAAAATGCTTTGTTGGTTCAACACAACAACATGGATGGTTGAAGGATCACAAAAGAATCTACTATGTCTATTATTTCCTTGAGTGTCTGAATGAAATGTCGTTGGCTCTGTGGCAAGTTTACATTGAACTTAGTGCAAAGACTCTGGATCCTGGCTTTTAATTGGGGCTCTCCCACTTACTAGCTGTGTGACCTGGGAGCAATCATTTAATCTTTCTCAGCCTCAGTTTCCTCATTTATAAAGTGGAAATGACTTTAGCACTTATCTCTTACTTAGAGTTCTTGTGTGATGATATCCATAAAGCTTCTAGGACAGTGCTCAGCATATAATAGTGCTTAATAAATGGCTAATTTAGAAAGACTTGAGATTGAGGACTGGCCAACAGGGTCAAAATGCAAGGCCTGCCGATGTCCAGGATGTACCAGGTGTCTACCTTCAAGGATCATTTGGAGGAAGGAGGTCATGATGAAAGATGAAGTGAGTGACCTCCAAGTTGGATGACCTCCATCAAACAAGATGGGCAAATTCCCAAATGCTACTGGTCACAGGTGCCTGAGCAGAACAATCTGCTTTCAAAGTACAATTAAATAGGAAAATGCTCAGTGATCTCAAGGGGTAGACCCACCCCGGTGCCCCATCTGCTCAGTTTAGGCAGAGCCATTAGACAGTGCTGGGGAAAATGTTTATCTCTAGTTTACAGAAGGTTCTTTTGGAATCTCTTTGCCGAACTCAAAAGGGGGGCGTTCTCAGACACAGATGATCTCAACAACCTTTGTTTAGGTTGGAATCCTGGGAAAGTCATCAATCTTTGGGCAACTCACATTTCTATTTTTGTTCCAGTTATCCAGCAGATAATAAATAAGTTTTTAGTTCTGCTAAGTGCTAATTTGAGAGGCATCTCTTTTTATTTATTGGGAGAAAATACGAAAGATGCAGCCTAAGAAATAATCTGTTGGTGTTGCCGACTCACCTTTTCAGGTAAGGCATCCATTTTATTATTATTTAGCATTTTTGCTAAATTAAGAATGAGAATGAATCAGCAAAAAAAGAAAGATTCTAAGAGATGTGCATACATTTGTTTTCCCATAACTGAGGATCATTTGAGTTTATGTAAGACGCTATTTCAGAGTTAGCACATCCCCTCTAAAGCTGCTGCGTTTAAAGCTGGGTTGGTTGTTAAAAGCACCATTTAAATGTTTTCATGGAAGAATTAGGGATGGAATATGTACACAGTGGCCACCCAGGGAGAAGTTGAAATAGTCATTTACCTCTTTAATGGAGGCAGAGAATGTAATTAACAATCATTTGCACATAACAGTTAAATATTTCATGGTGGTGACAATGATTCATCCTTACTTCCTACAGCATCTACAGCAAAATTAAACCCAGGTCTTAAGACGTTCAGGAAACTATAGAATGTAAAAACTCAACATTCATCCTGTCTCTGTCCTACTAACTCACCTTCCTTGTATTCCTCTCATACTCATCCTCCTTCTGCAAGTAGCAGTTTTAACTTCTGTATTGCTTGGCACCACAGGCCTCCTAATTTACAGAGAGAACTTGGCTAGTGCAGGGAAGGCAAATAGGTTTCAAGTCTCAGATTTCAACCTGAAATTGATTGGTAGTGGCTACCTGGAACACTGTGTTGAAAGGGCTTCTAAAAAGTTGCCTCTAGGCACAGTGCGAAGGAGGGCAGTGATTGATTAGTAATGCCTGCCATGGGTTGGAGATAAAGAGTACTGGCCTGAATATCATTTATTTTGCCATCCTCAACCAGTGCAAAGAACCCAAGATTAGGAATTGGGTCTGGTCTTGGTTTAGCCATAGCATTGAGAGGTGATGGCCTGCTGGCACCCCTTGCAGCCCTCGCTCGCTTTCGGCACCTCCTCGGCCTCCGTGCCCACCCACTCTGGAGGTGCTTGAGGAGCCCTTCAGCCCGCCACTGTGGGAGCCCCTCTCTGGGCTGGCTGAGGCCGGAGCCGGCTCCCTCTGCTTGCGGGGAGGTGTGGAGGGAGAGATGCAGGCGGAACCGGGGCTGCCCGCATGGCTCGCATGTCCGGGTGAGCGTGGGCTGGGCGGGCCCTGCACTCCGATCGGTGGCCGCCGCGCCCCCGGCTCTGGGCAGTGAGGGGCTTAGCACCTGGGCCAGCAGCTGCGGAGAGTGTGCTCTAATTCTCTAATTCTCCCCGGGCCTCAGCTGCCTCCCTGCGGGCAGGGCTTGGGACCTGCAGCCCACCATGCCCAAGCCTCCCCTCCTCCACTCTGGGCTCCTGTGCAGCTGGAGCCTCCCCGACCAGTGCTGCTCCCTGCTCCCCAGCGTCGGGTCCTGCCCAAGAGCTGAGGAGTGCGGGCACACGGTGCGGGACTGGTGGGCAGCTCTGCCTGCGGCCTTGGCGCAGGATCCAGTAGGTGAAGCCAGCTGGGCTCCTGAGTCTAGTGGGGATTTGGAGAACCTTTATGTCTAGCAAAGGGATTGTAGATACACCAATCAGCACTCTGTGTCTAACTCAAGGTTTGTAAATGCATCAGTCAGCACTCTGTGTCTAGCTCAAGGTTTGTGAATGCACCAATCAGCACTCTGTATCTGGCTAATCTGGTGGGGACTTGGAGAACTTTTATGTCTAGCTAAGGGATTGTAAATATACCAATCAGCACTCTGTGTCTAGCTCAACGTTTGTAAATGCACCAATCAACGCTCTGTGTCTAGCTAATCTAGTGGAGACTTGGAGAACTTTTGTGTCTAGCTCAGGGATTGTAAACGCACCAATCAGCACCCTGTCAAAACGGACCAATCAGCTTTCTGTAAAACAGACCAATCAGCTCTCTGCAAAATGGACCAATCAGCAGGATGTGGGTGGGGCCAGATAAGGGAATAAAAGCAGGCTGCCAGAGCCCGCCGTGGCAACCCTCCTTGGTCCCTGTCTGTTCTGTGGAAGCTTTGTTCTTTCACTCTTTCTTGTAAGTCTTGCTGCCCACTCTTTGGGTTGGCACTGCGTTTATGAGCTGTAACACTCAACTCGAAGATTTGCAGTTTCACTCCTGTAGATCAGTGAGGCCACGAACCCACCTGGAGGAAGGAACAACTCCAGACGTGCTGCCTTAGGAGCTGTAACACTCACTGCGAAGGTCTGCAGCTTCACTTCTGAAGCCAGTGAGACCCCGAACCCACCAATTCGGGACGCAGCATGCTATATGATTTTGGACAAACATCACCATCCCAGTTTTCTCAAATGCTAATTTAGAGGAAATTTAGTCTCTCATACAAAATTTAAAAGACTGTTATAAAGGTTGAAAAAGATTTGAAAGCCCAGAAATCTGTATAATATATTGTTATATTGCCGTTTTCCAAATGGAAGGATAACTGGACAGCTTATAGATTTATGTAAGACTCAGAGCTCCATTATAAATCTATTTATTTTATAAATGTGAGGGGTTTAGGGAAAAGGGAGTGTGAAGTCCTACACAGAAAGGAGAGACTGAAAAAGGTCAGAGATGAAAGGAACTTAAATATTATCTAGGAGAGTGGTTTTCCTGTTTTTTTTTTCTTAAAATCTGAGAAACTCCGTTTTCCCCCTCAGACAAAATCCTTATGCACACCCAACACAATAAACCAGTAAGTGGTGCTATTCTGTTTGAAGGTGTTTATTTCTTACTAGGCTTCCCAGATACTTGGCGTAGAGCAAGTATTAAATATATTTTAATTCAATTATGTGTCCCAGGCATCTTCAGAAAGAAGTATTAAAACTTTCCTAGCGTGTTAAATTCTGCTACCTCACCAACGACAACTTGGACCTTGACCTCCAATGTGTGTTCGACCAAATTCCCTTCGTAGAGGCTGGGAAGAGAGGTACTTGTTTGAGATCCAAATGATAAAATGCCTGGTATGGGAGGGAAAAAAAAAAGATTTTTGTGTGAGAGAAAAGCCAGTCCTAATTGTATTACGAACACAAGGACATAAAAAAGCTGTTCCATTTCTAAAATCCTAGAGTGGAATGAGAAGTCCTTACAGTGAATTTGCCTCATCACAATCCGGTCATCCAGTGAGTATTTGCCTAGTATCTGCTGTGCATCAGACATTGCATTTAGCACTGGGATACAGTGTTGGACAAAACTGGGTCCGTGTTTTCATGGACCATATATTTTGTTGGGAGAGACAGAACGAACAAAGGTAGAAAGATTTTAGACGGTGATATGTGGAATGAAAATAGTTTTCATACCAAGGAACTGAAGGTGGAGCTTCTAAATAGCAGTTGCTCCATACTTGTTAAATGAATCAATAAAGGCTTATTATGGGCCACCAGAGGCCCCAGACCACACGCTGACAATAAATATTTTCAACAATGTAAAGAGTAGAACCGTATCAATTGTAATCTTAGAGTTCCCATGGGGCGCAAGAGAAACTTTATTTTCCTGATTGAGTGGGAGTCTGGCTCAGAGCATTGTGGCTAGAGCTTTTAATATCTTTCTATTTCGGAGCTACCCAGCCACGTTTGTGCACCTATAGCAATGTCATAAAAGCTACTCCCTGCTCGCGGTAATGAAGCACAGAAGAGTTGTGTTAGGAATTTATGTCAGCTGGAGAAGGGACGCTGGAGTAGCCAACTTATAACAAAATAACTTTAATAAATTTTGTTGACTGAGGAAAGAAAGGCAAAGCATTTTATGGATCTGGAAAACAAATGAGTTTAGGGCTCAGAGCTGGGAGAAAGTGATTACAGAAGAGAAGTCAAAGTTGAGAATAGAAAGAAGACGACTGAGAGGGAGTCAGAGGTGTGAGGAGCCAAACAGGACAAAAAGCTGGGTTCATTTGTACTATGGATCCCCTCTGCTGTAAAGGAATGAAAGTGGCAATAAAATATTCACACGAAACCTATTTCAAAAGCCATAGTTCACAAAAAACCATTAATCTCACTGTGATGGTTAATTTAATTTAATTTAATTTAATCTTATTTTCGAGACAGAGTCTTGTTCTGTCATCCAGGCTGGAGTGTGGTGGCATGATCTTGGCTCACTGCACCCTCCACCTCCCGGGTTCAAGCGATTCTCCTGCCTTAGCCTCCTGAGTAGTTGGGATTGCAGGCGTGCGCCACCATGTGCGGCTACTTTTTGTAGAGATGGGATTTTGCCATGTTGGCCAGGCTGGTCTTGAACTCCTGACCTCAAGTGATCCACCTGTCTTGGCCTCCCAAAGTGCTGGGATTATAGGTGTGAGCCACCACGCCCCGGCCTGTGATGGTTAATTTTAATACGTCAACTTGATTGGGTCACAGGGTGTCCAGTTTAAACATTACTTCTAGATGTGTCTGCAAGGATATGTCTATTTCCAGATGAGACTGGCATTTGAATTGGTGAACTCCATGAAATAGATTGCCTTTCCCAATGTGGATGGGCACCCTCCAATCAGCTGAGGGCCTGAATAGAAGAAAAAGCAGAGGAAGGAGGGATTTGGCCCCTTCCTGCCTGCTGCATGAAGTGGGATCTTGGTCTTATTCTGCCCTTGGACTGAGATTTACACCACGGGTCCCCCTGGTTCTCAGGCCTTCAGACTCAGACTGGGACTACACCACTGGCTTGCCTGGGTCTCCAGCTTGCAGACAACAGATCGTGGGACTTCTCAGCCTCCATAATCACATGGGCCAATTCCTCATGCCTTAAATTAGAGGCATTTCCCATTTGTATGCTTTGAAAAATCAATTCACAGCAACAGTGTTAGAATTGTGAAGTACCTTCTCTTTCCCTAATGTCTGTCATTCTCTTCTTCCTGGCCTAGGTATATCGCTTTCAGCTCAGAGGCTTACGTTGAAAGAGGAAGTTTGGAGATAAATGCTCTTTTTCTCTTCATGTCAGTCTGGTGAGATGCCCCTTCAACTCTGTGAAGCCCCTTCAACTCTGGCTTGCCCTGGCTATTGTACTGGCAGAGGGACTGCCAGGGAGATCTTGTGACTTATGTTGAGTATTTATTCTCTCTGGCAAACCAGATGGTCATAACGAGGAGCCTGGCTTCTGGATTTGCCAGTTACCTTACAATGTAGTGGTCACATCTCATTACATCTCAACTCTTACACCATGGAATTCCAGGAAGTTCTGAAGCCCCAGGAGCCTTCAACATCTGAAAGCATTTGGATTTACCATTCTGTTTCTCATCCCCTTGTTTGGAGGCCTCCTATACCTTGCTGTGATTGTGTGCTTGTGTGTGTGTGCGTGCGTAGGAATGTGTGTGTGTGCATGCATGCTTTGCTGGTATGATGGTTCTCAGCACAGTCTACTGCCTTACATCCAAGTTCTCCCATTTAAGCTGGCCCTCTTAGTATTTTATCACTGACATTATTTGGAATTTCTGGTGCATGCTGATAATACAATCAGACTGACTCTTATTGTTTTTAAATTCTCCAAAGGCCATGCCCATGCACCCCTTTATTGCCTGTACATAGGGCTGACTTCGTCTACCGCCTTAGGGTCAAAGTCTCTGCTTGGCGGCATCCTATTCACCCTTCATGACCCATCCTGGGCTAGGTTTGATGCTCCTCCTACCCTGCTTTCTCTATCCTATCACTTATCTGATATGTTTGTTTAACCATCTGTTTTCCCCCTCTCTATTTTAAGGGATGTGGAAGCAGAGAATGTGTCTGTTTTGCTCACCATCACATCTGCGGAGCCTAGCCCAATGCCTGGCATGGAGTCAGGATGCAATCATAATTTGCCACATGGAGGAATAAATGGTTGGCTTGTCCCGTGACTGGCCACTCTCTGTCTTACTTCCTCATCTGTAAAATCGAGCACTTTCTTTACTTACATCATAAGATTTCCATGAAGGTGAAATAAACTGATGAGCATTTTTTGTTTTTATTTTTTGAGACAGGGTCTCGCTCTGTCGCCCAGGCTGAAGTGCAATGATGTGGTCTCAGCTCACTGCAACCTCCGCCTCCTGGGTTCAAGCAATTCTCATGCCTCAGCCTCCCAAGTAGCTGGGATTACAGGCGTGTGCTACCACGCCCGGCTAATTTTTATATTTTTTTAAGTAGAGATGGGGTTTCGCCGTGTTGTCCAGGCTGGTCTTGAATTCCTGACCTCGGGTAGTCCGCGTGCCTCGGCCTCCCAAAGTGCTGGGATTACTGATGAGCATTTTTTAAAAGAGTGCAAAAAGAACTGTATAAAACTGTGAGGTGGTAATTGTTACGTGTGCTGTTGAGTGGAAAGGTGATGCCTGACGCATCCCTTTGGTTTGTTGTTCTTTCCTGCTCTTCAGACACAAATATGTGTCAGCATTTAATCAATACTGTCTTTCCAGAGGGAAGATTGACAGAGACAAGACTTCCTCTCTGCTCCTGTCAGGGTAATGGGTGCCTGTTGAGATGCTTGTCTTAATTTACCTAATAGAGGGCAGTTGCCTCTTGCAAACTTGTTGTTTTGATTTATTCAGCAGATTTGCCATGATTAAAGTGTCCTCTTTGTTATTAAGATAAAACCGACCTTTTCTTTCTTGAGGTGAATGACTGATGAAATATATATATATATATTTTACCACCCAGTGAGGTTAATTGGATGGTTTCTATCCAGGAACCAACATGTTCTGATTTAACATCAAAATCTTTTTGTAGAAGGCTCAATGCTAGGGAGATTAAATCTAGGACTAACCAATGGGCACAAGGGATGAAGAGAGATTTTTAAAAATTGACTCATTATGAAGTAGATCTGTTAATGGATGGGCCCAGGGATGGGATGGGGTATCTTTAAAGGAAGGAGGCAGTGTCTCAGACTGGGGATGTTTACACAGAGGTTGGATGGTCACTGAGCAGGAATAGAGCTAATTTATTTATTCGACAGATGTTTAATGAGCTCCTACACTGTGCTTGACACCAAGCAAGGTACTGGGAAGAGGCTGCCCTAAAGCCTGGAGATGTGGGTCTAGTCTTGTTTAACAGTAATAGCACACAACTACACAAAAGTAGCAGTTAATGCTCATCAATTGCTTACTATGTGCCAGCACATGGCTCAGCATTTTATGTGCACTGCTTCGCTCCTCAGAATGCCTCGGATAGGTGCATTTCCCCTTTTTCCACTCACTTGCTGTATGACTTTGGGCTGGTCCCTTTCCTTCTCTGAGCATCAGTTTCCTCATTTATAAGGATTTAACTCATCCCAGGGACAAAATGAGCTTCCAGGAGTAAGAGAAATTGAGACAAGGGAGCATCTGAGGGGGTGCTGAGCTCCCTGGCTCTGAATTTTTAAAATTTCTATTGCATATAAAAACCAAATAGAGGCCATAGGCCTCCTAAAGGTGAAGCTTCAATTTTCAAGGAAATAGGACTATTGAGCAACACCAAACAAGGGACAGTGAAAGAGGAAAGGAAAGGTTCTGTCTGATAAATTGGACCCATTATTCTGGTCTGGGCCTGTTTAGACATTTATGACTTAAAGTAATTTTTCCTCTTTTCCTCACACTGTGTTCATCTCAAGAGAGTTTGGGCCAACAAGTTTAAGGAATTCTCAGGATATGTAGGCACAGACAATGATCTAAGTGCACATCTGGTTGCTGGAAGAGTCCAGGGGCTTGGCTTCTGGAACCCCCAGGTAGACTCTGAGGCCAGGCAGGGACTCAGTCAGGACAGGGGACATAATCTTTTGATACAACAGACAGTGGCATAGCAAGCATGGGTGGTGGGAGTATAAAAGAGTAGTTTATCACTGACATTATTTGGAATTGCTGGTGCAGGCTGATAATAAAATCAGACTGACTCTTATTGTTTTTAAATTCTCCAAAGGCCATGCCCATGCACCCCTTTATTGCCTGCACATAGGGCTGACTGTTTCTACCGCCTGTCCTTTTTTTTTTTTCTCTGTTGCCCAGACTGGAATGCAGTGGCATGATCTTTGCTCACTGCAGCCCCCGCCTCCCAGGTTCAAGCGATTCTCCCGCCTCAGCCTTCTGAGTAGCTGGGATTACAGGTGCCCGCCACCACGTGCAGCTAATTTTTGTATTTTTGGTAGAGACGGGGCTTCACCATATTGGCCAGGCTGGTCTTGAACTCTTGACCTTGCGATCTGCCCACCTCAGCCTCCCAAAGTGCTGGGATTACAGGCGTGAGCCACTGCGCCTGGCCCTGCCTGCCCTTCTATGCCTCTGACCATAGGCCCAGAGTCTGTGTCCTAGGGCTTGAGGGGCAGGGGTAAGAAGGAGTTTCTTATGGAAGTCAGGGGCTGAGCAAGCACCTCTTGGAGGGAGTCCCAGATCTGCCTGTATTTCCTTAACTGGGGTCAGAACAGGGCATTCCTTTTTTTTTTTTTTTTTTATGATTTAACTTTTATTTTATTTTATTTTATTTTTTTAATTTTGTTTATTATTGTTATACTTTAAGTTTTAGGGTACATGTGCACAATGTACAGGTTAGTTACATATGTATACATGTGCCATGCTGGTGTGCTACACCCACGAACTCGTCATCTAGCATTAGGTATATCTCCCAATGCTATCCCTCCCCCTTCCCCCCACCCCACAACAGTCCCCAGAGTGTGATGTTCCCCTTCCTGTGTCCATGTGTTCTCATTGTTCAATTCCTACCTATAAGTGAGAATATGCGGTGTTTGGTTTTTTGTTCTTGCGATGTTTACTGAGAATGATGATTTCCAATTTCATCCATGTCCCTACAAAGGACATGAACTCATCATTTTTATGGCTGCATAGTATTCCATGGTGTATATGTGCCACATTTTCTTAATCCAGTCTATCATTGTTGGACATTTGGGTTGGTTCCAAGTCTTTGCTATTGTGAGTAATGCCGCAATAAACATACGTGTGCATGTGTCTTTATAGCAGCATGATTTATAGTCCTTTGGGTATATACCCAGTAATGGGATGGCTGGGTCAAATGGTATTTCTAGTTCTAGATCCCTGAGGAATCGCCACACGGACTTCCCAATGGTTGAACTAGTTTACAGTCCCACCAACAGTGTAAAAGTGTTCCTATTTCTCCACATCCTCTCCAGCACCTGTTGTTTCCTGACATTTTAATGATTGCCATTCTAGCTGGAGTGAGATGGTATCTCATTGTGGTTTTGATTTGCATTTCTCTGATGGCCAGTGATGGTGAGCATTTTTTCATGTGTTTTTTGGCTGCATAAATGTCTTCTTTTGAGAAGTGTCTGTTCATGTCCTTCGCCCACTTTTTGATGGGGTTGTTTGTTTTTTTTCTTGTAAATTTGTTGGAGTTCATTGTAGATTCTGGATATTAGCCCTTTGTCAGATGAGTAGGTTGCGAAAATTTTCTCCCATTTTGTAGGTTGCCTGTTCACTCTGATGATAGTTTCTTTTGCTGTGCAGAAGCTCTTTAGTTTAATTAGATCCCATTTGTCAATTTTGGCTTTTGTTGCCATTGCTTTTGGTGTTTTAGACATGAAGCCCTTGCCCATGCCTATGTCCTGAATGGTAATGCCTAGGTTTTCTTCTAGGGTTTTTATGGTTTTAGGTCTGACGTTTAAGTCTTTAATCCGTCTTGAACTGATTTTTGTATAAGGTGTAAGGAAGGGATCCAGTTTCAGCTTTCTATATATGGCTAGCTAGTTTTCCCAGCACCATTTATTAAATAGGGAATCCTTTCCCCATTGCTTGTTTTTCTCAGGTTTGTCAAAGATCAGATAGTTGTAGATATGTGGCATTATTTCTGAGGGCTCTGTTCTGTTCCATTGGTCTATATCTCTGTTTTGGTACCAGTACCATGCTGTTTTGGTTACTGTAGCTAACTCATTTTATGAGGCCAGCATCATCCTGATACCAAAGCCAGGCAGAGACACAACCAAAAAAGAGAATTTTAGACCAATATCCTTGATGAACATTGATGCAAAAATCCTCAATAAAATACTGGCAAACCGAAATCAGCAGCACATCAAAAAGCTTATCCACCATGATCAAGTGGCTTCATCCCTGGGATGCAAGGCTATTTCAATATACGCAAATCAATAAATGTAATCCAGCATATAAACAGAACCAAAGACAAAAACCACATGATTATCTCAATAGATGCGGAAAAGGCCTTTGACAAAATTCAACAACCCTTCATGCTAAAAACTCTCAATAAATTAGGTATTGATGGGACGTATCTCAAAATAATAAGAGCTATCTATGACAAACCCACAGCCAATATCATACTGAATAGGCAAAAACTGGAAGCTTTCCCTTTGAAAACTGGCACAAGACAGGGATGCCCTCTCTCACCACTCCTATTCAACATAGTGTTGGAAGTTCTGGCCAGGGCAATCAGGCAGGAGAAGGAAATAAAGGGTATTTAATTAGGAGAAGAGGAAGTCAAATTGTCCCTGTTTGCAGATGACATGACTGTATATCTAGAAATCCCCATTGTCTCAGCCCAAAATCTCCTTAAGCTGATAAACAACTTCAGCAAAGTCTCAGGATACAAAATCAATGTACAAAAATCACAAGCATTCTTATATACCAACAACAGACAAACAGAGAGCCAAATCATGAGTGAACTCCCATTCACAATTGCTTCAAAGAGAATAAAATACCTAGGAATCCACCAACTTACAAGGGACGTGAAGGACCTCTTCAAGGAGAACTACAAACCACTGCTCAAGGAAATAAAAGAGGATACAAACAAATGGAAGAGCATTCCATGCTCATGGGTAGGAAGAATCAATATCGTGAAAATGGCCATACTGCCCAAGGTAATTTACAGATTCAATGCCATCCCCATCAAGCTACCAATGACTTTCTTCACAGAATTGGAAAAACTACTTTAAAGTTCATATGGAACCAAAAAAGAGCCCACATCGCCAAGTCAATCCTAAGCCGAAAGAACAAAGCTGGAGGCATCACGCTACCAGGGCATTCGTTTTTTAAAAAAATATTCAACAAACATTTGTTAAGCACTTACTTGATTATAGTACCTGTCATTATCATTGAATTTAATCTTCGAAATTCATCCTTTAAGACAAACCATATCCCTGTTTTACAGATGAAGAACTCAGGCTCAGAGAGGAGAAGGCGTTTGTGCAGTCGAGCTTGGGTCAGTATGGCTCCGGAACCTATGTACCTCTGGTTGATAACACTGCTCCTCCTTTAAGCGCTGTAACCGGCTATTTTCCTGGTTGCCTCTGGTTTGGGGTTGATGCTTTCTCAGACTGTAACAAGAGCTTACCATGGTAATCAGGAAGGTAGACCTGCCTGTGTTGGTACAGATACCTTGCTACTGAGGATATCAGTGGAAGGAAAAGGGCAAAGCCCAAATATTGTAGCTCTGGAAAGGAGAACTTAAAGCCTTGGCTCTGTCTTTTTAGTGGGTGGGTTGAGAAGTTTTTAAAGAGGAAAAGGGAGCAGATAAATAATCCCATGATCTTGTCAAGTAGCAGCACTATTAAAAATTTCCCAGGAAATTAGGCTAGCTGAGTCAGGTGCATGGGAAGTGTTCTCTTTTGCTTTCTGCATTTTCCCCAGCGACCTTTCCTAGCATCCCTCATTGCCCCCACAGCTACTCCCACTTCTCAATTTCATCCACTCTCTGGAAGCTCACCTTGTCCCCAGGCTCAGGGCACATAAGCACCCACATGTTGTCAGACATCAATTCCTGTGGAATCAGAATGGCAAGGATGTGCCAGGTTAAAAATCTGAGCTTTTGTATGTGAGACCGTGTGTGCGCATGTGAGTGAATCAGATGTTAATCTGCTTTGAGTAAACCTTTTTCAAACACAACCGAATTCCTAAAGAACCATTTGGAAAGTTCCCAAGGTAGGAAAAGATCAACCACAAGCAACCTTGAAGTAGTAGGTAGAAGGTTTGATTGTTTTTTCTTGGCAGTAATTTCTTCCAGGCCTGAGAAAGGGGTGGGATAGACAGCAGCTCGCAGGAAGAGCTCTGGGCCGACATTTGCTAAGTGGTCTCAGGAGGGGGCTGAGGCTTTCAGCCAAGTAGTAGGTTGTCCCCGAAAGCCAAACATTTGGTTTTGAGTTCAGCTCCCATTCGGAATTCATTTCCCAGACCTCAAAGTGCTAAACATCACTGTTGTTATTTATTTATTTTTCTTTATTCTCAGGCTTGTTTGTTTTCTGGCAAGGAGCCAAGATAATTTCTGTGAAGGCTAGTGTCCTCCGGTATTTGTAAGATAAGGAAAATGCCACGGATGGTGTGTGAAGAGGTTGTACAAAAATTGGACAAGAGGGAATTAAGCCGCCTCTGCTGGAATTACCTTGTTTTTCTTCCTTCTTAGAAATCAGAAAGTCAGAAGCAATGTGGTCCATCACTGTCACTCCTTCCTTGCTTCCTTCCTTGCTTCCTTCCTTCCTTCCTTCCTTCTTTTTTATCCATCCTTCCTTTCTTCCATCCATCCTCTTTTTCATCCATTTATGAAAACTGAATTGAGCATTTATTATGAACTAAGGGATACAAAGATGAACTAAACACAGTCCTTGGCCTCTAGAAATTTATAGCTGAGTGGGGAAGACAGACACAAACACATTACTGCAATGTAGCAAGGTAATTATTAATATTACAACAGAAGTTTGTGAAGGGGATCCAGGGAGCCCAGTATAGCAGGCTGCTGTCTCTGTGTGGCACAGAGGTTGGCGATTAGCAAGGCCTCTGAGAGTAGTGTTTTTAAATGGGAGAGTTCACTGATACCCCTCACAGGACATGTGACAGAGGTGTGGCTCACCTGTTCAGTCGCCACCACTGCTGAAACCCCTTACGGGAGGAGGAGCACACAGACAGACAAGTGCAGGAGCCCAAGTGGGCGTGTATTACAGTGTGCCCTTTCAGCCTTCCCATTTGTAGACAGCTTGAGTGTTAACCATCTCAGTGGACCCTCTGCCTTTCTGCAAGGGCAGAGGGCTAGTGTGACAGCTTCCTGTATCCTGAACTCTTGTCCAGTGTCCTGGAAAAATTGGGTCACACACAGCCTGGAAGGATGAATGTGGGTGTTTTATGAGTGGTGGAGGTGGCTCTCAGCAGGATGGATGGGGAGCTGGAAGAGGGGATGGAGCGGTAATATGATCTTCCCCTGGAGCCTGGCCATCCAGTGCCTGAACCTCTTTCTGACCACCCCCAGCCAAACTCCTCTCTGTGTTCAGACATTCCTCCTCTTCTGTCTTTCTCTGCTGTGTCGTTCTGCTGTCCGTCTGCTGTCTCCTCATCTCCTCACCTGCTTATCTGCCTCTGGAGCCTAGGGTTCAGGGTTTATATAGATACAGGATAGGAGGCATGGTGGGCCAAAAGGTAACTTTTTGGGCATAAAAACAGGAATGCCTGTCTTCATTTAGGGCTGTGGGTCTTCAGGCTTGAGGGTGGGGCCTTTGCTGGGGAACCACTCTCTTCTACCCAGTGGTTTCCCTGTCTCCTGTCTGTATCATTTTCAGATGAATCTTAAAGGAAAAGATGGCAGGGCAGGTTGGTGTAAGAGCCAAGGCCAGATGCTGTGTGGTTGGTGTGGAGATAGACAGAAAGGGATGACTTAAAGATGTATTATGGGGAAGAAATTGACTAAGTGGCCTTAAAAGACAGGAAGGAGCAAGGGACAGGAAGGAGCCTTCTGCAATAATATGGCCACCCTGTCAGTCCCAATTTTGTGGGGGTGGGCAGTAGGAGGTAGTGGCAGGGCCAAATGCTTCTGTTTTTTGTTTTTTTTATTTTCTTACCAAAAGTAATAGAAATGAACATTTCTTCAGTTACTTCAGAATAAGCCCAGTGCCACGTGCTTCAAATGTATTACCTCAGTGTATCCAAAATGTGGCATATATGTTATGAGAGATTATTTTAGGTGATACCCAGTTGAGGCATTGAATAAAACTGAATTGCATAGAGATTTTCCTTTTTAATTCTCTTTGGAGTTTCCTGATTACTTCAAGGACAAAGCTGCGGTTTGAAGCCTCGGTGTTTTTAACTTCGTTTTATACATGTGAATCTCCATTTTAACAAAGAGAGGGCAGCCTCAGGCACAGAGCCTGCAGCAGGAAACAGCATTTAGCTAGAATTTAACAACACTTTAATTGTTATTTATTGAGATAAAAATTTCAGTACAGTTTTTATTAGTATTATTCTTATGGTTACTACCAATTTACGGTAGTACTTGTTTTCCATTTATGGTAGCAGTATAAAGCTTCCGATTAAAGCACATAAATTTAACTGAAAACATGAATTGATTTAAATAAAAAATATTATCTAACTAATATTTCAGGTTTTATGCAGATTTGGCAAAGATTGGGAAGGAGTATGCCAATGACTGAAGTTTGCATTATCTCATTCCTTGCAACAACTCTGTCAAAAAATGCTATTTTAATCTCTATTCTGTGTATTAAGAAATTGAGATTTATAGAGGTTAAGTAATTTGCCACGGTCATCCAGCTAGCAAGTGCAGAGCTGGGATTTGAACCCAGGCTTTTGTGACTCTGAGTCCCATGTTTTTAACCCCAAGAATGTAAACCTTTATAGACAATGAAATAGCTGACAGGTGAAGGTAGGCTTCCAGAATATGAGAGCCGGAATGGCCTTATCAAACATTCAGTCTAGTGGTGTCAAATCTTTTACTACTAGCACCCTTTTTCTTCTTTATTTTTCAATTTCTAAGAGTAGTAACTGAATTTAATGGTATAATTAATTTATTCACTCAGTTATAAATTAATTAAAGATGTGCAATGCCTACAGGAGCTTTGGATCAGCTTGAAAGAACTAGTATGGCCTTGGGGTTTAAAAAAAGTAATTGAGAATAGATTGAACCTCTGTTAGCATCTTCATGGATTCATAGTATCTGTGGTTTCTGGGTTAAGAATGACGGATCTAGGCTGCCTCCCTGTTTATTAAGATACAGAGAAAGAGAGTGGTTTGGTCACATGTAAGTAACTGGCAGGGTCAGCAGTCGAGTCCAGATAAAGGGCAGAGGTGCCCTTCCCCTCTGCTGTGCCATTCTAAGGGGCCCATTCCTGCTCCAAGAGCTTTTGTCCAAGGACTCAGCTTCCTTCTTGTTTCCTACCACTCCTGAGCCCCTGGTTTCTTGTCATCATTTGTAGCTCTTAGCTGAATCACAACCACACTGTTTTTCCCTCCTGGAAGTGCATGCACCTCAAAAGTGGTCATAAGGTGGTTGTGAAGTCATCCCGAAAATGCTCTGGATTTCTCTCCAAGTCCGTGCCTTCTCTAGTGACATCACTATGCACTGTATTACCGTAGAAATCATATTAAAAGAGCCTCCTTGACTTTGCCTTTGCTCCTCCTCTCCAGGCTCATAATTTGCTGTTTCCCCAACACTCTGGCAACACTGAACTACTTTCCTTGAAACTGCCATGTTCTTTCTTACCTTTTAGCCTTTGCAGATGCTGTTCCTTCTTAATAACAAAGAGAGTGCTGCCATTTATTTGGCACATACCCTGCGCCAGTCTCTGTGCCAAGAACTCTTTGTTTATTTAATTTGGCTTTTATCATAGCCCTATGAGGAAGGAATTATTATCCCTACTTAATATATAATGACAATGAGACACAAAGAGAATTAGTAACTTACCCAAGGTCACACAACCAGCTAATGGCAGCGCCAGTGCCAAGATTTGAATCTGCAAAGTCTGACTCAGGGCACACGCCTTGACTCATCTCCCCTGCCTTGTGATCTCCCATTCACATGGCTAATTTTTATATGGTGCCTGTTAGGTCTCAACTTTAATATTGATTCCTCTTGGAAATCTTTTTCGATGCCTCTTGACTAGGTTAGAATTTGGTGTTGCTGTTTCCACAGCATCATCTGTTTCCTCTACTTTGTGGTAATTTTCTCCTTATCTGTGATGTCTACCAGATAGTGAGCAATATGTACATCACAGCTGTAACCTTCACACCCAGCACAATGTTGATCATATAGTGAGTATGCAGTACATAACTGTTGACTGAGTGAATATTTCATCTTTGTTCCCTCTGGTTCTTAATCTCCATACTTAGTCATCACACATTGTAATTCCTATCCCTGAAATACCTTCCCTTTCCTATGCACACCCCCATTTTCTCACCTCTATCTTATTTCTGTCTCATGATCTCTTGTGTGGACAATAAAGTTCTCAAACACTTATTCCCACAAGTGGACAGTTTATTGGGTGATAAAACAACAAGGTTATTTTTGAAATAAGGTTGATCATTTTCAATGGCTATGGCTCAACTACCTGTAAACAATCTTTGGATCTGGAAGTGAAGAATCCTTGCCAGCCTGTTTTAACATCACTGAACGTCTCAAACCATCATTCAGGTAGACAGAAAGTTGGCCATGGATTAAACTGTGGTTTGTTGGTACAAGTTATGGGTTTTAGGCTGGATGCAGCTAAACTTTGATTCCTGAATTTTTCTGTAATTTTATATGGGCTTTGTCAAGTTGGAAGAGTATATACTTTCAGTTGATCAAAGCCAAGCAGCAATATTTTAAAAACTCTTGGTTCAGAGAAGAGTGAAGTATTCATAACCCAACCATATGGAGAAAGTTTAAGCTGCAGAACCTCCTGGAAGTTTCAACACACACTCACCATGACCTTATGCCTACTTAAGCTATAGCTGAAGTTTTTGATGCTGTTTGCATTTTGACCTCAATTCTACCTTCAACTTTACAGACTCAGACTTATTTGGTTCCTAGCTTCTCACACAAGCCTTTCTTTACCCCAGAAGAAACCAGAAATACTTGAGTTCAATTTTGCCATCAAGCATTTTATATACCACACTTAGCTTAAAATAAATTAGATGTACAGAAGAGATATGTAGTCATAGGTGCCTTCAAACATATTTCAAGGTAATACCACACATGTTTATATGCAATTGTACTTTCACAATGCCAACAGCATAAACAAAATCTTTTCGGGAAGGGACTTTTGAAACACCCTGGCAGTGATTCTCCCAACCAGTGACCCTGGCTCTAAGCTCTTTCTCTTCAATTCCATTCTCCTTGCTGCCACCTTAAACAAAACTCTGGCCATGTCTCTCCTTTGCCTAAGAACCTGAGCTTTTAAGACCTTCAACAAATTGAGCCAAATAACTGTTTGGCTTTTCCCTGCCCTATAGTCATCATTCATCATGCTGGGCTGCCCACCCTGAACAGGTCACCTAATCTTCTGCCATTCTTCCTTAGCTGTTTCTTTTGTGTCTCCCTGGAGGATTTTCTCCCCATATGTGACCTATTTTGTTTTTCCATCCTTCTCAACCTTATGGAAAAGGCCCCACCTCTACAACATTTTCCTAGATCTTCTTAGTCAGGGAAAATCTCTCCCTTGTATTTCTGAAACAGGAGAGTCCTCTGAGTCCCCTCGCAGGACATGCAACAGTGGTGTGGCTTGTCTGTTTGGTTGCTGCCGCTGCTCAAACCCCTTATGGGAGGGGGAGCACGCAGATGGACAGGTGCAGGAACCCTTTCTTGCAAAGGCAGAGGGCCAGTATGACAGCTTTCTGTATCCCGAGCTCTTGTCCAGTGTCTTGGAAGAATCAGGTGACACATGGACTTGATGATGAATGAGGGGTTTTATTGGGTGGTGGAGGTGGCTCTCAGTGGGATGGATGGGGAGGTGGACAAGGGATGGAGTAGAAAGATGATCTTCCTCTGGAATTTGGCTATCCAGCTGCTGATTCTCTGACCGTCCCCAGCTGAACTCCTCCCAACGTTCACTTTCTGTTTTCTCCTCTGCCACGCCGTTCTGCCGCCCATCTCCTCATCTGTTCCTCTCCTGCTTCTGGAGCCTGGGGTTCAGGGTTTATATGGGTACAGGATAGGTGGGAGTGGCAGGCCAAAAGGCAACTTTTTGGGTGCCAAAACAGGAGTGCCCATTCTCACTTAGGGCTGTGAGTATCCAGGCTTGAGGGTGGGACCTTTTCCAGGGAACTGCCCACTTCTACCCAGTATTTCCTTGTCTCCTGTCTGTATCATTTCCAGATTTATGTCCTTATTTTATCTTAATTTCTCATCTCTCCCCTGTATTTCCAGATATGTTTGTGTGTATATTTTATCTTAATTTTTTTATTAAGTACTTCTTTATTTATTAAAAAAATCCAAAGCTTTAAAAAAATAAGGAAAATGGAAAATGACCCACAATTTCTTCATCCTGTTAATATTTCTTGACCTAAAAAGTAATGCATATGTTTTGTTGGAAAATTCTGATAGTACAGAAAGGAACCAAAGCAAAAAGTAAAGCTTCCTTGCCCTTTCCTTCATATCTTTAACTTTAGCATTTAATAGTCTGCTGTGTTTTATGTGACTGTTTACCTTCTTCATTAGACTCTAAACTCCTTAAAGGTTGCCACCATAACTTTGTATCCAGTGCGGTACATTGTAGATGGTGAGCATACAATAATGTTTGCATTGTTGTATTCACATGTTATCACTTCTAAGAGTTTTTATTTAGACAGACTTTATAATGTATATGGCACATATAATAGGTAAACCTAGTTGGTTTTTATTTGTAGAGTTGCATGGAAATGTGTGATTGTTCTAGGCATTGGAAGAAGGAGATCTTCTGGCCCAGCAGCTTAGGATTGTAAGGAGTAGAGATTCTCTTGACTTTCCTTGTCCTTTGTAGAAAGACTATAGATCATTGGGATTTTGGAAGAGCTACAACTCATGTCTCAAGAAAGGGAGGGATGGGTCCCATCTCATCTCAGTCTCTCTTTCTCACGGGGCCTCTGTTTTTCTCTATCTGCTCACTCTCCTATCTTTTGTAATATGCTTCCTTCCTTTGCTTACTCATGTGGCCCCTGGCCCAGTGGGTCACTCCTGCCCTGACTCTGCAGGACCCTCCAGCTCAGCAGCCCACAGATAAATGACAACAGTCTCTAAGTGTACCAGCTCCCAGTGCTAGGAGAGCACCCGGGTTGGCCTAGTTCATCTTTTTTGTCAGACTGATGGTACAGGATGTCTATAGGTAGCCGTGCTTGTGCCAGGTGTCTACCCCTGGACCAGTTAAACATGGCCATGGGGTAGGATCATGTGGTTAGAACCTGATTAGGCTGGCTCAGCAGGGCTCTGGCAGGAAACAGAGTCCCTGAGGGAAGTGTGGAAATTTTAGATTAAATCAAGTAATGAGCAGTTAAATATGTGGGGGTACTTGAAGAAATAAAGACTCAGAGGTGAACTGCCAGCTTCCTTGATTGTTCAAAAATGGTTATTCCATGGATGAGGAGGCCCCTTTTTTCTGAGTAGCTCCAGAGAGTATAGCATGAACCAGTAACTAAGAGTTAAAGTGAGGTGCTGAGTGTATTAGGAAAACAAACCCTAATAACTGTCGATGAATGGACTGCATCTTGAGGTTGTAAGTTTTATTTACAGAAAATGTTTGAATAGAACATGGATGAGCTCTTTCAATGAAGCATTTGTGCATTTGGAAAGACTTGCATCCAATGACCTTGAAAAGTTTTTTCCAACATTTGCAATTCCAAGGACTTACTTTTAAGGGTTTCTTCTCAACCACATTCACAAAACATCTAGGCAAACACATGTGCACCTCTGAGTTTAACACCTGGCATGTGGCATTTACACAATTGAAGAGCTCTTCCTGATTTGTGCCTCCCAGTTTGATTGCAATATCACTGGAGGCTACTTAGCCATCTGGATGTTGCTACCTCCTGTCTCCTGCAGTGCTATTGCATCCAGCTAGGTTTGGTAGCCTTGGGCTCCTTTCATTTTCCAAACAGCTAAGCAATTATGATACTGGAAGCAAGAACAAGGCTGACGACAAAGCCACCCTTTTCTTAGTGAGAACAGAAGAAAAGCTTGACTGCCTGGAAAGAATCTACTAGTGATTTTCAATCACCGAACTCATTGCTAACTAACATTGTAATTAGAGTTAAACCATGAAGGCCAAGATTTAGGAGACCATCTGGTCTGCTGTTTGAAGAGAGGAAGAACATTCCAACCTTGGAGAATGGAATTGTTGGGGCTCCTGAAAGTGACCTTGTACTTTACTTGACTTTTTTCTGTTCCAATCTCCTCTGTGATGGATGGCAAATGCTGTGGTGGAAAAAACAGATGTTGTCCAAGACCTTGGCAGAATGGGTTGCCTCCATTCTCTGGCTTGAATCCAGCAGCACCAAATCTGTGACCATTTTCTGAAGGCCTGTTAAATGCAAGGTACTGTGCTAATCCTTGTGTATTAAAAGCATATGGCATCCTCCTTTATGGAGACTAGAATCTAATTGGAGGGCAAAACATAAATAGTTGAACAATTGAAATGACAAATCCAAAGAGGTTGAAGTAGAGGGACCCTAGTGATGTATGCTTTGAAGACTGAAGGGATAACATATGGAGATGTTAGCTGGGCCTTATGGACTTGATACGTCGAAGCGCATTCAAGGTAAGTAGAGCTGTTTTGTGCAAGGCAAGTTACCAAAAAGCCAACACCCTTTTGGAAGATCTCCAGTGCATCAATTTGAGGAAAGCACTCTCATGGGATGTTAGATTTAGCACTCTCTCCTGGTAGACAGGGAGCTAAATCATTCAGTTATGTGTCCTCAGCATGCATATCCCAGTACCTTTTTGTAAACTTTGAAAGCAGCATTTCA
This sequence comes from Homo sapiens, assembly GCF_000001405.40. NCBI lineage: Eukaryota > Metazoa > Chordata > Mammalia > Primates > Hominidae > Homo > Homo sapiens. Next base: position 155,134,337 of record NC_000005.10, read on the forward strand.
AAGGCAGTTCTAGTCTGTGTTACTGCCTTTGCCTTGAGTTATAGACTTGCATCATTTATGGTAATTTCCTGACATGTGCCTCTTCTATTGAGCCAAGAATTTGCCTGCCTCTAACACCCACTTTGAAGCCTAACTTTGACCTTGAGAATCATAGGGAAAAAGTATCACCTTTTTTCTTTTCACTTCTTGTTTTTTTCTTTAACTTTTATTTTAAGTTCAGGGGTACATGTGCAGGATGGGCAGGTTTGTTAAATAGGTAAATGTGTACCATGGTGGTTTGCTGCACAGATCATCCCATCACCTAGGTATTAGACCTAGCATCCATTAGCTATTCCTCCTGATGCTCTCCCTCCTTCAACTCCTCCCAACAGGCCCCAGTGTGTGTCGTTTCCATTCGTGTGTCTATGTGTTCTCATCATTTGGCTTCCACTTGTAAGTGAGAACATGTGGTGTTTGGTTTTTTGTTCCTGTGTTAGTTTGCTGAGTATAATAGCTTCCAACTCCATCCATGTCCCTACAAAGGACATGATCTCATTCCTTTTTATGGCTGCATGTATTTCATGGTATATATGTACTACATTTTCTTTATCCAGTCTATCATTGATGGGCATTTAGGTTGATTCCATGTCTTTGCTATTGTGAACAGTGTTGTGGTCAATATACGCATGTATGTGTCTTTATAATAGGATGATTTACATATTTTTGGGTATTATGCCCAATAATGGGATTGCTGAGTCAAATGGTATTTCTGTCTCTAGTATCACCTTTTTTTCTGTACCATGGCCATTCTGGTATTTGAAGTCAGCTATTACACCTCTTCTGAATTTTGTCTCTCCTGGGTTAACCATCTACAATTTCTTCCTGTTTCCCACAATATTGCCCTCACTGTTTTGGTTGCCTCAAGCTACTGTTGATGGCAGTTTTGCCCAGTTTTGCACCTGTGGCAAGATAACTTGGGATATGGATGATCTATGTTTTTGATAGGTCAATTGCCCTTCCATAAATGCAATCGCTTCTCTTAGGAGGAACTCTCAGTCTTTATTGGAGCTCTGTGAGCTGTGATCTTCTTGGGGCACTGACTAGAAGGGTTAGAACTGAAGCATCTGTATCAGAGAGGGCTTTGAAGAAATAGATTCCTATTTCCTGTACCTGTCTTCTTTCACCTCTAGTCTCTTTTCTACAGAAAGAACACACACAAAGATAGCACACACATCTCTATTCAGTCTGCAAAGCATAACACCTTGCTGAGCATTTGCTTTCCAGGTAACCTCCACTATTTTATAGGCATTTACTTATGAAGTTATTCAAGCAATTAAATCATTCATTTGCTCATTTATTGAGCACCATACATAACAGACTTGTGCTACAGATGCAGATTCAAAGTAGAGTCTGTGTCCTTAAGGAGATTACAGGCTTAATAGAGATAGGCTCCTGGAGGAGTGGATTATAGTTCAGTGGGTTAAATGCTAAAATGAGCATAGCAGCTAGGCGTGGTGGCACATGCTTGTAATCCCAGCACTTTGGGAGGCTGAGGCAGGCGAATCACTTGAGGCCAGTAGTTCAAGACCAGCCTGGCCAGCACAGTGAAACCCCATCTCTACTAAAAATAGAAAAAAATAGCTGGGCATGGTGGTGCATGCCTATAATCCCAGCTACTTAGGAGAATTGCTTGAACCCAGGAGGCAGAGGTTGCAGTGAACCAAGATCATGCTACTGCACTCCAGCCTGGGTGACAGAGTGAGACTCTGCCTCAAAGAAAAATAAAATAAAATAATCATAGTAGAAACACAAAGTAGGGAGTGATGAAGTGGGTAGTACTGGAGGACGTTGGGGGGACTTAATACCAGAAGATCATAATGACTAGATCATGTGTTGCTTGAAAGCAGGGACAGGGCCTTATTCATCCATTTTAGCCTCTGCTCCTAGCATAGTGTCCAACATGTTATAAATGCCCAGTTAATATTCATGGAAGAAGCTGAATGAGCTACTGTCTTCTGTTAAAGCTGGAGCAGCTCTTCTCTGAAGTTGCATTCAACAAGCACACGGTTGAAGAGAAAGAGCCTAAAGAGGATGCCCCAAACTGCTGGATTTTTGCCAGGAGAGTACAGAAGGAGTCCAACAAGTTGAGTTCTTCCGCATGAAAAATGCCATATCTCCCTGTAACTTAGTGTTTCCACGTGTAGCTTTCTCACTCCTGCTGGGAACTTGCGCTGGGGTTCTGGAGGCCACCTGTTTCCCAGCATTTGGTCTTGGGGAAAGGAGAGGAGATGTCTCTGTTCCTGTGAAATTCCTCCCACTTCTCACCCCATGGGAGACTCTCTCTCTGCATTCCTGATGACTTTCAACTCTCACCTCACTAGATAGCAACGACTGCAACATGCTTGTCGAAAGACAAAAGCTCCAGCTACTCAACTGTCAGCTCCTCATGGTGTTTGCAAATTACACAACCATTGGGAAAATGCCCATTGCCTTACACTTTAAAGTGTTTGGGTCTTACTCCCCTAAACACCCAGAGTAAATACTGAAAAGTGTACAAAACTTTATATGTACATTATTCCATTAATTCTATGACATAGTCAGTGGAGGTGTCCTCCCCTTTATTTATAACGATGAGCCTATGAAGAGCTTTGGTTTCTCAAGACCATATTTTTGTTAAGAACTGAACTTGAACCCAGGGCTAGTTTTTTTTTTTTTTTTTTTTTTTTAACTTTTAAGTTCAGGGGAACACGTGCAGGTTTGTTATACAGGTAAACTTGTGTCATGAAGGTTTGTTGTACAGATTATTTCATCACCTAGGTATTAAACCTAGTACCCATTAGTGATTTTTCCTGATCCTCAACCTCCTTCCACCCTCCACCCTCTGACAGGCCCCAGTGTGTGTTGTTCCCCTCTATGTGTTTATACATGCTCATCATTTAGCTCTCACTTAGAAGTGAGAACATGTGGTATTTGGTTTTCTGTTCCTGCGTTAGTTTGCTGAGAATAATGGCCTCCAGCTCCATCTATGTTCCTGCAAAGGACATGATCTCTAGTTTTTCTTAATATTTTTAAAATAAATTTTATCTTGGTTTTGAAAGTTAGATATGCTCACTATAGAAAATCTGGATAAAAGAAGAAAAGTAAAACCATGACAACAGAGATAGTTGCTATTAACAGCTTGGATTTTCTTCTGGTCTTTTTATTCTGTGCCCAGAAATATTACAACTACGTACACGTACACATTTGTTTGGATATTGGAATCCTGTTACACCTGTCATTTTATGCCTTGCCTTTGACTTATTAGAATAGCATTCATTTACTTGACATGCCTTTATGGAGCATCTTCTACATGCCAGGTGTGAGCTGAGTCCCATAGTCAGGTGGGGACAGTGGCATTCAACAAATAATCACAGTAGTAAATGCAGAGTCAGGGACTGTGATAGTAACATGGAGGAAAAAAGATGATAGGAGGCAGGGGACAAGGAGATCTGATTTAGACTCAAGAGTTAGGGAAGGGCTTTCTGGGAGAAGAGACACTTAAAACTGAGTCCTCTGGACTGAGGAGGCTTTTGCCAGGAAGTCGGGGCTGAGGTGCAGGCAGCATCCAATTTGCGGGCTATGAGTGAAATCCCAGAGCCAGCAAGAACTTTCCAGGGCTGTGGGGCTGAAAGAAGGTCCCCGTGCCAGGTGGGAGCACAGCAAGGGAGAGGAGGCTGGCAAGAGGCAAAGCTGGAGAAAAGGCAGGACCTAGAGCCTTAGGGCCATATAAAGGTTGGGGTGGGCAGGGGCGGTCTTTATCCTCATACCAAGTGAAGGCAGTGACGGGTTTTAAACAAGGGAGGATCCTGATCTGCTTCACTTTAAAATGATCATTTAGGCTGAATTGAGGAGTATGATGGGGGGCAGGGGAGGAGGAATTTAATTTAATTTATCATTACACATTCTGTTACACAAGTTTTAATGGCAACATATTATTCTATTTTCTCAATATGCTGTAATTTAAAAAATTCCCTGGTTTGGTGTTATTTTTGTTATAACTTTTGAGGTAGTGAACATCCCTACAGTAAGTTATTGAGCATAGCAATGGTGATTGCCTTTGACAAAATCCCTAGAGGTGGAATTGTTGGCTCAGAAGGTGTGCATAGTTGTAAAGCTGTTTTTCTACATTTCTAAATTGCCCCCTGAAAGGCTGTATGAATTTTAGCTCCCCCAGGTAGGGAATAAATGCACTGATTTCCATATTCCATGGCCAACTCTAATTTAAAAAGTCTATGCCATGATAAGCTAAAAAGGAGATCTCGTTTTAATTTCCATTTCTTTGATTACCAGCATGAGAGAACATTTTCATAAGCATATAAGTCATTTACAGTTTTTAAATTGCACCTGACCCCACATATTTATGTTTCTGGATCAGAGCTCCTTCTAGCATAGCTCTCACCTCTTTAGGATGTTTTCTAGGGGTTTCATGAGCTTTCCAGGCCAGGCTGACTTTAGCTCCAGGGAGACCATCTTCAAGGTTCAAAGATGCTGACAGGCATAAATGACCATCCTGGGAGTGGGAGACCTAGGCATTTTTATTTACCATAGAGACTCATACAAAAAGGACAAAATAAATAAATAAAAAGATCCTAAGATAGAGATATTTTTCATATTCTTCCTTCTGTTAATATATAAGACGACTGGGTACTTTGTTTAGATCAGTGCTATCTGCTGAAAACAGGAGGCCTGTATGCAATTTAACATTTAGTGCCATAATAAAAAAGAAAGGTGAAAGTATTTTTGATAGCATTTAATTTAAACCAGTATATTAAATATGATCATATCTATACATAATCAATATAAAAATTAATGATATTTTATATTTTTTCTCATACGAAGTCTTAAAATTTAGTGTGCATTTCACATTTAAGCACATCTCAGATAGGCCTGGGCACACTTCAGGAGCTCAATAGCCCTACTGTGGCCTGTGTGATTGTTGGCCAGCATGAGTCTGGATGGTGGCCTGGAAGGCATGACATAAGATTTATAGCTTCATGAGATTTTAGAGCTGGAGAGGAGTTTAGTAAGCGAACGCTCACTAGAGACACTGAAGGGAGAAGTCTCTGCCAAGGCCACGTGGCTGGGCCGTGGTAAGGAATTGACACAGGTCTCTGCTGTCCCAGTACCACTTCTTCCGTTTTGGGATTATCGGGAGGTAATGAAATGCAGGCCACACAGTGAACTCTCACTAGAGGGTGAAGATGACGTCGTGGTTGCGGTGGTTCTACTATGCACAACACCGTGGCTACATTAAAATAAAAGAAGTTTTAAGCCCTACTCCCCGCACGAAGCAGAGGAAGGGTGAGCAGGGAGGAGATCCTCCTGTCGTGTCCATTCTGAGCCTTAAGTATATTTCTGTTTTTCAAGGCAAATAGATTCTGGTCCACTTTTAGAAACCTTAATCTCGGTCTTCGTTGTGTCTGGTGAATACATGAGTGACCAGCAGGTGGTGCCAGAGACAGTTGGTAGCCAGGGAATGCCCTAACTGTCCTCGGCTGGGATAGCTGAGGTCACTCACTGGCTGGAGTTGAGCATCTGGGGCTCACATGCAGACGTGATGGGAAACTGGATCCTTTTAATATGAAAAATGGGTAACTGTAGAGCTAATTCTTATTGTATAAAAATAGCACTCATTTTTTTCACTTTAATAGATATTTATCAGGCTGGGTGTGGTGGCTCATGCCTGTAATCCCAGCACTTTGGGAGGCTGAGGCGGGCAGATCACCTGAGGTCAGGAGTTTGAGACCAGCCTGTCCAACATGGCGAAGCCCTGTCTCTACTGAAAATACAAAAGTTAGGTGGGTGTGGTGGTGTGCACCTGTAATCGCAGCTACTGGGGAGGCTGAGGCAGGAGAATTGCTCGAAACCCGGGAGGCGGAGGTTGCAGTGAGCTGAGATTGTGCCACTGTACTCCAGCCTGGGTGACAGAGTGGGACTCCATCTCAAAAAAAAAAAAAAAAATTATCAAAAGCCAATTCCAGATCTGGCCAGGAAAAGCATAGAGAAAATCCTGGAGGAGATAATTTTGAAGGACTGGCATTAAAAAGGAGTGTAAAATATGTCCTTGATAAATGTTATATTGATTACAGGTTGATGTGATAACACCCAGAGTGTAACGCAATCAAGAGAGTTAAAGGAAAAGTGGTAGAGAAGTTCTTTGTGGAAGGAAAAACATGAAGGAGGATTAACTAATCGTGGATGACTTCATGAGGTGGCCCTGAGGCCCACCTGTGGTGTGGGGATGAGGAGGACTTTAGTAAGTGGTCAGGATGGATGAAGTGAGAGGGTCAGGGAAACTTAGACCTAAGGTTGGGAGGGACCGCAAATATTTCACGATCTGACTCCCACTACTCACATTTGATGCTCGAAGCCCCTTCTTAGAACAACTACTAGGTGGAGATGTTTGTCTTTGAAGGGACAGCCTGTATGAGTCCGCTTAAGAAAAACCCAGTTTGGCAGGCTTTGTGAACTCAGAGGTTATAAGCAAGCAGCCTCCAGGCTAAATCTAGTCCACACAGGTGTGCAGCATGGCCTGCATAGCATTTTACACAATTTTCAAATTAGTGATTAATATGTGAGCGTCTAGACTTACCATGGAAACATCCAGGTTTCTGACTGGAGGTGCACAATGGGTGTCCCCTGTGGTCAGGACAAGTGTCTCTCTGCTTGTTTGGCTTTGTGTTCTCTGCTTGACCTGGTAGCTTTAGAGTTTAAAATCTTTAGCTTAACTGCTTTAATCGCCCTAAGATTTCCATGTTCTCTGTGAGCACAGAATTTAAGAAAGCAAGAGTATATATATTCCTCTTTTTAAATAAACCTCCCAATGAACAGATGTAAAATTTAGGAGATAATTTATGTGGAATAAGATAAAAAGAGAGGATATCATTTCTTAAAATGTTTGAGATGAAAAGAAAGTAGAATGAAACAAAAATCACAACACGGATTGTTGATTGGAAGCAGGAAGGCAGAGTCTACACTGCAGAAAATTTAATCAGGAACCGGGGATAAATTTTTGAAACTTCTCCAGAACACAGAGAACGGTAATAAGGATGAAAAGAGAGAAGAGATATAGAAGTCAGAGATTGCAAGTGCAACCTGCAAATTATAAGAATTCTTGAAGAAAGACATAAAGCAAATAGATTATATGCAATGTTTGAAGGAATAATAGAAGAAAACGTTCCAAAATTAAAACAAAACAAAACAAAGCCACTTGGATGGAAAGTGTTTTTCAAGTTTTTCAGGCAAATGTAAAATTTATATTCCAAGACAAAGCCTGATAAGGATTTTTACATTTCAGTGATGAATGGAGAGTTCTACAAGCTTCCAAACAGAAAATTAGAAAACACAGAAGAGTTTACTTTAAAAGGACATAAATTGGCCCTGGGTGCGGTGGCTCCAGCCTGTAATCCTACCACTTTGGGAGGCAGAGGCAGGAGGATCACTTGAGGTCAGGAGTTCAACACCAGTCTGCCAACATGGTGAAACCCTGTCTCCAGTAAAAGTACAAAAAATTAGCGGGGCATGATGGTGCGCACCTGTAATCCCAGCTGAGGAGGCTGAGGCAGGAGAATTGCTTGAACCCGGGAGGCAGAGGTTGCAGTGAGCTGAGATCGTGCCACTGCACTCCAGCCAGGACGACAGAGCGAGACTCTGTCTCAAAAAATAAAAAATAAGTAAATAAATAAAAATAAAATAAAATAAAATAAGGACATAAGTTAGTTTCAGTTTTCTTATTTTAAATAACTAATGTCAGAAGAACAGGGGTAAGACCTGCAGAGTTCCGAGAGGATTCCGTTGTGATGCAGGAATTTTATATCCTAGGGAGGTTGTATTCTTTGACCAAGGCATCCAAAGGAAATGCAAAAGTCTCAGAAAATACACCTCCTATATAACTACATTTATGCAAAGTAACTCTAAATGTTTCATATCACACATGGTCAAATCAGTAACAAATTAACAAATGAGAAAATTGCAGAAGGAAAAATAAATGGCAGCAGCGCTGCAACCAGCTAAAGAAATTGGGATAAGTCAGCCAGGCGCAGTGGCTCATGCCTGTAATCCCAGGCCTTTGGGAGGCTGAGGTGGGCAGATCACAAGGTCAGGAGATCGAGACCATCCTGGCTAACACAGTGAAACCCCATCTCTACTAAAAATACAAAAAATTAGCCGGGCGTGGTGGCAGGCACCTGTAGTCCCAGCTGAGGGGAGAATGGCATGAGGCATTCTGAGGCAGGAGAATGGCATGAACCTGGGAGGTGGAGCTTGCAGTGAGCCAAGATCATGCCACTGCACTCCAGCCTGGGCAACAGAGCAAGACTCCATCTCAAAAAAAAAAAAAAAAAAAAAAAAGAAATTGGGATAAGTAAAGAAAAAATACTAACAAGGAGAAAAGAATGGCCAAGCCCATTATTGCCAATTATAGGCAGGAAACTCTTTCAGCCACTTTGTGTATTTAGTATTGCTCTAAAGGAATACCTGAGGGTGAGTAAGTCATAAAGGAAAAAGGTTTATTTGGCTCACGGTTCTGCACGCTGTACAAGAAGCTAGTGCTGGCATCTCCTTGGCTTCTGGTGAGGGCCTCAGGCTGCTTCCCACTCATGGTGGAAGGTGAAGAAAGCCAATGTGTGCAGAGACCACATGGTGAGAGAAGAAGCAAGAGCCAGAGGGGAGGTTCCAGGCTGTTTTTAAACAACCAACTCTTAAGATAACTAATAGATGGAGAACTCCCTTACTGCCCCCAACCCTGCATCCCCAGGGAGAGAGTATTAATCTATTTGTGAGGGATTTGCCCCCATCCTGCAAACACCTCCCTTTAGGACCTACCTCTGACCCTGGAGATCAAATTTCAACATGAGATTGGGAGGGGACGAACATCCAAACCATAGCAGCCACATTAATGTCTCAGGACACAGAGGCTCAATTTGCGTATGCATGACAATCTGTTGATAGTGTTGAAATGTCCAGCCTTAGCAGCAGTCCTGGGAACATGGCTTATATGTGGTTTTTCATCTGAGAGCCCAAACAAAGCATCAAAACAAAGTTTGGACAGAAACAGAAAACATGAAAGGGACTCATTTCAGAACTTTCTCCTCTCGGTGACTATTTCAGAATAGAATTATTTTTCTTTTCTGCTCAACACATTTGTACTTGCAAGAACTGCTCATCACTGACTCTATTAATTGAGTTTAGACAAAGACGGCTCCAATCCCTTTTGCTAAATTAAATAAGAGGACTCAAGAACAGGCAGTTTAAAAGTTTTATTTATTTATTTAAAAATCTTTCTTGCCACCACAAAGAATGATAATTGTGTGGAACAAGAGACTTGCATGCATAGTGCTCAGCTTTTGCTAAAGTAAATCTTTCCATTGGGCATTGAACTGTAAATTCCAACATCAAGACTTCAGCAGGAACCTGCTGCACTAAATATTTCTAGGATGGATGTTGCCTGACTCAGTGGGTTTTTTGCTTTTCTTTAGACTCATGATTAATAATGTGCCTGTTCAGCAATGCCTGCACCTGGTTTGTATCTCCTTTGTGTTTATGAGACTTGTATGATTCCTAACATCAGCCAGTGTTTTTCCTTTTATTTTCCTTCCTTTTTCCACCCTCTCTGCCTCCCTTTCTCTCTCTCTCTCCTTCCTTCCTTTCTACCCTCCTCCCTCTCTCCCTCCCTTCCTTTTCCTCCCTTCTTTCTGAGCAGAACACAAACAGTGCCTTAAATTAAGTTTCCTTCTGCTGGTTGTGTAATCATGGAATCCTAGACAATTAGATTTGGATGCGATCTCGTGAGCTGATCAACTCTAATCCTCCATCTGGGGCAAAAATCTCCTCTAGAATACCTGGGCAGAGATTGTTTAGCCTTTCCATGTTCATCTTCAGTGCCAGGGAATTCACTGCCCCAGATTAGGATGGCTCCCTTATGAGACCCTTCTACTGATTCTCAGAGATACGTGACCCTACCATCCTTGGTGTGGTTTTCTGAATCTGAAAGGGACATATTTGTCCTTCCAAGTAATGAAGGTCCCCACGCCCTTGATAAAAAGGACCCTTTCTTAATCCAACTGTATTCAGGCAACTTTGATAAGTATGTAGTTTGAAGGAATGCACTTGATGAACTCAAATATAATTTTTTTGTTTTAACATTTTCTGCTTGAATAATGACTGCACTGCAGGCTGGTCTGTGCTTATGAACTAAAAAACATATGGTGTGACCTGAAGGGTCCATGGCTGGCAAAATGGGTAAGACCTCTCTCCAGAAGCTTCCCCTCTACCCAGAGTACAGTGTGGTGGTTATGAGTTTGGTTTTGGAGTCAGGCTGCCTGAAACCCTTTCCTTGCCCCATAATAGTTATATGGCTTTGGCAAGTACCTACTTCCTAGGCTTGTTAAGGGGGTGAAGTGATAATGTATGTAAGTGTGTGGTATAATTTCTGGTACATAGTAAGAACACAATTAATGCTAGTTGTTTTTAGTAGTGCTATTACTACTACTACTACTTATCTGAATTACTAAAATTCTACATTAGGCTATACTAATGTGCAGAACTTCTGAATCAGTAGGTTCAGATTGGGGCTGGGCAATCTGCCTTTTTAACAAGCCCCTTGAGTGATTAGGATGTAGGTGGTTCTCAGACTACATTGTGAGGAGTGCTGCATTGGAGAAATCCATTGCTGTTAGGACTCAAGGTTTTAGGGCCTTAGGATAGCCCCAGTCAAAAGGTAGGCATCTTTGCAAGGGGCTATCTCTCTTATCAGTTTGTTAATAAGTATTCATTCAGCAAATAGTTCTGGGAAACTTGATGTTCACAGTGCACTGTGCATGAGCACATAGAGATCCCAATAACTGCACTTAGAATGCTCAGAGACCAATGGAAGAGGACACAAAGTTAATATGGGTGCCACTGGTGGTATCTAAAGGATTGAAGGTGTTGTATGAATACATCTAAACATGTTAACTATTGTGTATTACATTCTTTTTTGACATGGGATACTAGTTTTTCACTTAGAGTATATAATAATGACACTATATACAATAAAGTATATAGTAAAATTAAGTTTATAAGATAAAACTATTTCACTTCAAAAAGTAAGTTGATGTAAACAAATATAAGAAGTAAGTAGTAGAAATGGTAGGCAGAGTGAAAATCCTGGAAGGGGTACATGAATGACTGAAGTTTAGGAAATGCTGCATTTTAGGTAGAAGGATAGTAATGTTATACCAAATATAGTTCATTAAAATAGCGGAGAGGCCAGTGAACTCAACCTGGGAGAGTAGGCAAGTTTCACAGAGGAAGCAGGAGACTTCCTCCCTCTTCTTCCCCACTAATAATATAAACATCATGGGAAGAACACTCACCTGTATAGAGTGCCCACACGTTCTCAGTGCTTTATATACTTTATATACTTTGACTCATTTAATTCTCATAACAACCCTGTGAGGTGAGATGAACACCATCCTCATTAGATGAGGAAATCAAAGTCACAAAGCTAGTAGGAAGGAGGATTGAGCCCAGGCAGCCCATTCTGAACTCTAGCTCCAAACCGGTATTCCATCATCTGGACCTGGTTACGAAGTATAGCAAGTGGTTATAACGAGGGCTTGGAGAAGATGTCTGAGGTGTGTGTGTGTGTGTGTGTGTGTGTGTGTGCGTGCATGTATAGGCTTGACAGGACTGGCTACATGATTTGGGGGACCCAGTGCAAAATAAAAATGCGGGACCCTCTTGTTCAAAAAAAACATTAAGAATTTAAAAATGGTGACAACACAACATTAAGTTAAACATGGGGCCCTTCTAAGCTCGGTGCTCTGTCTGTGCACAGGCTGCCATCCACGAAGCGGGCTCTAGGACTATAGGTAAGATGAAAAGGGATGCAAAAAAGACAAAGGATGGATTCCAAGACTGTGCATCTCTCTCTCTCTCTTTTTTTTTTTTTAAATAACTGACCTGAGGAGCTGTTGTTATAAAGCAGTTTTCTCCTGGGCCTTTGCCTTTTGAGGAGAAAGAAACCTCTTCTCCACAAACACTAAACCCGATAAGGAAGGTTCCAATACTGAGATGACTTCAGAGACCTTAACACAGCTCCAAATGTCAATATACCTTCAACAGGCTCTGCAAATAAGAGTCCTGTGGGTAATTACATTTTTAATAAAATACAGTTTGCAGATTGATAGTCAAATAGATTCCCTGTCCTGGAAGCCCGATTTTTCTTCCTAGTCCTGCCACTGCACCCTACTCATGCTGTTCCCTCGTACAAATCCTTCATAATTGGGAAAAGAGTTGTTCATTAACTTAAACCTTCTGATACTTTCAGTTCCTGCTAATGCATTGTGTGAAAGAGCTTAATGTTATGAAAATTGCCATGTATTGCCTCATTTTCATATTGTACCTGTTTAATGAAATGAAATAGAAATAAATTATTGTTGGACTTTGTTGGTAGCTACAGACCACAATGATAAATAATCATATGTATGAAGTTTTAATTGAAATTTTCACAGACAATGCACATGCGTGGTGTTTTATTAAACAATCTTGATACATGAGATACTAGATTTATACAATGTATTTCAGGAATCATTATTTACTTTTCAAGGTGATTTTTAGCTTTGCAAAAGCATTTGCTATAGGTTTCTTTTAAAGAACAGCTTCTTTAGATAGATTTGAAAGAGACTTTCATTTCAGAAGGAATCAATTTATACACAATTGTTTAGGATGCCCACTTTGTGTAGAGCAAGGTACACCTGTATTCCCCTGGAAAAGAAGTAATGTGCCTCTGAATTCTGTGTTGTTTTGTGTTTAGGACTGGAACTGGCTTCAGCATCCAACTTTCATTTCACTAATTCTGCATTTATGAGTCCTATTATGAGTGGCTTTTGATCTGAACAAATATGCAGTATTGTCAAATTAATGCCTGTTTTTAAAAAAATTCCTTTTCATAAAACATGCCATCTGTGGGACAATAAGGAGCTTCTCTGGTGAATTCTTCTTGTAGAGTGGTGATTGTCAGAAGCGAGTACACATTCACAGACTTTAAAAGAGCAATACTTTTTAGAAGGAAACTGAACTGGTTTCTTAGTGCCCCCTGCAGGGAAAATATGCATATTTCTATAAACAGGATAATTGTCAGGTTCACTGGATTTCATTCCTTGTCTAACACAATACCTGACACATAATACGTTGGCAATAATGGATAAGTGCATGACTGAGTCAAGGAGACATTGCTCTAGAATATCTCAGAGAGTGAGATAGTAACCAATTATTTGAAACCAAATAAATTGAGTCAAAATTTCCAAACAACGAATTTTCTGTTATACATATGAAGATGTGGTCATAAATAGGCTCACAAGATATCAGACAAAGGTGCTTATAGGTTTAAAGCTAATCTAGTCCAACCTTGAGACAGTAATAACTCATGGTGATGATGATGATGATGATAATGGTGATGATGATATAAATGCCATTCATTGAGCACCTACTACTGTAGACTGTTTATACATGTCACCTAATTCCATCCTCACCCTAACTTTGCAAGATAGAGATTATTATACTCCTTTTACAGATTGGGAAATGGACACTCAGAAAGGTGAAGTAAATTTCATCAAGGCCACACAGTTAGTAGCTGGCATGAATTTTTTTGGCTCCAAAGTCCACATTCATTTTCCTTACCATATGATCTCTACACAAGATCCTAGAGCTTGCCAGTGGCTGGGGCAATATCAGTGTTCCTGGTTCTGTGTCAGGCTGCTACCAGAAACTCAGACAAAAGGGCAAAAGAAATGCAAATCAGCATGCTTCAAAAGATATATTTTAATTGTAACAATCAAGGGTCAGAGAATGGGGGCATTGGCCATCCTCAGGGTCTTTTGCAAACTCATCAAATGGATTAGGGTTGTTCATGGGATATTTGGAGTGATCAGGGTGAGATGAACCAATATAGACAAAAAAGCATACAATTTGCAGTTATGAACTTCATTTTAAATTATGAATTGACAACTCATTAGCTGTATGAGCTTGAGCAAATCCCATATTCCCTTTGAATTTGCCTCCTCATTTACAAAATGGGAGCAGGATGCTTTACAAATATCTACCTGACACAGTGGTTATGATATTAAATGAAACCGTGTCTAGGAATGTTTTCTAGACCAAAATATGGTTTCGTGCATTCTTTGTCTTCATCACTTGCATTTCTTTTCTAAAAATTTTATAGTTTTTGGTTTTTGCTTTGTTTTATAGACATTTTAAGTTTTTCTTGTGTGCTTTCTTTGATTGCTTTAATGACAAGCAGTGATTTCCCCTTTATAATTGGAACAAGTGTAATTTGTTATGAAGTTTATTGAAGTTGGAAAATTATGTTAGGCAACTGGATTATAAAAATCATTTGCACAGAAGAGGTTGGAGGGAATAAGTTTAACAATAGTAGATGTGAAAAAGTCTTTGGAATGTCAGCTGATGGTAAGCTCAGTGGGAGCCAGGGCAAAGTCAGCTGGGTTAATTAATGGGTACTGAGTGCCCAGAACAGAGGAGATAACAGTACCTGAGCTAGTGTCAGCCAACACTGTGAATATGCAATTACTAGAGTTTCACTTTCAAAGGAGTGTTGTTTCACATCCTTGCCAATACTCAAGAGTCATCAGTCTTTAATTATACCTATGTTAGTGGGTAAAAAATGGTATCTCTCTGTGGTTTTAGTTGCATTTTCCAAAAATTACTTTTTCCCCGGTCCTGGGTGTTTCAGATTCCTGAAAATTAAATATACACCACCCCATAAACCCAGTTATTCCACTTCTGGATATTTAGTCAAGAGAAATGAAACATACCTTCAAACAAAATGTATAAAAGAATGTTCATAGTAGCTTTATTCAAAACAGCCCCAAACTGGAAATAGTCAAATGTTGATCCACAGGAGAATAGAAATTATGGTATATTTTGGTATATTTCCACTATAGAATAACAATAAATAAATAAATAAACAGAGCAATAAAAATGGAAAGAACTTTAGGCAATACCTGACTTATAATTGTACATGTTATGATTCTTTCACTTTACATGGTGTGAAAGCAACACCATTCAGTAGAAACTGTACTTCTCTCGAGAGTCCGGGCAGTGGTGGTGAGCTGCAGCTCCATCAGCCACGCATATTTTGACTTACTTCGAAGGATTTACTGGGATGTAATTCCATTGTAAGTGGAAGAGTATCTGTACTGTAATTTATAACAACATGAATGAATCTCAAAAACATTATGCTGAGTTAAAGAAGCCAGAGACAAAAGAGTGCTTACTGTGTGATGATAGGAAAAACTCATCTATGGTGATAGAAATCAGATCAGTGGCTCTCTACGGGGTGTTCTCTGGGAAAGGACACCAGGGAACTTTCTGAGGTGATGGGGATATTCTGTAATTTTATCTGGGTGTGGGTTTCATAGGTATGGTGTGTATGTGTTGTTAAAACTCATCACATTGTAACACGTAAAGTCTGTGCTATTTGTTTTATGTAAGTTATACCGCAATAAAGTCGATTTATAAAGTAAAAAAACAAAGAGATCATAAAATATTTTATTTATAAAATAAAAAACCAAAGAGGGCCTTTTGTCTCTTGAAGAATCTTGGAGCCTTCCTACAGGAAGAGTCTAAAAACCAAGCCCAAGGAAGAGAGACAGAGAGAAGGCAGGAGAGCCAACTCCCTAGAGTGGAAGGGCTGTCTTGTGAAGACTTAGACACCTATTGTGTGTCACTCTGCAAGAGAGGGAGGAAGTGTCAGGGAAGCAGACAGTTTGACCTCTGTGGAGAATTAGAGATATCTTGCGATGGAATGGGCTGTCTCAGGAGACTGTGAGCTTCCTGTCACTCAGCAGAGTTGGGTAACTTCCTGTCAGCATGTTGTAGAGTGTGTCCATGTAGTGACGGGGAGCGTTAACTAGGTGGCCTCAAGGCTTTCTCCTGTGCAGATTCTGCAGTTAGAGATGGTCTTGGGTAAGTGGTTGAGCATGTGCTTTGGAGTAAGGCTGCCCATAGTTGAACCTGGGAATCTAGGGTCTACCGCTAGTGAGATGAGTCACCTTAGGCAGGGCAACTTCTCTAAGTCTCAGTTTTCTCATATAAAAAGTGGTGTGTGTGCGTGCATATGTGCCTGTGTACTTACCTGTGTTTATCTTTCTTTTCTGCCATCTGTGATCTACCTAAAATGCTGCACAACCTCAAAGAGTTGTAACTGAGGCTGAAATTGAGATGATTCACGTAAAGGGCATAGCAAAGCACCTAGCATGTATACTAAGCCCATGATAAGAGCTCAATAATTTTAGTCATCGTTATTATTTCTATTACTATGATTCTAAAAATTTTAGGTGTCAACATATACCAAGAGTAGATGTTTTGGGGCAAAATTTAGGGGCTCATACTAAATCCTTCATATTGGACTCTTTAAGTGGCTGTTACCTCCATCAAAAGGTATGATTAATCTTTCACAGGTTAATTAAAAAATGGGAAAATAAGCCTTTTTAAAGACTTATTTAAAAAATACAATTTTATGGAAAAAATGGGCACTGCATGTGTGTCTTTGAAGTGAGGGATTCTTTTGTACTTGGTTATGTTCTTGCTTGGCTCTGAGTCACAGTGCTATAACCAGGAGAGGTGTAGTTGGTAGGATTAGGTTTTTCTTGGTCCCTGTTTTGTGGGACAGATCACTGTAGCACAGTGAACACTTTCAGTAAGGAAAGGATTAATTTCAAATAACCTAGGCCCGAACACATAGTTTCCCAAAAGGTTCTGATGGATTAAAATTTTCATTTATTTAAAAATGAGTCATTCAATCACATGGATCAACATTTAAAAGGAACAAATGGATGTATAGTGAAATGCCTTCCTCTTGTCCTCAGTTCCCCAGCCATCTAGGCCCCTCAGCAGGGGCAACCAATTTAATCAGTTTCTCGTGTATCTTTCTAAAGACATTTTATGCCAATTATAGTATTTTATGGGTCTTTTTTTCTATTTTTATTTTACACAGCAGCTTACTGCAGAGTGTTTTTTGCCTTACATTTTTCATATAACAATCTTCACTTAATTGTATTTCATTTCAGAACAAGAAAGCTGTCGCTTTCATTTTAATGGCTGCATCGTATTCCATTATGTACTTATATCTACATCTTTATATACCTATATGTGTCACACTTGGTCTAGCCAATCTGTTGTTAATGGAAATTTAGGTTGTCCCCCACATTTTCACTAATAAAAACAAGGCTTTAGTAAATAATTTGGCTCCTAGGTCATTTGATACATGTTCAAATATATCTGTAGGATAAATTTTTAAAAGTAGACTTGCTGAGTGAAATGGCATATCATTTTTTAAACATTTTGTTAGATCTTGCCAATTTTCCCTTCATTAGAGTTATACCAATTTACCTTCTACCAGAAATGTGTTAGAGTGACTATTGACCCCAAATACCAACATGATATATTCTTAGTCTTAGATCTTTGCCAATCTAGTGAATGAAAAAGGGGGTTGAACATTTCTTCATATGTTTAAGTCAATTTGTGTTTCCTTTTCTGTAAATTGTCTGTTCATATCCTTTGGCCATTTTTTGATTAGTTCAGAAGTATAAGTTTTTGTTATTGAATTTATTAGAGTAAAAATGTTTATAATATTTAATTTGCCTCCTGTTTCAGACTTTTAAAAAACATTAACATACAGTAAAACTTACTTTATTGGTGTTCTATAAGTTTTAGCACATTTATAGATTTGTGTGACCACCACACAATCAGGATACAGCACAGTTTTTCTTTTCTTTTCTTTTCTTTTTCAGACTGAGTCTTACTCTCTCGCCCAGGTTGGAGCGCAGTGGCACGATCTCAGCTCACTGCAACCTCTGCCTCCTGGGTTCAAGCGATTCTCCTGCCTCAGCCTCCTGAGTAGCTGGGATTACAGGCGCCCGCCACCGCATCCAGCTAATTTTTGTATTTTTGGTAGAGAGGGTTTCACCACATGGGCCAGGCTAGTCTTGAACTCCAGACCTCAGGTGATCCACTAGCCTCGGCCTCCCAAAGTGCTGGGATTACAGGCGTGAGCCACTATGCCTGGCCAACAGTTTCATCATTGCTGAACACTCATTTGTGCTGCCCCTTTGTAGTTAAGCCCTCCTTACTCTTGAACTTTGGTAGCCACTACTCTGTTTTCTGTAGCTATATTTTTGCCCTTTTCCAAATGGGACTATGCAATATACGACTTTTTGAGACTGATTTGTTTCTCTCAGCATAATGCCTTTGAGAGTCATCCCTGTTATAAGTATCCAGTAGTTTCTTATTGCTGTGTGACATTTCATTGTATAGATATGCTATAGTTTGTTTATCCATTCACCCACTGAAGGACATTTGAATTGTTTTCAGTTTGGATGATGATTAATAGGGCTGCTTTAAACATCAGGTATAGATTTTTGTGTATAGGTTTTCATTTCTATTGGGTAAATACCTAGGTGTCAGTTTCTCTTGACTGTTTCTTTACTTTGCTATAGTTACACTTTTCTGTTTTTACCCCCACCGTTTATATTTTATTGTGTACTACTCATCGATAATATGTTGTAGAGACACTGGATTCTGTAATCTTCCTCTGAAGATGACTTATTTTTGTTTAGTACACAGTTCAATTACTGGATGGACACCTAATGATTGTGTAGTTTTGTGTTTATATCTTGTTATGCCATATCTGTGGAAAGTCTGAGATGGTTCAGAAGGCCCTCTAATTTGGTGGGACTGAACTTCTAAACTGTTTTCTCTGTGGCTTTTGTCAGAGCTTAGATTAAGGCTAAGGTAGGTCTAGAGTAGATCTTATTCTAGCACATGGTCCTTAATCCTAAGAGGAAGTCTTTCCGATATGTCAACTTACTGCCTGAGGAATTAATAAGGTGTTAATAAATTAATAATTAACAAGGTGTTAATAAAGTCTTTCCACTCAGGTTGGGCTAAACTTCCCATGCTCTCTAGGACCACTTGCTCTCTAGTGTCTGTTTCATTATCCAGCTCACAGCCAACAGTCTTTGATAAGCCTCATGCAGTCTCATCCTGTGCATGTGAGCCTAGCTCTTGGACTAGGACTTTTGGGGAACTCCAAAATGAACTTCTGAGGTGCCCCTCTGTTATAGTTCTCTTCTCTCCAGTGCCCTGTCCCATGGTTCCCAGCTGTTTTAGCTGCCCCAAACTTTGATCTTTGCCACTTAGCAGGACCAATGTTCTCTGCTTGGACTTCAGCTCACTATGCCTTAGTTGGGAAGCTATCCCCAGGCAGGTTGCTCTGATGCCTGAAAACAGTGGCTTCCTTTATTTGCCTACTTTAACATGTTTTTTTTTTTTTTTGGTGGCATAGGGCAAGTCTGGTACCAGTTAATTATATCAGAAGCTTACTTGAATGATATATCTAGGCTGATTTATTAAGGGCAACAAGGGGTCTCTTGCTTGCAACCTAATTTTTCATCAAGGATAACTTTGTTTTTTCAACTGTCAAAGAACTCTGTGCTGAAGGGTACTAGGGATCTGACCTGGTTTGGTCATTTTTGTGTTCTTATGTTTGCTAAATTGAGTGGATTTGGAACCTTTTCCAAGTAGCTGAAACATAGCTTCTATAAACTGCACTATGGAATGAATTTTTAATTTTCAGTCCAGTTCTGCCATGGCAGTAAAAACAAGTTCAATTATATGCTTATAGGGAATTCTTGATTCTTATAAATTCTGAAGAGTTTTATTACAGCGGAAGTTAGATTTTTCCCCAGCACAGTGTGACTTCAGGACAGTTTTGCCCTTCTCAAAAAAGGTAGTTTTCTTATCTGTGAGATGGAGACAAGGTCAGGGAAGAAGAGAGGGTATATAACAAAATTGGAAAATGTTGTTTTTAACCTGGTGTTGAGTAACAACAAATTGTAGGTGATGTCTACTAACTTTTAAATGTGGTCATGGCATTCTTATGCCATCATCCCCAATAGAAAAAGAAACAGGTATTAGAATACTTCTCTAGTGATGAATGACCTGATTTCTCTCTTATTGCTTTCCAGGAAATAAAGAATTGGTGTATGGAAATTCTGCAGTCTTAATGCTTGTTCATTTATTCACTCATCGATTGAGACCTCTATTGGTTTGCGATACAATGTGCGGTAACACCATGGCTTTTAAATCTCAGTGGCATAAGACAATAGGCATTTATTTAGCTTATGAGTTGGGTTAACTGGGAGTTGGTTGATCTAATTGAGGCTCAGCAGGAGCTGTTGAGCTTTGCTCACCATATTTCTTATTCTCCTTCTGGGACCAGTGTGTTAGCCTAGAAATTTTCTTCTCATAGTTATGGCAGAGGTCCAAGAAAGCAGGTTCAACTGCATAAGCACATTTTAAGCCTCTGCTGCATTACATTTGCTAACATCCTTTTGGCCAAAGCAAAGACACATGGCTGAGCCCAATATCAATGAAACAGAGATATATGGTCCTTCTATGGGAGTCAAGAGGAGGAAGTAAATATTATTGAACAATAATGCAATCTACTTCAAGTCTTATATACTAGTCACTAAGGCTAAAAAGATGAATAAGATATAGTCATTTTCCCTAGGAGCCCTCAAAAAATTGATTACCTGTACAGTAATCTTACAGCTAATGGAAGATGTAGAGAAGGAGTTAAAACTCTAGTTCAAATGAAACAGAAATGCTCAGCCTTTAAGTATTTTTTTTTCTTTTAATTTCACACCTTGGAGAATGTTAAACTTGGATTGCTGGCAGTCTACCAAAGCATTGTGTTGAGCTGAAATCCCCTGCTATTAATAACTAGGTATACTGTGATTTTGAGATTTAAAGCCATGATCTCATGTTAGAAGCTGCAGTCAGCCAGGAAGCTGTTTGGATTCCTAACACTTCTAGAAGCACTTAGGCAAAGATGCTGGGGATTAGAGGAAAAACTCATAAGCAGGTTTGTACAGAGGGAGTCAGAGCTCCATGCCTTGGTTTAGGGAACCCTCAGTAAGAAAGGTGCAATAGAAAACTGAAATATGCAAGCCATCCAACCACTTGAAGGGACAATCTAGTGTTATTGAAATGAATGACTGCAGAGACCGAGGAAGATCTTGATGGATAGCATCGAGCAGGGCAATGGCCTGGAAATGCTGGTGCCTCATGCCTCCTTCCCTTTTCTAAAGGCCTCTTCTGTATAAATTGGTATTGGGGTTGCAGTTAGGCCCGAGGAAGGCTCAGAAAACCTGGGCTGGAGGGATGCTGAGAACCTCATGCTTGTTTTGAGTCATCTAAAATTTAGGCCACTGAAGTCAGGGAGCCTGAGCTGAAGGCTGAGGTTTCAGTCCAGAATCCTCAAACTCCCCAAAGTCTGGGTCTTGACAACACCCAAGGATGACTAAACAAAAGGAACAAAAGTTAAATGGGAAAAAAAGAAAGATTTCCGGTTTTGTGAATCCTACTTTAGAAACATCTGCTCTGTTCCAACTCTCTTATTTCACAGTTGAGAAATAAAGGGCCTTTCCTGAGGTCACATGAATCTATGGCAGACCTAGGATAGAACCAGTTCTAAGGCCTCAAGGTAGCCACTAATAGCTAACAGCTAATATTTGCTGAGGGCTTGCTATGTGCTAGGCTGTTCTAAACACTATATGTAGAGAATATATTTTTGTGTTCACTAACATTCTATGAAGCAGGTACTATAACTGTTCTCATTTAACAGAGGAGATAATGAGGCACTAAGATACTACACAATTTGTGTAATGTCACACAGCTGGTAAGTAGGGAGCCAGGATTCAAAATCAAGGCATCTAACCCAGAGCCTGGACTCTTAACTTCATTGATATACTGCAGTGAGATCAGCTAATTAGGAAAGGATATCCCCCTTTCTGTAGACTAACAGAGCTCGTATTTATAAGAAGAAAGCCCTTAAATTATCCTTACAGAGAGGTGGGGCTGGAGAATATTGTAGGTTGCATCAGAATTGCAGAAGGAATGCCAGAAAGTCTCACAAGCTGCCCAAGATGCTGAGTTGATGCTTCAACTCAAGTATCTTTATCTATTGCACCCATCATCAATGTTTAGTAATGTCTATGCTGAAAGTTTAGAATTTTAGAGCTGAATGGGCTGTGATAAATAATAGTCACATATATACCATGTGACAAGCATTCTAGATTTGTTATTTTACTAAGGCTTCACAACAATTCAGTGACCTTTCTTTCTTTTGAGGAAGAGAGAGGTGGAGATAAGCTACTACCCATGTTACAAGGCAGAATGGAACAACTACTTATTAGAAGCATAAAAATTGAGATGTGGAAAGGGGTGACAAGAAAGTATTTATGAAGTCTTTAAAGTTAAACTAGAGGGATAATTTCAGTAAAGTTAAGGGGACAGTATAAGTAAAGGAATGGTTTGTTTGAGCAAGAAAAAATAGATCTGTGTAGTTATGTTGAGACTTCACACACATGGAGCGCATGTTTTCAGTCCCCTTCACGCACTCATGACACACATCTCTGAATTATCATATTTTGTCCACCAATGTGAAATAGCACCTCGGAATCCTTCCCAGCACAAAGCTTCAAGAAGGCACTGCGAATTGAGATTGTGAGCATGTGAGATAAGTTTTTTTGGTCCTCCTGGAGTAGCACCTTGGTGAGAAGGGTATGTGGTGGCAGTTAGATAACCTACTTCATCCTCCTTCACTTCAAGATTGTAACACAGAGTGTCAGTAAAATAATTAATCAGAGTCATGCAAAAAGTGAGTTGAAGAGCCAGAAGAAACAGAACCCCATCTCAAGATCAGGACCCCACACTGATTACTTCTTTCAAGATTTCTCAGTGCTAGATTCATGGGTCAGTCATACCAGCTGTATCAAGCAACACACAGGTGCTTAATAAAAATGTATGGTGCTGAACTTCATGCCATATGAGTGGAATAGAACTCCTGGAAAGTGGGGTCTGAGAATCTAGATGTTTAACAAACTTTCTGAGTTATTGTGGAGTAGTACAAGGTTTATACAGAACACTGATTGTCTATAAGAGGTTAGTAAGGCTTTATTGGGAAATTGATGCTAGCAATATTGTTCCTTTCATAATTGATTTAAAGCACATATCACAACA
Source organism: Homo sapiens (assembly GCF_000001405.40). Taxonomy (NCBI): domain Eukaryota; kingdom Metazoa; phylum Chordata; class Mammalia; order Primates; family Hominidae; genus Homo; species Homo sapiens. Next base: position 155,157,440 of record NC_000005.10, read on the forward strand.
TAACTTATGCATTTATGTAGTTGCTCTACCTGCATGATAATCTGCCTTTAAGAAAATATGTTCGTTATTTAAGAGTTACTACTTGGCACTTGCATTTTGGCTCTGCATTTATTGGCTGAATGATTTTATTTTATTTTTAAATTTATTTATTTTTCTTTTTTTTGTTTATTATACTTTAAGTTTTAGGGTACATGTGCACAATGTGCAGGTTAGTTACATATGTATACATGTGCCAGGTTGGTGTGATGCACCCATTAACTCGTCATTTAATATTAGATATATCTCCTAATGATATCCCTCCCCCCTCCCCCTACCCCACAACAGGCCCCGGTGTGTGATGTTCCCCTTCCTGTGTCCATGTGTTCTCATTGTTCAATTCCCACCTATGAGTGAGAACATGCGGTGTTTGGTTTTTTGTCCTTGCGATAGTTTGCTGAGAATGATGGTTTCCAGCTTCATCCATGTCCCTACAAAGGACATGAACTCATCATTTTTTATGGCTGCATAGTATTCCATGGTGTATATGTGCCACATTTTCTTAATCCAGTCTATCATTGTTGGACATTTGGGTTGGTTGCAAGTCTTTGCTATTGTGAATAGTGCCACAGTGAACGTACGTGTGCATGTGTCTTTATAGCAGCATGATTTATAATCCTTTGGGTATATACCCAGTGATGGGATTGCTGGGTCAAATGGTATTTCTAGTTCTAGATCCCTGAGGAATTGCCACACTGACTTCCACAATGGTTGAAGTAGTTTACAGTCCCACCAACAGTGTAAAAGTGTTCCTATTTCTCCACATCCACATCCTCTCCAGCACCTGTTGTTTCCTGACTTTTTAATGATCGCCATTCTAACTGGTGTGAGATGGTATCTCATTGTGGTTTTGACTTGCATTTCTCTGATGGCCAGTGATGATGAGCATTTTTTCATGTGTCTTTTGGCTGCATAAATGTCTTCTTTTGAGAAGTGTCTGTTCACATCCTCTGCCCACTTTTTGATGGGGTTGTTTGTTTTTTTCTTGTAAATTTGTTTGAGTTCTTTGTAGATTTTGGATATTAGCCCTTTGTCAGATGAGTAGATTGCAAAAATTTTCTCCCATTCTGTAGTTTGCCTGTTCACTCTGAGGGTAGTTTCTTTTGCTGTGCAGAAGCTCTTTAGTTTAATTAGATCCCATTTGTCAATTTTGGCTTTTGTTGCCATTGCTTTTGGTGTTTTAGACATGAATGTCCTTGCCCATGCCTATGTCCTGAATGGTATTGCCTAGGTTTTCTTCTAGGGTTTTTATGGTTTTAGGTCTAATATTTAAGTCTTTAATCCATCTTGAATTACTTTTTGTATAAGGTGTAAGGAAGGGATCCAGTTTCAGCTTTCTATATATGGCTAGCCAGTTTTCCCAGCACCATTTATTAAATAGGGAATCCTTTCCCCATTGCTTGTTTTTGTCAGGTTTGTCAAAGATCAGATGGTTGTAGATATGCGGCATTATTTCTGAGGGCTCTGTTTTGTTCCATTGGTCTATATCTCTGTTTTGGTACCAGTACCATGCTGTTTTGGTTACTGTAGCCTTGTAGTATAGTTTGAAGTCAGGTAGCGTGATGCCTCCAGCTTTGTTCTTTTGGCTTAGGATTGACTTGGCGATGTGGGCTCTTTTTTGGTTCCATATGAACTTTAAAGTAGTTTTTTCCAATTCTGTGAAGAAAGTCATTGGTAGTTTGATGGGGATGGCATTGAATCTGTAAATTCCCTTGGGCAGTATGGCCATTTTCACGATATTGATCCTTCCTACCCATGAGCATGGAACGTTCTTCCATTTGTTTGTATCCTCTTTTATTTCATTGAGCAGTGGTTTGTAGTTCTCCTTGAAGAGGTCCTTCACATCCCTTGTAAGTTGGATTCCTAAGTATTTTATTCTCTTTGAAGCAATTGTGAATGGGAGTTCACTCACGATTTGGCTGTTTGTCTGTTATTGGTGTATAAGTATGCTTGTGATTTTTGTACATTGATTTTGTATCCTGAGACTTTGCTGAAGTTGCCTGTCAGCTTAAGGAGATTTTGGGTCAGACAATGGGGTTTTCTAGATATACAATCATGTCATCTGCAAACAGGGACAATTTGACATCCTCTTTTCCTAATTGAATACCCTTTATTTCGTTCTCCTGCCTGATTGCCCTGGCCAGAACTTCCAACACTATGTTGAATAGGAGTGGTGAGAGAGGGCATCCCTGTCTTGTGCCAGTTTTCAAAGGG